>NC_000008.11:18344951-18647981 GCF_000001405.40 Homo sapiens
AAAAAATGCTCAACATTACTAATCATCAGGGAAATGCAAATCAAAGTCACAATGAAATACCACCTCATGCCTGTTAGGATGGCTATAATAATAATAAAAACAAAGAAAATATAAAAAGTGTTGGCAAGGATGCGGAGAAATTGGAACACTTCTACATTGTTAGTTGAAATGTAAAATGGTGCAGCCAGTATGGAAAACAGCATAGAAAATCATCAAAAAGTTAAAAATAGAATTACAATATGATTCAGCAATCCCACTTCTGGGTATTTTTCCAAAAGAATTGAAATGAGAATCTGGAATAGATATTTGCACTCCTATGTTCATTGCAGCATTATTAACTCGAGTCAACCTAAATATTCATTGTTGAATAATGGATAAATAAAATGTAGTATGCAAATACAATGGAATATTATTAAGCCATAAAAAATAAGGGCTCCTACCATACGTGACAACATGAATAAACTTGAAGTATATTATGCTAAGTGAAGTAAACCAGACATGGAAGGGCAAAGCCACATGATTCTAATTATATGAATATTTAAAATAATCAAACTCATAAAAAGCAGAGAGTAGAATGGTGATTCCTATGGGCAGGGGGAAGGAGGCTATGTAGAGTTGCTTTTCAGCAGGGATAAAGCTTTAGTTATGCAAGATGAATACATTCTACAAATCTGCTATTTAATATCATGCCTATAGTTAACAATACAATACTGTATTGAACACTTCAAAATTTGTTAAGATGATAGATTTCATGTTACATGTTCTTACCACAATGTTTTTTTTAAGTTATGTGAGTTACAGTACTGTATCTTGCAGGTAAAAAATAAAAGAGGAGATCCCAGTATGTTAAAGCTCAACTATTATAGTGTATTGAAGGTCCCTCAAGGAAATGGTCAAAAAAAAAAAAAAAAAAAAAAAAAGAGAGAAAATTCAGCAGGAAAGAGAGACTTGATGAAGTCTTTTAATAATATGAAGGTCATCATGAACTTTGGCTGCAGTCTGGGAGCAATAAATCCCAGTAAATTAACAAAAGATAATTAGATGAAAATGAGCCAGAGGCATGCTGTAATTCAGAGACTTTTGAAGTGCCCTGAAGGGACATTATTATGTGCATGTCCAGGAATCAGAGGCCATCTGGAGCACAGTGAAAGGGCTATCCCATAAAATCAAGAAGTGGCAGGATATATGATGGGCTGATCATATAGTTTGCTGCAGTGACTTATTCAGAATAAAGGTATGAACATGCCAATCCTTACCACAACTTAAAACTCAATAGATTCCCATTGCACCTACAAAAAAGGCTAACACCTCTCCTGACTCTGAGATCCCACATGATTTTTCCCCTATCTACCTCTCCAGCCAAGATCTCAGCAGTATAGTTGTGCTGGCCTCTTTTCAGTCTCTCCTTAGGACTTGTTTCATTGATCATGGGGTATGTGCTTATCCCAACCTCTGAGTGAACAGCGTTTTCCAATTTTCCTATACGACTTGCAGACTTCATCTCAAAACACTAGAAACACATTCCCTGAGCTCCCTTCCTAAAGTTAGGACAGATTCCTTGTTTTCAGCTCTCATGGCACCCTGGACCTCTCATTTTAAGCTTCCGTATTGCTTATCACACTTGAAAAATTTTATTTTTTGTGTGATGATTTGATGAGAACCATCTTAGCTTCTTGATGGTAAGCTCCATGAAAGCAAAGACATTTACACATTAATGAAGCTTTATTGTGTCTGTTTGTCTATACTACTATGGGTTTAATATGGTCCTAAACACATTAATAAATATTGGCTTTTATTGGGTATTTCTATAATTTTTTAAAAGGAGTTTATTTTTTAAGTCATCTGGACAGCTTTATCAAGGCTTAGATTCCTAGACCTTATCATAAGACATAATGATTCCAGTGGTTTTAGTGTTGCCTGGGCAGCTATATTTTGTTAAAGGACTGAAAATGATTCCAATATCATGAAAGCGTGAGGATCACTCAGCCAAATGGAAAGGTAAATATAAGTAAATATTTATGCACTATCAGGAAAGCAATGGACTTTCTAAATATGACACCAAAGACAGGAATTGCTGAGGAAAGACTGATTGATTTGACTGTATAAAATATTAGCCTTTCATATTAAATTTTTTTAAGAAAAAAATTAAAAGGTAAATAAAAATCCATGAAAGTACTTGCAACATATATGTTGATAGATTTTTATTTTTTATAAAGATCTTTTAAAGGAGGCAAAGCAAGATGAACAAATAGAGCCCTCCAAGATAGTCCCCACAGGAACACCAAATTGAAAAACTATCCATGCAAAAAAGCACCTGTACAAGGTTAAAAAAATCAGGTGAGACATCACAGTAACTGCTTTTAGTATAATAACAAGAAAAGACATATTGAAGAAGATAGGAAGTTTTTCATTGCCTACACTGCTGTTCCTCAACCACAGGCAGGGCAAGGGCAGCATGAAGAGAGAACTTGTGTGCAGGTGGAGGGGAGATGGACATGTGTGTGAGACTTAGCTCTGGAATTCAGTGCTGGCTCCATCACAGTGGAACATAGCACCTGGCAGAATATTGCAGCCTTTGATTCCAGGCCAGTTCCTGCAGAGAGTGCATTTAAGACCTGCTCCAGGCAGAGGAGAATGCATTCCCTTCTTGGGGGGAACTCAAGTCCCAGACTGCTTCACCATTGACTGACTAAAGTAGCCTCAGGGACCCAAACACATTTCAATGCCAGCCAGCCACATCAAACAAATGGGGTACTTGGGAAAGCCCTGGTGCTGCACTGTTTTAAGAGGCTGTAAATTCAGGGTGTGACCCAGTGCAACACTACCTATTGCAGCCACAAGGGTGCCCAGGTTACTACTCCCTTGGCTCCAGAAAGTGCAGGAGAGAGGAGACACCCCTTCTGCTTGGGGGAAGGAGTGGAAAGGGTACAGGGGCCTTGCAACCTAGTGCCAGCCCTGCTCTGGTAAAACACAGAACAAGGCAGAATCCTGAAGCATCAGATTCCAGACCATTACCCCCACATGGCACTTCCAGATCCACCCCAGATATACAGGTAGGAAATATGAAAAAGTTATAAATTGAGACAACACAAAATCAAAAAGTGGGAGGATAAAGTATAGAGTTATTTAGTTTTTGCTTTGTCTTCTTTCTTTTCCTTCCTTTATAATCAAAGCCAAGGTGTTATAAATTTAAAATGATTTGTTGTAACTATAAGATGGTTTTTTATAAGCCTCATTGTAACAGAAAGCAAAAACCTAGAATACATACATTAAAAATAAAAAGCAAGGAATGAAAACATACTACCCAAGAGACTCACTTAGCCACAAAGGAAGACAGTAATAGTGGAAGAGTGGAGTTACAAAACAACAAGAAAAAGAATAACAAAATGGCACTAGTAAAGCTTTACCTATCAATAACATTGAAGGTAAATAGAATACATTTCTAATTAAAAGACATCAAGTAACGGAATGGATTAAAAAAAACCCTAAAACACTCAGCTACATATTGCCTACAGGAAACTCATTGCACCTATAAAGAAACACATAGATTAAAAGTGAAGAGATGGAAAAAGATATTCCTTGCAAATGGAAAACAAAAGAGAGCAGGAATACTTATACAGGATAAAATAGATTTTAAATTAAAAACAGTAAAAAAAGACAAATAAGGTCATTATATAATGATAAATGGATAAAAAAGCAAAAGGATATAATAATTGTAAATATATTTGCAATCGACATTGGTGTACCCAAACATATAAAACAAATATTGAAAGATCAAAAGGGACAGACTGCAATACAATAATGTAGGATACTTCAACACCCCACTTTCATTGTCTGGATGACAGATCATCCAGACAGAAATCAACAAGGAAACACTGGAATTAAACTACACTCTGTACAAATGGACCTAACTGACATTTACTGCACATTTCATCCAACTGCTGCAGAATTCACATTCTTATCATCAGCACACGGAACATTCTTCACTTTAGAACATGTTAGGACACAAAACAAATCTCAATAAATTGAAAAAAGTAAAATCCTATCAAATATCTTTTCTAACCACAATGGAATAAAACTAGAAATCAATAACAGGAAGAACTTTGGAAACTGCAAAAATACATATTAATTAAACAAATCACTCCGGAATGACCAATGAGTCAATGAGCAAATTTTTTTAATGTTGTAAAAATTTCTTAAAGCAAAAACAGAAACATAACATACCTTTAAGGCATAGCAAACACAGCCTTAAGAGGGAAGCTTATAACAATAAATATTTACATAAAAAGTGGAAAGACTTTAAATAAAAAACAAAACTAGGTACCTCAAAGAACTAGAAAAGCAGAAATAAACCAAAGAATAGAAAGAAATAATTAACATCAGAGAAGAAATAAATGAAACTGAAAATAAATAACAATACAAAGGGATCAATAAGTCTGAAAAGACCAATAACAGGGAACAAGATTAAAATAGTAATTAAAAAGTCCTTTCCCCAAAAGTCTTCCATCAAAAACAAAGCCCAGGACCTGATCATTTCACTGCTGAATTCTACTAAACATCTAAAGAACTAATACCAATTTTACAACTCTTTCACAAAGCTGAAGAAAAAGGAATACTTTCAGACACATTCTACAAGGCCAGCATTACCCTGATACCAAAGCCAGACAATGACACATTGAAAAAACAAAACTACATGCCAATATTCCTGATGGACATATATACAAAAATGCTTAACAAAATACTAACAAACCAAATTCAACAACATGTTCTAAAAAATTACTCTTCATTGATCAAGTGGGGTTCATCCCAGAGATGCAAGAATGGTTCAACATGCACAAATCAATAAACACAATACATCACATTAACAAAATGAAGGACAAAAAGCCTATGATAATTTCAGTAAGTGCCAAGGAAGCATTCGATAAAATATGACGTCCTTTCTCAATAAAAAAACTTAACAAACTGTATATAGAAGGAACATATCCCAAAACAACGAAGGCCATATATGACAAACCAACAACTAACATCATGCTGAACAAAAAAAAAAACTTGACAACATTTCCTCTAAGATCTGGAATGGGAGAAGAATGACTACTTGCATCATTTTTATTCAACATAGTACTAGAAATCCTAGCCAGGGCAATCAGATAAGAGAAAGAAATAAAAGGCATACAAATGGAAAAAAAATAAGTTAAATTGTTCTTGTTTGAAGATGACATGTTCTTATATTTAGAAAAACCTAAAGACTCCACCAAAAAACTATTTGAAGTAATAAATTCAGTAAGTTTGCAGGATACAAAATCAACATAGAAAAATCAGTAGCATTTCTATATGCCAATAGGGAACAATTTGACAAAGAAATCAAGAGAGCAAAATTTAAAAAAAATCCATTCACAAGAGATTTAAAAAATACCTAGAAATAAATTTTACCAAAAAAGTGACAGAACTCTAAAATTAGAAAACATTGATGAAGAAAATTGAAAATCATACCTCAAAATGAAAAGATATACCATGTTCATCAATTGGAAGAATTGATACTGATATTGTTAAAATCAGTCCATACTACCCAAAATGATAAACAGATTCAACGCAATTTTTATCAAAATATCAATATTCTTCACAGAAATAGAAAAAAATTCTAAAACTCATATGGAACAACAAAAGATTCTGAATAGCCAAAGAAATGCTTAGAAAAAAGAACAAAGCTGTAGGCATCACACTGCTGGACTTCAAAGTATATTACAAAGCTGTAGTAACCAGAACAACATGTTACTGGCATCAAAACAGACACACAGACCAATGGAACAGAATAAACCCAAAAATGAAATCACACATTTATAGCCAACTCATTTTTGACCAAGGTGCAAACAATGTACAATGCGGAAAGGACAGTTTCTTCAATCATTGGTGCTGGGAAAACAATACTCATAAGTAGGAAAATGAAATCAAACCTGTATCTCTCATCATATACAAAAATTAAATAAAAATTTGATTAAAGGCTTAAATCTAAGACCAGAAACTATGAAACTACTAGAAGAAACCTTTGAGGAAACACTTCAGAACATCGGTCTGGGCAAAGATTTTTTTAGTAAGGCCTTAAAAGCATAGACAACAGAAACAAAAATAGATAAATGGGGCTTAAACTAAAAAGTTTCTTCACAGCAAAGAAAACAATCAACACAGTGAAGAGAAAACACAGTGGATGAGAGAAAATATTTTAAAACTATCCATCTAACAAGGGATTAATAACCAGAATATATAAAGAACTCAAAGAAATCAATAGCAAAATAATAGTAATAATCTAATTTTAAAATTGTAAAAAGACACTCTGGGAAACCACCCCCCAAGGCTCTGCATCCTTCTCTGAGGCAGCCACTGACGCTGCTGTCCACCAGGCTGGATACTGATGGGGAGTCTGGGAGCTCTCATACACCCCCAGGACAGGATCCACTGCCATTGCTGTAGTACCAAGGCACATTCAGATTACATATCCCATGTCTGGCAGTCTCCCCCGAAGCTGCCTCCTGGCAGTTCCTATGGAGAGAGGCCCAACCTTCCCGGTGGCAGGCACAAAACATATGCAACATCGTCCTGCAAGTGTTCTGCTGGCAAACAGGGGAGCAATCCATCCTTCCCTAGCACAACCAGTGTTAGTGTCAGAAGGCAGAGAAGTCCACTGGCCTGATTCTGTGTCCAGGACTTAAGCATACCATCCAGGGTCATGGAGATAAGATTTGTGATCTGATCTCTAGCAAGGGAGTAGCCTCTTTTGCCAGGACTGAGAGAAGAGTGTGGTGTGGGTTCATGCTGCAAAGTGGGAGCTGGAGGTCCTTCCCTTGGCCGGACCAAACTGGGAAGGGTGTGGCCTAAGAGCTGTGGTTTCTGCCCCAGGAAGGGTCTCACAGCCTGGGGTTGCTTCACCATCTGAACAAAGACTGCTTGAAACTAGCCTCGCCAACCTGGCCGGCTGCCAGTAACCAGATAATGGAGGGAGAACTACTGAGTTGCGGCTGTGGGAGATGGGCTTGTCCTACTGCAGCCTGCTAGGTTACAGATTTCAGGGTACCCCTCTATCCCTGTGTGGGCCCCTTGGTGCAGAAGCTCCTCCACCACTCCCTGGAGGGCTGCCCCAGCAATCCGACAGCTGTCCCTTGACCCTTGCTAGGGTGAACACTTGACCGACCTTAGGGAGCCAGGTCATGGGCTTGCCCAACCCTTCCCTGCTCAGCTTTGCCCCCTCCAACTGCCTTAGTGGCAGAGCATGGTATGGTGACACCTGGGAATTTCCCACCTGTCCACTGCCTAGGACACTTGAATACTTCTTCTGATTAACACAGGCCAAGCAAAATCCCAGTGCCACCACCACAGCTGACCCTCTCCTGCAAGACCTACTGGCTGTGAGGTCAACCTGCATAGCCCATCACAATTTCTGCTAACGCAACCGCACAGTGCTGAGCTGGCTCTTATCCGCAAGCACCATCTACTGGCCTGGAGATCAAACTATACAGCCCAGTGTGTTTGTTGACAGAAGTGCACAGTACAGCAAAATGAGATAAAGTTCCTGAGACCTCCACCTCCTGTTTGTGAAGGATGCAGTGAACCTGTTCACATATCCAGTATACTGCTACTACAACCTAGAGACAATCATCATTTGAAAAAAACCACTAGGCTAAGGTTATCTATAACCAAAGAATTCATACAGAGTCTTGGCCCCCTACCAGCACTCAGAAGAAAACTAAAGGACCCTACTCAACATATACTTCAATCACAATCTCAAGGAGTGGAGCCCCGTCCAAATGAAAGTAAAATCAAAAGTAAGAAGTAACAGCTTCTTCAGACAAGAAGGAACCAGCATGAGAACGCTGGAACCATGAAAAAAATAGCATTGCTACACCCCGCCCCCCACCACTGCCAAAGGATCATACTAGTTCTGTAGCAATGGCTCCTAAGCAAAATGAAAATTTTGAAGTGACAGATAGAAAACTCAAAATATGGATTATAAAAATGCTCGGTGAGATCCAGGAGAAACTTGAAAATCAACTTAAAGAAACAAGAAAAATAATTCAGGATATGTAAGACAAAACAGCTCTATTTAAGAAAACAGAACTGGCTAGGTGTGGTGGCTTACACCTGTAATCTCAGCATTTTGGGAGGCTGAGGTGGGCGGATCACGAGGTCAGGAGATCGAGACCATCCTGGCTAACACGGTGAAACCCCGTCTCTACTAAAAATACAAAACAAACAAACAAACAGACAAACAAACAAACACATTAGCCAGGCGTGGTGGTGGGCGCCTGTAGTCCCAGCTACTCGGGAGTCTGAGGCAGGAGAATGGCATGAACCCAGGAGACAGAGCTTGCAGTGAGCCGAGATAGCGCCACTGCACTCCAGCCTGGGTGACAGAGCAAGACTCCACCGCAAAAACAAACAAACACACACACACACACACACACATGAGAAACAGAACTTCTGGAAATGAAAAATTCACCGAAGAAATTTTAAAATGCAGTTCAAAGCCTTAACAATGCACTAGACCAAGTGGAAGAAAGAATTTCAGAGCTCAAAGACTGGTGTTTTGAATTAACCCAGTCAGCCAAAAATTAAAAAAAAAAAAAAGAATTTAAAAATATTCAAAACTTTAAAAACAAAGGCTTCAAAAAACATGAGAATATGTAATATGGCCAAGCCTATGATTTATAGACATTCCTGAAAGAGAAGAAAAAGTAAGAAATTTGGAAAGCATATTTGCGGGAATAATTCCTGAAAATTTCTCTGATCTTGCTATAGAGGTAGACATCTATATATAAGAAATTCAGAGAATACCTGCAAGATACTATAAAACATGAACATTGCCAAGGCATATAGTCATTAGGCTATTGAAAGCCAATGCTAAAGAAAAGAATTTTAAAGTCACCTAGAGAGAAGTGTCAAATCACCAATATAGGAAATCCCATCAGACTAATAGCAGATTTCTTAGCAGAAACCATATAAGCTGTAAAATATTGAGGGCCTATTTTTAGCCTCCTTAAAGAAAAAAAAATGCCAGCCAAGAATTTTGCATCCTGTAAAACTAAGCTTCATAAATGAAAGAGAAATAAGTCTTTTCCAGACTTTTAGTAGAGGCAGGGTCTCACTATGCTGCCCAGGCTGGTCTTGAGCTGCTAAGCTCAAGTAATCCTGCCACCTTGGTCTTCTAACCTGCTGGGATTATAGGCATGAGTGTCCATGCCCAGCTGAAATCAGTATACTGAAAAGGTATCTGTACCACCGTGTTCATTGCATCACTAGTCACAATAGCCAAGAGATGGAATCAACCTAAGTGTCCATCCACAGATTAATGGATAAAGAAAATCTGATATACATATATATATACACACACAAACACACAAATTGAATGTTTTTCAGCCATAAGGAAGAATTAAACCCTGTCATTTGCAGCAATGTGAATGGCATTGAATGACATTAAGTGAAATAGGCCAGGCACAGAAAGACAAATATTGCATATTCTCACTCATATGTGGAAACTAAAAGATTAATCTCATAAAGGTAGTGAATAGAATGGTGGCCACCAGAGGTTGGAAAGGGTAGGAAGGATGGGGGGATGAAGAGAGGTCAGCTAATGGGTACAAAAGTGTAGCTAAACTAGAAGGAATAAGTTCTAGTGTTCAATAGCGTAATAGAGTGACTACTGTTAACAAGAATTTATAGTATATTTCAAAATAGCTAGAAAGGAGACTTTGAATGCTCCCAACACAAAGAAATGATAAATGTTTGAGGTAATGAATATCCCAATTATTCTTATCTTTTGAAGAGTAATTTTGCTGGATACACAATTGTAGATTGGTGTGCTTATTTTTTCAACATTTTAAATATTTCACTCCACCCTCTTCTTGGTTCCATGCATTATGATAAGAAATCCAGTGTAATTTCTATCATTTTTCCTGTGCATGTAAAATGGTTTCCACCCCCCTCAACTTCTTTTAAGATTTTCTCTTTGCTCAGGCATAATTGCTCATGCCTATAATCCTAGAATTTTGAGAGGGTGAGGTGGGAGAATTTCTTGAGGCCAGGAGTTTGAGACCAGTCTGGTCAACATAATGAGCCCCCATCTCTACAAAAAATAAAAATAAAAAACAACAAAATAGGATTTTCTCTTTGTCACTGAATTTCCAAAGTTTTAATATAATATTCCTCTATTTAGATTATTAGATACTTATCCTGTTTGCTGATTTCTGAGATTGCTGGATCTGAGGTTTGGTGTTTTAATTTTTGAAAATAAATTGCCCATTATTATTTCAAATATTTAGTCTGATCCATTCTCTCTTTCTTCTCCTCCTGGCATTCCCATCATACACACACACACACACACACACACACACACACACACACACACACACACATATATGTGAAACAGCCAAGGGCAAAGTGGTTCCCAGAAAAACTCCAATCAGCCTGTACACTGGGGTGGCGCCTCAAAAAGTGGAGCTTTTTGCAGTGGGGAGGAGTCCGGCCCCTCCTCTTTCTATCTGGGATTTAAACTGTGAGGCAGGAAGCACTCTAGCAGGGACTCTGGCCTTGTGGAGAGTCCTGTTTCCCCCTTTTCTTCCCTTTCTACCAATAAAACCCTGCTTTACTCACCCTTCAAACCATCTACGATCCTAAATTTTCATGGCCGTGGAACAAGGACCCTGTCTTTAGTGAACTAAGGAAAAGTCCTGCAACATATGTGTGTGTGTGTGTCTGTATGTATATATATACATACACATACATACACTCATATGTGTATGTGTCTGTATGTATATATATACACACACATACATACACACATATATGTGTATATATACACGCACACACATATACATACACACACACATATACATATATACACACACATATATATGTATACATATTCACCTCTTAAAATCACTCCACAGTTCATGCATACTCTGGTTTTTTTCTCTCTCTTTGAATTTCAGTTTGAGAACTTTCTATTGACATATCTTCAATGTCACTGAATCTTTCCTTGTCCATGTATAATATGATGGTGAGCCCATCTAAAGCATTCTTTCTTTCTGCTACAGTGTTTTTTATTTCTAACACTGACTTTTGATTTCTTCTTTAAGTTTTAACCTAGATGCTTATATTATTCATCTATTTTGCATGTTGTCCACTTTTCCACTAGAGACCTGAGCATATTAATCGTTGTTATTTTAAATTCCTCGTACGATAATCCTCAAATCTCTGCCATATCTGAATTAGATTATGATACTTAGTTTCAACTTGTCTTTTCTTATATTTTAGCATTTCACGTCATTTTATGTTAGAAGTTGGATATTACATCTTGGGTTACAGGTACTGACATAGATTGGCCTTTAGTGTGACGGTTATGTTTATCTGGCTAGGAATTATACTGTGCTTACTGTTTATTGTACCCACAGGTGACTGAGGCTTCAATTTCCCTTAGCGTCTTTGTGTCACCCCTTGTGTTTTCAGGTTTCTCTAGGAAATCATTCTTAAATAAATTCTGAAACTTTCAATTTTTCAATTGTAATTCTCCATTATTTACAGTAGTCCTGTTGATGTGGTTGTAAGGTATGGGGAAAACAGCATTCTATAGTCTTATGATTGGGTTGCTATCTTCCACTGAGCCTGTGTCCTGGGCTGTGACCTTTGAAAGGGCTTCTCAGCTTCTCCCCACTTAAGTGAAGCAGGAAAGCTAGAGGAGGATGAGTTGAATGGATTGAATGTTTTTCTTACCTCACATTAGTTAGGCTCTTGTAATTCCCCTTGAAGGAGAGGGTAAGGGCAGGCTGCTCTGGGCTTACATTACAGTGGTTATTTTTATCCTCCCTCTGCCAGAAGGATGAAGAGATTATACTCCAATTTTCACAGTGAGAACTTGGCAGGGCTCCTGGAGGTAAAACACAAAAGTGTAAAGACCCCCCTGAGACTGAACCCCTAAGACTTTTAAACTCTCAAGCTTGTCTACACTGAGCCTCAGGTTTTCATGAATTAAGTTACATGTTCCCAAAAATACTGGCTTCAACTGTGGTTTTCTAATCCTGAGCTTTATTCCCTAAGATTGAGGACAAACTGTCACTCTCTGTATATTTACCTGTCTGTCTCTCCTCTTTTCAGGGCAGTAGTTTTCCTGTGACCTCCATTCTATGATGGATTTCAGAAGATTGTTTATTTCAGTTTATTCAGTTTTCCCCTGGATAACAAGATGGAAGGGATAACCCCAAACTTTACTTGTTGGAGTAGAAACCAGAAGTCCTGGTAAACAGATTTTAAAACAAATGTATTAAACAAAAAAAACTTCACTTTGGAGCCAGTGCTCTCATCAAACCCTTCTTCAGGGACATTCAGGAAAGGGAGAGGTTTTACTCCTTTCTTTATTGTGCCTTTGCACAAATAAAGGAGGTTTTTTGTTTTGTTTTTGTTTTTTAGTTGCATATACCTTTATTATCCATTTATGTTCAGAAATAAAAAACAAAACCAGGAAATTCAATAACGTATAGTTAAGAGCAAAAAAAATCATGAAATTTTGGGAGTATGTCATCAGTGCCACTCTCTGCTCTTTGTGGACCAAGAATTAATTACTAAACAGAATTTTGACATAAAAGTGAGTTGGCACATGTTAGAATCTTTAAACAAGACATAACTAGCTCTAACACTTTAAGTGGTTTAAAAACACAAATAGCATGCTTTCAACTTGCGTATGTCACAGTGAAGAGGGAGCTTTTCTTTTCGGTATCACTATTATTACCCCAGCTTATTGCTGTATCTCTTACTTATATGGTAAGGGAGTGCTCAGTGACAGTTCAAGTATTCCCCAGTTTTGCTTTCCTTCCGCATGTAAAACCTTGATGTGGTCAGACTATGGCTTGAAAGTTGTGATGACCACCCTGCTGGAGGCTGCAGGGTATTCTCAAGCCCACTGACACCCCAACCCTACAACCTCAAGTGTTCTGGCCCTTGGACACCAGAATTCTTCACCCTGGTCTCACGCTGTTTTAGCTGTAAGTCTCCGAATCTCATGGTTTTCCATAACAGTGCTTACTAGACATCCACAAGGATCTCTGTTACTTTGGCAATAATGATAGAGTCTGTCTCAGAATTATACATGTGCTAATCTGGATTGTAACATCTTAATTCCAGACGTCAAGTTTCCAACAATCAAGGAGAAAAATGACTGTAATCCATTGACAATTCCTCTCCCATACTGTGTCAAAAATGGTCCAGAACACAATCCTACATGCTGGAATTATTTCCTCTGCCCCTGTCCCATCCCCACCTTGGGCAAAGATTTTCTAGCAAGATCTGAACTTTAATCCATTTCTCTTCACCTATGTATCCTGAGTAATTTGGCAGAAGGAGTTCTTTCTTAAAACTTTGCCATATAATTCACAAATGGAAATGTGAAGGGTCAATAGATATGCGAAGAACTTATTCACCCATATTCACTGGGAATCAGAGAAGTGAAAATGAAAAGAACACTGAGCTATCATCTTAGATACATAAAACTGTCAAACATTTGAAGGTGGCTAACACCAAGTGTCAATCAGGATATGAGGAAAGTAGGAATTCTTCTACACAAGAGGACAGAAATCTGGCAGTGCCAAAAGAAAAAGTACATCTATGATCTGCCCCTCCGCAGATCCCATTCCTAATACATATATCCCAGCGAGTTCTGCTAATCTGCAGAGGATGTCTAGAAACGCATTCATCACATCAGTGTTTATAATAACCAGGAGTAGGAGGCAATCAAATGTCCTTCACAAGTGGAACTGGTAAGTTAAAGAGACTTAGGTTGGGTTTCTCTAAAAGCAGGCCCAAGACAAGGATTTGTGTTCCAGGGGCTTATTTTGATTTAGAAGATGATGTAAGGAATCACCAGTGCGGGAGTGGAACAGTGAACCCAGGGCAGCTTGAGAATCAATAAAAAGGTGCATTGTTGGCAGGTTGCCTGTGAAGAAAGGGAGCATAATCCTACTAGACAGCACCAGGAGGCAGTTTTGTACATGCCTAAGAGTAATCCCACCTTAGCCTGTAGAAAACAAGGATATTTAGTCTCCAATTCCCATCATCTGGGCTGAGGGGTGGTCCCCAGTGGATTTAATTTGCAGATCCATCTACCTGCTCAAGCACAGGCCAAAAGAAAAAGAAAAGCCTTCCCACAGAGAGTGCCAAGTTCATACAGGACACCAGAGGCATGTGTTGGAACAGTAGGTGCTGAAGGCACAGCACGAGGTAATAATTATGCCATGAAAACTGCCAAATTCACTCATGTGGAATCAGAAGAAAACATACCATAGAAGTTAAGAGTAGAATAGTGGTTACCACAGACTAGGGAGAAAAGGGGGTGAGGGAGATGGAGAGAGGCTGATCAACAAGCACAATGTTACAGTCACAGAGGAAGAATAAGTTCTAGTACTCTGCTGCCCAATAGGGTGACTATAGCTAAAAATAATGTGTTGCGCATTGCAAATAGCTGGAAGGAAGGATTTTGAATGTTTTTGCAACAAATGATAAATGTTTATGGTGACAAACATGCTAATTACCATGATTTCATCATGACACAATGTATACATGTATCAGAACATCACATCGCACCCCATCAATATGTCCAATTATTACGTGTCCATTAAAAAACATACATATTATAAATATTATGTTATTAATACATATTTATATTAGAGGGAAATGCATACAAAACAGCAAGAGTTATGGATCAATGCCATTAATGTAAATAAAAAACACAAGCCGAAATGAAAATCATAAAACATGTCATACTCATATCATACATGCAGTTATTTCAGATACATTACATGCTACCTTTGAGTAGAGAGGTGAGTGGAAGTAAGGAATAGAGATAAAAGGAAGAAAAAAAAACATAGAGGCCTTAAAGAAATTGATTAATAAACTGTGCCATAAACCTGAAATGTGACTAAACCTTCCATCTTCCTCTTCTGCCTCCTCTAGGTTATTGGTTCTGCTTTTCCTGGACTTTTCCCAAGCTCTCACCTTCCACGTAACACATGGGAAGTCTCGCATTAGGCTTCCAGATAGCAGAAACCAGGTGAAATAAAAGGGCACAGCCCTCCCAGCATGTATCATGGAGATCATCGCATAATATAACTCTCTGCACTTTTTAATGAAAGGATTTGAATAAGAGATCCAAAGCAGCAACCTGGGGCCCTGCAACTATACACTTCCCAGGGATTCCTGGGATGATTCTAATGAGAATCTGGAGTTGGGACCAGTTGCAAATCTAAAGAGATCACTTCACTTTCAGACTTCAGAAGTGGCAGCACTTCCTCTGCAGACTTTGGAAGGGAGAGCATTTCTTCTGCAGGCCTAGGAAGTGAAAGGATTGCATTCATCCTGGTTCCACATTGCTGACTGAAGTCAGCGGAGCTTGGTAAGTAATTTGCAGTGTACTTTCAACTCGAGGTGTAAACCAAAAATAAAATCCTAGGCCCCCCAACAGACTGAATGGATTCCCTCCTGGCCAAGAAGACCCCAGATAAACCTGAAAAGCTAAATTCCAGGACATAATGAGAAGGAAAGTTAGACAGGCCTCATTATACCCCCTCCCTTTTGGAATTTAGGCACAACTGTTGAATCATTAACATTGAAACAGAGATCATAAGACGGGCAAAAACGATTCTGCGGCAATAAGATACCAAATTCCAACATCACTGTCGTACAGCATCACATGACAGGTAGCAGACCCTGAAAAAATCAACATATTTTACACCAAAATACATTTCTTTGACATATTTTGAAATGGCCTTCAAAGCTACCTTAAGTGGAAAAATTTGTATCTGTAGACAATCTCCTTCCCTTTCCAGGCCTTTTCCAAATCTGGGAGAGATTAAATGAGAGCCTGACACCTTTAAGGTCTGAAAAGAGACATTTACCATCTATTTTTTCTACTCTAAGGCTGCTACCTGGAGGTTTCATTTACATAACAAGAACCATGGCTTCCGCAACCCCCCTTATCTTAACACAAGCATTTCTTCCTTCTGACTTAAAGTCTTTAGACAAGGCTTAACTTTCCAACCGATTTCCAGTATGAAAATCTTTTAATCCACCTGTGATTTGTAAGCTCCCCCACTTTGACATGTCCTACCATTTTTGGGCCAAACAATGTATAGCTTGTATGGGGGCCACACTTTAGGAGGCTCTTGGCCTCTTAAAGTTTCACTAAAAATCACTGACATGATTAATAGGAGAAAAGGCATACAGATTTGTTAACTTGTATACACAAGAAACTTCAGGATGAAGACCAACTTCCCAACGATTTATAGAAACTCATATACTGTCTGAGGCCACAGTAAAGAGTGCAGACTCAGTGCATGGTCAGAAACAGGTAAATTAGGTTTAGTTGCAACACGGGTTAAAAGAGAGAGAAAGAAGAAGCTAGGCTAGCAAAGGTGGCCTCTTTATGTAAATGAAACATCCCTTACCATGAATCGATAGCAAATGTTTCTTTTCACGTCTTTAATGATGTCAGATTCTCAATCTCTCCTGGATCTAAGGGAGGGCATATGTAGGGGAGGGGGGCATGGGTGCATGAATGGAGATTCTCCACTAATGCAAATTTTCCCCACTTAAGACAGCTTTGCAAGGCCACTTCTGCCTACTGGCCAAGCGGCAGCCATTTTGAAATATGTCAAAGAAATATATTTAGTGGTAAAATATTTTTATTTTCTTCAGTCACCACTTTGAAACCTCAAACAAGTCTCACATACAAAAAGCCAAGCTGATAGCTTTCGAGAGATTTGGGTTAGAGGCATTGAAAAACAGATAAAGGAATGGAAAAACAAACTGGGAATAATATAAAAAAAGCAAATTTAAATAGATCCTCTCATATCTGTTTTCAGCAAGCCTTTTAGTACTGAGAAGAGGTCAGTTCAGTTAAAGTCATGTCATATTCCAGGAGGTGGCACTGCAGATGCGCTAGGCCTCTTTATATGATGTAGGCAATTAGCTTTCTAATAAGCGGCATTTCTATAGAAAGAGAACAGAAACAAAGGTTACTGTCTGGAGTAATCCGTCTATATGTCAGGCCTCTGAGCCCAAGCTAAGCCATCATATCCTCCATGACCTGCATGTATACATCCAGATGGCCTGACGCAACTGAAGATCCACAAAAGAAGTGAAAATAGCCTTAACTGATGACATTCCACCATTGTGATTTGTTTCTGCCCAACCCTAACTGATCAATGTACTTTGTAATCTTCCCCACCCTTAAGAAGGTTCTTTGTAATCTCCCCCACCCTTAAGAAGCGGTTCTTTGTAATTCTCCCCACCCTTGAGAATGTACTTTGTGAGATCCACCCCGCTGCCTGCAAAACGTTGCTCCTAACTCTACTGCCTATCCCAAAACCTGTAAGAATGAATGATAATCCCACCACCCTTTGCTGACTCTCTTTTCGGACTCAGCCCACCTGCACCCAGGTGGAATAAACAGCCTTGTTGCTCACACAAAGCCTGTTTGGTGGGCTCTTCACATGGACGCGGGAGACACTATAGATTAGTTTTTCCTATGTCTCTGAGGCATCCTCAGATTGCAGTGGCAATCTGAAAGATCCTTCTGGATTGTAGTTCAAGCCAGGCATTCAACAACCTTCGTGCCTGATGGCATTCAACCATCAGGGCCTGTGCCTGTCAGAAAGTGACATTCTTTACTCAAAAACCTGCAAAGGAACTTGTAAATAAACTGTACGAACAAGGTATGGGGACGGTGTTATCCAAAAGGCTTCTGTCAGTTTCATAAACAAATCTCAGTTTCTTAAAATTATGCCATTCCAGTCAAAGCCTTGATAAAACAACCAGTGTCTCCAACTGTGTCCTGTTACAAAAGAAAGCTTCAAAACAAAGCAATATTTCCCTCCATTATGACCTAATTCTGTACTCTTGGTTTTTCTTAATATGAGTAGGGGCTAGGGGCCCTCTGAAGGGTCACTGAAAAATCAACTCAAAAAAGATAGATTAGTTGAAGAGAAGGCATGCAGATTTGTTTGGAGTGTGTATGCTGGAGTCTTCAGAATAAAGATTCAAACACATGGGGGAAATTGTCCATCTTATGCTTAGGTACAACAAGGTATGGGCAGATGTAAAAATAAGATTGAGCTAAAAGGCATAATCTAATGCTAATTGGTTGAATGAGGAAACCCAGAAATGCCTGTCTGTCCAGATCCCTCTTGACCTCTCAGAGCATGTACTCCTTCCTACTGAGGGTATGGGGATCTTATAACCTACAGTCCAAGAAGGTAGGTCATATAATTTTTTATGGCCAGTTCTTACACAGGAAAGTAGAGGAAAGTTAAGTAATATTTTTAGGCATCATGGATGGTTTTGAGAAAAAGGTGTTCTGATTTCTAAGGCCTTCCTTGGGCAAGGGAGATTCTAGTTTGTATGGCCAGCTTTGAGGGAAAACTGGACTGAGAAATAAGACGGCAGAAAGACAAAGAACCTTTCATTTCTAAGACTGAAATGAGGCTTTCATTTTGGGGGACCGTTTTCTGAGCCCTAGCATGTGTTTAAGGTGTTTGATGTAACCAAGAAACTTCCCATGCTGTTGATAAGAGTCACATATTTCCCTGCTCAAGGTGCCAGTTGTTTAGTTTCTTGTTTCCTCTATCATATAGAGTTCACTTATGACTATGGGCACATTCTTCCTTTGTGTGATTAATTCAAATTATCTTTTCAGCAGGTTTGATTTTCAAGTTATCTAAATGAACTTTCCATAAGGAAAACCAGTCATATTGCAGGAGGTTTTGTTTATCTTTCTGGTAAATAGCCTAAAGAAACAAAGATTTGACTTTTTGTAAGGATCACTTCTGTGTTGTTTTTATTAGTTTTTAAAAATTACATAGAAAAACTAACTCTAATAGTCCATTTTTACACTGCAGGTAAAGACATCCCCAAGACTGGGTAATTTATAAAGAAAAAGAGGTTTAATGGACTTACAATCCCACGTGGCGGGGGAGGCCTCACAATCATAGTGGAAGGCAAAAGGCACATCTTACATGGCAGCAGACGAGAGAGAATTAGAGCCAAACAGAAGGGGTTTCTCCTTATAAAACCATCAGATCTTGTGAGACTTATTCATTATCACAAGAATAGTATGGGGGAAACAGCCCCATGATTCAATTATCTCTCACTGGGTACCTCCTACAATATGTGGGAATTGTGGGAGCTACAATTCAAGATGAGATTTGGGTGGGGACACAGCTAAACCCTATCACCAACCTTTAAAAGGGTTAAGGTTTTTACATCCATGTAACTTCCTATACTGCTTTTAAAGCCTTTTGATGATCATTCTGGTTAAATGAATTATTGTTATTTTATAATAACCTATGGTTCTGATTTAATCAAATGTTTTGAGCTTTTTAACATCTATGACAAACATCCTCAAAATCAAATCCTAAATTAAGTCTCATACTTTCACTGGTGGGTATCAAAACTATAAAAATTGAACAAAATTGTTTAAGATGGCTTACTAGAAGCAGCTGGTATATGCCTCTTTCCTGGAGAGAAACTAGTCAACACTAGCTCCTCAGCTGGATTAGCCAGGTGTACATGTTGGGATTCATCAGGGAAGCAATGTGACCTACAGAGAAGGTATTGGAGGGAGACAGGGCAGCTGTCCACCCAAGACTGGCACAGTGTTAGGGGTAGGCTCCTCACCATGTGGAAATGGTGAGTTAGTAATACCCTCTGGGACCCACACTTCTGCCACAAACCTTTATAACCCTGGGCTCGAGAGATCCCCCATGATCCCCCTTACCCCCTCGACCAGGGCCTCCAAACTAAAACAGAGAGCTACGTGGTGTGTGGGCAGAGCCATCACTCAAGCTCAGGTGGTGATATAGCTTGGCCGTCTCCATCCAAATCCCATCTCGAATTGTAGCTCCCATAACTCCCACATACAGTGGGAGGGAGCCAGTGGGAGATAATTGAATCATGGAATCCCCCATACTGTTCTCATGGTAGTGAGTAAGTCTCATGAGATCTGATAGTTTTATAAGGGGAAACTCCTTTCACTTGGCTCTCATTTTCTCTTTGCCTGTGGCCTTGTAAGACGTGCCTTTGTTCTTCCCTCACCTTCCCGCTGCCATGGTCGTGAGGCCACCCCAACCACGTGGAACTGTGAGTCCATTAAACCTCCTTTTCTTTATAAATTACCCAATCTCAGGTATGCCTTTATCAGCAGCATGAAAATGGACTATTACAGGTGGATTCCTGGTCCCTTGGACCCCTGGGCACTCTGGCACCAGTGGCTGCAGCTCTAGTAGTTGGGGAGGCTAGGCTCCCTTGCATGCCCCCAAGATAGAAGCTGAATCCATGGGGCTGATGAACAGATATACTGCAGGCTTTGCCTGCATCTATCCAGACAAAGCCCACTGTCCTTGGAGTCTAGCATGGCCACCCCAGCCCTGCCTGAGCTCTCAGGTCGGTAGCAGCCTTACACTTTCCTGGGACAGAGCTCCCAGAGGGAACAGGTGGACCTACCAGTTTTACTGCTCCGCAGCCCTCAATCCTGCTGCCCTCAGTCTTGGAAAGGAGCAAAGTGATTATGAACTAACGTGGGCCCTCAGTGTAGCACAGCTTACAGAAAAGTGGCCGGACTGTTTTCCACATGGGTCCCTGGCCATTAATCCTCACTAAGCAGGCTTCTCAACCTGGGCCACCAGTACAACCACCCTGCCCTGCCTGAACACTTCAGTCAGCAGCAGCTCTGCATTTCTTTGGGGAGGAAATCTCAGAGACAACCCACAGCCCCTTGCCCATCACAGCTGCAATGGTACTGCCCTTATTACCCTCAGGCTGGGGAAGGAACCAAAGGCCTGGTCATGTCACTGGCACCTCCAGCACACTGCAAACACCATATGGAGAGGAGTACTGTCTCTCTTCCTTGTGAGCCCCCACACCCTACTTATCACCAGGCAGGGTCCCAAACTTGGAACTGCAGAGCAGCCACTCCACCCCTGACTGAGCATTCCCACTGGTAGTGGCTCTTCGTTTCCCTGGGGTGGAGCTTCCAGAGAAAACTGACAGCCACTCTGCCACTGCCACTGAGGCAGTTCTGCCATTGCTGTCCTCAGACTGGGGAAGGAATAAAGACCCTGAGGTCATTACTCATGCATTCAGCACACCACAGTCACCACACAGAGAGAAGCCCACTCTCTCTTACCTGTGAGACTCCAACACCTGCTCTTCAAAGAGGACCCCTGGCTCAGGCTCACAGTACAGCCAACCCACCCTCAGCTCAACATTCCCTTTGGCAGCAGCTCTGCATTTCTTTGGGGTGAAGTTCCCAAAGGCAACTGAAAGCCTCTCTGCCACTGCTACTGCAGTGGTACTACACTTGCTGCCTTCAAAGTGAGGAGGGAACAAAGACCCCAAGTACTTTACTCACACCTCCAGCACACTGCAGGAGAGGAGAAGAGGCCAGTCTGTCTTCCCTGTGAGACCCCTGCCTCCTGTTCATTACAAGGGAGGTCTCCCCAGCATGGTCCCACAACACACACCACAGCCCTGGCTGACCACTCCAAGTAGTAGAGGCTTTGTGCTTCTCTGGGGTGAAGCCACAAGAGACAAGTAAAAGGCCCTTGCTCATTGCCACTACCAAGGTCCCTTCCCCTGCTGCCTCCAAGCTGGGGAGAAAACATAAAGCCTGAGCTTGCCCTAGGGCTGTGATGTGCAGCCCAGGAGTTCCAAGCCCAGATCTCCATCCAGAACTTGAGTGGGAAAGGAGCCCACACTTTCAAAACACTGAGAAGGAACGTGGCTGCAAATGTGAGGAAATACAGAGGAGCCATGAGGCTGAGCAAGAGCCTACCTACTGGACATTACACTTAAGCACCATCTACTGGATCACAGCCCAAACTTCAACATCCAAAAAACTTTGCTAATATACCACTCTGTGAAACCAAGGACAAGAATTCAGCTACAAATAAAGACCCAGGACAAAGCTTTAGTCCTCTGAAAATGTCCAGAAAGGAAGTTAACTGACTATACTCAAATTACACCAGAGTTAAAGCCACACAGATGAGAAAGAACCAGCACAAGAACTCTGGCAACTAAAAAAGCTAGAGTGTCTTCTTTCCTCTAAATGACTGTACTACTTCCCCAGAAACGCTTCTTAACCAGCGGAAAGGGCAGAAATTACCAACGTAAAATTCAGAATATGAATAGGAACAAAGATTATCGAGATTCAGGAGAAAGTCAAATGCAATTTAAGGAATCTAAGGATTATAACAAAAAATGATACAAGAGCTGAAGATAAAATGGGCATTTTAAGAAAAAAACAAACTGTAATGATAGAGCTGAAAAACACACTACAAGAATTTCCTAATAAAATTGCAAGTATTAACAGCAGAATAGACCAAGCTGAGGAAAGAATCTCAGAGCTCAAAAACTGGTTCTACAAACTAACTCAGACAAAAATAAAGAAAAAAAGGAGAAAACCTTGGAGAAATGTGGGATTATGTAGAGACCAAATCTGTGACTCACTGGCATCCTTGAAAGAGAGGGAGATAAAACAAGCAACTTGGAAAACATATTTCACAATCTTGGCCACAAAAATTTCCCCAACATCACCAGAGAGGCCAACATTCAAATTAAAAAATGTAGAGAACCTTTGTGAGATACTGCACAAGACAACTATCCCCAAGACACATAGTCATCAGGTTCTCCAAGGTCAACAAGAAAGAAAAAATATTAAAGATAGCTAGACAGAAAGGACAGGTCACCTACAAAGGGAACCCCATCAGGCTAAAAGCAGACCTTTGGACAGAAACCCTACAAGCCAGAAGAGATTGGGAGCCTATATTCACTATTCTTTAAAAAGAAGAAGTTCCAACCAAGAATTTCATATCTGGCCAAAGATTCCCAAGCAAAGGAGAAATAAGATACTTTTCAGACAAGCTAATGCTAAGGAAATTCATTACCTTCACACCTGCTTTACAAGAGGTCCTACGGGGAGTGATAAATATGGAAAGGAAAGACCATTACCAGCCACATAAAAACAGTTAAGTACATAGACCACTGACACTATAAAGCAACCACACAATCAAGTCTGAATAATAACCAGCTAACAACACAACAACAGGATCAAATCCACACATGTCAATATTAACCTTGAATGTAAATGGGCTAACTGTCCCCAGTTAAAAGGCACAGAATGGCAACTTGGATAAAAGAGCACGACCCAACCGTATGCTGTCTTCAAGAGACCCATCTCATGTGCAATGACACCCATAAAGAAAACATTATACCAATATCCTTGATGAAAACAGATGCAAAAATTCTCACTAAAATACTAGCAAACCAAATCCAGCAACACATCAAAAAGCTAATCTACAGCAATCAAATAGGCTTTATTCCAGGGATGCAACGTTTCTTCAACATATGCAAATCAATAAATGTGATTAATCACATAAACAGAACTGAAAACAAAAACCAGATGATTATCTCAGTAGATGCAGAAAAGGCTTTTGATAAAATTCAGCATCCATTCATGTTTAAAACCCTCAACAATCTAGGCATTGAAGGAACATATCTTTAAATAATAAGAGCTATCTATGACAAACCCACAATCAACATCATACGGGTTGCACAAAAGCTGGAAGTATTCCCCCTTGAAAACCAGAACAAGACAAGGATGCCCACTCTCACCACTCCTATTCAACGTAGTACTGGAAGTCTTAGCCAGAGCACTGAGGCATGAGAAAGAGATAAAAGGCATCCAAATAGAAAGAGAAAAAGTCCCTGTTTGCAGATGCCACAATTCTATATCTAGAAAACCCCATAGTCTTAGCCCAAAAGCTCCTTAAGCTGATTAAAAAAAAACTTCAGCGAAGTCTCAGCATACAAAATCAATGCACAAAAATTAGAAGCATTCCTATACACCAACAAAAAACAGGCCCAGAGCCAAATCAGGAACACAATCCCATTCACAATCACCACAAAAAGAAAAACATACCTAGGAATACAGCTAAGGAGAAAGGTAAAAGATCTCTGCAATAAGAATTACAGGCCAGGCACAGTGGCTCACACCTGTGATCCCAGCACTTTGGGAGGATGAGGCGGGTGGATCACCTGAGGTCAGGAGTTTGGGGCCAGCCTGGCCAACACGGTGAAACCCCACCTCTACTAAAAATACAAAAATCAGCCAGGTGTGGTGACAGGCACCTGTAATCCCAGCTACTCAGGAGACTGAGGCATGAGAATTGCTTGAATCTGGGAGGTGGAGGTTGCAGCGAGCCGAGATCACACCACTGCACTCCAGCCTGGGGGATAGAGTGAGACTCTATCTCAAAAAAAGAAAAAAAAAATTACAAAACACTGCTTGAAGAAATCAGAGATGACACAAACAAATGGAAAAAAGCATTCCATACTCATGGATAGGAAAAATCAATATTGTTAAAATGGCATTACTGCCTAGAGCATTTTACAGATTCAATGTTATTCCTATCAAACTACCAATGACATTCTGCACAGAACTAGAAAAAGCGATTCTAAAATTCATAAGGAACCAAAAAAGAGCCCAAACAGCCAAAGCAATTCTAAGCACAAAGAACAAAACTGGAGGCATCACATAACCTGAGTTCAAACGATGCTACAAGTCCACAGTAACCAAAAGAGCATGGTACCGGTACGAATATAGACACATAGACAATGGAACAGAATACAGATCCCAGAAATGAAGCCACACACCTACAACCATCTGATCTTTGACAAAGCTGACAAAAACAAGCAATGGAGGAAAGGAAAACTTAAGTCAATAAATGGTGCTGAAATAATTAGCCATATGCAGAAGATTGAAAACCGGATCCCCTCCTATACCATATACAGAAATCCATTCAAGATGGGTTAAAGATTTAAATGTAAGACCTAAAACTATAACAACCCTGAAAGAAAACCTAGGAAATACCGTTCTAGACATAGACCTTTTCTGTTGAAGATGCCAAAAGCAATTGCAACAAAACAAAAAATTGATTAGTGGGACTCAAACTAAAGTGCTTGTACACAGCAATAGAAACTATCAATAGAGTAAGCAGATAACCTACAGAGTGGGAGAAAATATTTGCAAACTATGCATCCAGCAAGGGTCTAATATCCAGAATCTATAAGAAACTTAAATTTAAAAGAAAAAAGCAAGCAACCCCATGAAAATCTGGGCAAAGGGCATGAACACATGCTTTTCAAAAGAAGACATGCATGCAGCCAACCAACATATGAAAAAAAGCTGAACCTCACTGACCATTAGAGAAATGCAAACCCAAACCACAGTAACACACCATTTCACATGAGTTAGAATGGCTATTATCAAAAAGTCAAACAATAATGTGCTGGCAAGGACGCAGAGAAAAAGGAATGCTTATACATTGTTGGTGGGAGACAGAAGGTACAATAGTACTTTTCTTACAGGGTTCTGAGACTATAAAGTGAACTTAGGCATGTAAGAGAAATTCATGCAATAAAAGTACTAACAAAATAATTATTATGACAGATACTTATAATCATTGTGTTTTTACATATTCAAAATATGTTATACCTATAATTACCCTACTCAAGGGAATCTAAGGGCAAAAGTAATGTTATTTGTCTTTGTTTTCCTTGTTTAAGGGATCATGGACATTACAGTATATTTTGAAAGAACTGGTTATAAGAACTCTAGGAACAAATTAAACTTGGAAATATTAACTGCTATCTTCAGCAACAGGTCTGAGCTGTTCCCTCTGAGAACTTTAGCATGCATTGTGGGGAACACATGGAGTAGGGCTTAAAGTCCATTTTTTTTTATCACGTTATAAGAAGACCCCCAGGGTGGGTGGTGTCTCTGGGTTGATCGATTTCTGTAAAGGGCTCTGACCACAACTGGCTTTGAGACCACGATATTGGCAGGGAATGTTTATATCCCTCTGGCCAAAAAATATAGCGCTGACATGGTTCACCTTCTTCTGCAGGTGACCGTTAACGGCAAGTACCACATCACTGATGGTCAGTTTGGAAGCTCCTTCCAGATGTGGCAGCCTCTGGGGTTTATTTCTGGGAAGGATCAGCCTCAGGTGTCACTCATTTTCTGCTTGAGAGAGAGAGTGGATTCTGCTACCTGGATCACCTTAGAAGATGTCAGCACATTTCAAACTAAGATTTTCTTAATTCTGATCTCCGGGAAGAAAAGAAATAACAAAAAAAAATCTACTCCTTTACTCCTGAATCCTGAACAATTGAAGATTTTGAGTCTGTGAGTACATACCTGTAGACATCTCCAACATCTCCATTTACAAGCACATTATTTTGTTCTGTGCAAACCCCAGAAGGTATGCACTGCTTGGTGGGCTTCACTCTCAACTGTAGGAGATTCTGCTATAAGGACAATATGGATCTCGTAGAGTTTTAAATTCTGAAATAGGAAGAAGTTGAAGAATGACTGAAGAATATGTTTAATATATCCTTAGAGGGAAAACTCATGCCCAAACATGGTGATTCATCTTTTACTATTTAGAGTAAGAAACAAAATAAATCCTTGTGCATTTATTAGCCAGCTCACTAATTATCAACCGATGTCCTATCATATATCCTCTATACCCTCACATTATTTGGAGGAAAATTCTATATATCAAATCATTTCACCAATAAAAATGCCAGCATATATCATTAAACATCATTTTAAAGAATGATAACCACACATTTTCAAACTCATGAACATAAAAGCATTTTAAGGATGACCTGTGATTATCTTGGGAACCATAGTGATTTGTGTGAGAAAATATTTAATGCGGGTTTTTTGTTGACTTTATAGAAAATTTTTACTGGTAAATGAGTGAATAGAATATTACGGAAAAACTAATTGTCTATAAAGCATATGAAAAGATTGTTGGATAATATAATGTGAATTCAAGTTTTTCTTTAGGAGACTTAGGCTATTATGGGACTAGGTGTTTTTCCTCAATAAAGTCTTCCCTCTCATCCTTTCTCTTGTCTCCTGGTTATATTCTTTTACTTTCTTCCAAACTTTGCCATAAGAAAAAGAACATGGTTTTGGTATATAAATTCGATTTGAAATCCTGTGGACACTGGGTGAATTATTTTTTAAAACTGTAGCTCTGATTTCTCAAAGATAAAATGAGGATAATATTTATACAATTCAGTGCCAGACCTGGAGTAAACTTTCAAAAAAATATTTGCTACATGGATGAATGAATAATGTCAGTAATGTTTTAGTACTAGATCAGCATTTGATCAAAGTTCTCCTTCCATCTTGCTTTATTTCCCTACAGTTTGAAATTCTGGCTCCAGTTTCATCTGCCTGCTTCTTCCTTGATTAAATATTGATAGAAAATCAGATGCCCTGGATCTAAGCGTGTGTCTTGTGTTTCAGAATCTGAATGTTTACTTATCCATAACTCAGATTTTCTGTTCGTAGATTCCAGTATCAGGGCTATAGTTTAAACTTCAGACTGATTCTTACGTTACTCTCTTTCTCTTCAACTTGTGATCATTTTAATAAGCTTAAGAGAAAAGCAGGGACCAGAATGGAGAAATATTCGTTAAGAAAATAAGATACATTGGAGCATCAGTATTTTAGACAGCAATATAATAGTTGGGAGATACTGGCGAGTGTGAATGATATGCTTTGACTGTATCCCCACCCAAATCTCATTTTGAATTGTAGTTCCCATAATCCCTACATGTTGTGGGAGGGACCCAGTGGGAGGTAACTGAATCATGGGTGCACGTTTCTCCCATGCTGTTCTCATGATAGTGAATAAGTCTCACAAGATCTGATGGTTTTATAAAGGGCAGTTCCCCTGCACATACTCTTTTGCCTGCCACCATGAGAGATGTACCTTTGCTCCTCCTTCACCTTCTGCCATAACTGTGAGGCCTCCCCAGCCATGTGGAACTGTGTGTCCATTAAACCTCTTTTTCTTTATAATTTACCCAGTCTCAGGTATGTCTTTATTAGCAGCATGAGAACAGACTAATATCAAGGATTTCCTAAGAAGTGGTGGGTATGAGACCTGGTCTCAGTGAGAAGAAAGAATGAAAGAGATATGTCAATATTTGAAAGCTTGCCATCTTCCTTACTGATGGGCCTTGTTCAGCTATGTTGCTGTCTTGCAATAATGCCACGTCACTTCTGGTACTCTCGAGCAGAAAGAACTTTCTCATATTCCAACCAAGATCAGGCCAATGGAGGAAATGCTGGCAAAAAACTCAAACCAGATCAAAATGTGGCTCAAAGAAAATGATGCAGTTTTATACAATGAGTCAAGTAAGTCATGTTGCACAATGAATATCCTGTAACCCAAATGCAATTTTTTTTCTTGAATATATCTGTCACATAGGGGGAAAAGCAAAAATATGTTCAAAAAGACTCAAATATACAATTTAGCTTGCAGATTGAAGACTTCTGCTTTTACTATGCAATGTTAACCTTTTTCAAATGGAATCTAAATGAATGAAGGAAAAGAATCTCACCAATTGATTTGGCTAAAGATTTTGAGGTGGATGTTGATTCTTTGCATTTGTCCAAAACGTTGTCTCTATTTTTGGTGGCCCTCTGAAGAGTAGGATATGCCATGTCGTGTCAGAACCCTGAGACAAGTAAGTTAGAAGATCTAGTTGGAAAGGTTGAGGTGTTAAGTGTGTATGCTATTTCCTCTACCTTCACAGTGAAGCTGAGTGTGTATGTGTTAATCTCCCACTCTCTGTGCATTAAGCAAGGCAGATGATCTGGGACAAGCGTGTATATTGGTATTCAGGTGGTAGCCTCTGACCCTAGGGAGATACCCACTGGAAGTGAGCCCACCTGTTTGTTTTCTGAGGCTTAGGGATATTCAGGAATGCAAAGCCCCACTGACTCCGATAGCTAGGTCACTGGGAGAAAGTGTCTTTAATGGGAGCTATAGAATTTGTCGCACTTGATGTGTGAGACAACTTCTTCAAGAAAACATGAATAGGACTAGATTTATTACTGGGGTAAGCCAGAAGAAAGGCTCAGAAAGTACCATGCTGTGACTCAGACTGCAGGAGGGTTACTGTTTGTCTACT
The DNA here is from genome assembly GCF_000001405.40 of Homo sapiens. NCBI lineage: Eukaryota > Metazoa > Chordata > Mammalia > Primates > Hominidae > Homo > Homo sapiens. Next base: position 18,374,037 of record NC_000008.11, read on the forward strand.
CTATTAGCTCACTAATACAAATTCATTAGAAGCCAGGCTGTCAAATAGTCACTGAAAGAATGTACAGAAAACCCCTTCTAGAAAGAAGATGGGAGCTGTGCATTCCAGCCTCTTTTCTGAACAGCACTCTGGGGATGGAGCCCCTGGAAGTGCTTAGACTCCCACTGAAAACCACCTATTTGTTCTGTAATCTAGAAAGACTCACGTGTGCATTCTCCCGTTCCTAGAGTTGGAAGGTTTTTAGGATGCAGTCAATCAAGTGGTAACTATAAGAGTTTGGGAACTCAATGCATGGCTCAAACCCCATTTGGGAATGAACAGGGAACTGCATTTTAGAGCCCCTTCTCTACATTCCTCCACTGAATGAAGTCCCTGGAAGTGTGTGCACGCTCATATAAAACTGCCACTTTTTTCTGTGGCCTACAGAGTGTTGTATATGCCTAGCCCTCTCTACTCCCAGAGCTAGGAGGTTTAGGATGCAGCCCCTTGTGTTAAAACTATAAAAGGTGGGGCACTCAATATGAGGACAAACTCATTCCAGGTGGGATTAATGGGCCTGGATTTATCAGTAGTGTGAGCCAGGGGAGAAAGCTCTGGAAAAGCCATTGTGTTTCTGAGGCTACCAGGCGGCTATCTGCCCCCTTTCTCCCCAATGCACATTAGAAACCAGACCCCCAAGTAGCCACTGGAACAGTGTGCCATAAACCCATTCCAGGAAGTAACAGGTAGCTGCATGTTTAAGCCCCTTTTATGCACTGCTCCTGGGGCATGAGGTCCCTAGAAATGCTTACAAACCTGTATAAAATCGCCACTTTTTCCTGTGATCTAGGGAGACTTACGTATGTCTACTTCTCTCTACTCCAAGACCTAAGAGGTTTAGGATGTCATATCAGATGGAAGTTGAAATAGTGGAATGCTCATCATGTGAACAAACCCTTTCCAGGAGGGATCAATAGACATACGTTTTCACTAAAAAAATCTGGCAGAGGCAGTTATCTAATGTGTAGAAACCAACACAGAAGGTCAAAGAAAATGAGGAAACAGGGATATATATTCCCATTTAAGAACAATATAAATCTCCCAAATCCAACCCAAGTGATGTGGAGATATGTGATTTACTTCACAGGGAATTCAGAATAAAGATAATAAAGATGCTTACTGAGGTCAGGAGAGCAATGTAAGAATAAACTGAGAATTTCAACGAAGAGAGAGAAAATTTTTAAGAAGTACCAAACAGAAATTATAGCACTGAAGAATACTATAACTGAAATGAAAAATCCAATAAAGTGGTTCAACAGCAGGCTAGATCAAGCAGAAGAAAGGATCAGTGAACTCAAAAGCAAGTCAGTTAAAGTCATCCAATCTGAGGAGCAAAAATAGAAAAGAATGAAAAATACTGAAGATAACTTAAGAGATGTATGGAACAGCGTCAGGCTGTACATCATATGTGTTATTGATGTACCAGAAAAGAGAAAGTGACATTAACCATATTCAAAGAGATAATGAAAGAAAACTTCCCAAGCCTGTAGAAGGAAATAGAAATACTAACTTAAGGAGTTCAAAGCACCAAACAAGGTGACTCAAAAGAGGCATACATTGAGAAACATCATACTCAAATTGTCAAAAGTTAAAGACAAAGAGAGAGTTTTTAAAGCAGCTAGAGAAATGCAAATTGTTATGTACAAGGAAATCCCAGTGATAGTATCAGCAGATTTTTTCATCCAAAATCTTGTAGGCCAGAAAGGAGTAAGATGATATATTCAAGACCTAGTAGGGGGAAGCCAACTAAGAATACTATACCCAGAAATCATGTCTTTCAAAAATGAAGGATTGAAAAAACTTCGTCAGACAAGCAAAAGTTGAGAGTTTATCACCACTAGACTTGCATTGTAAAAATTTCAAAGGTAGTTCTTCAAGATGGAGAAAAATGGTAATTAGTAACATGAAAATATAAATCTTACTGATAAAAGTAAGACTGTTTTAAAATCCAGTACACTCTAACACTGTAATGACAATGGGTAAGTCAATCATGTCTTCAGTATAAAGGTTAAAGGTCAAAACGATTAAAAATGACTAAAGCTACAATAATTTCTTAAGGGATACAAATGCTGAAAAGATGTAAATTGTGACATCAAAAACATAAAACATAGGAGGAAGAGGATTAAAACTGTAGAGCTTATATATGTGATTAAAATCACATTGTTATCAGTATTATTCACAATACCCAAGATATGAAATCAGCCTAAATGTCCATCAACAGATGAATGGGTAAGAAAGGATGCTGTATATATTCACAATGGAATATTATTCAGTCATAAAATATAATGAAATCCAGTCCTTCCCAACAACAATGATGGAACCAGAGGGCATTATGTTCAGTGAAATAAGCCAAGAACTTAAAGATAAATATCACATATTAAGTTATCCCACGAAAATGGTGAATAGAATTATGGTTACCAGAGGCTGGAAAGGGTAGGGAATAGGGGGATGAAGAGAGGTTTGGTAATGGATATAAAAATACCGTTAGATACAAGAAGTAAATTCTGATATTCAACAGCACATCTAGTAGGTTGATCATGGTTAACAATAATTATCATATATTTCAAGAGATTTGGCATGTTCCTAACACAATGAAATAACAAATGTTTAAGGTGGTAAATATCCTATTACCCTGACTTGATCATTAAACGTTGAAACAAAATGTCACATGTTCCCCATAAATACGTACAATTATTATGTATCAATAAATAAATGACAATTTTAAAAAGCAATTCACTACCCATCCCCAAAATTAAGCTGCTAACACCTAAAATAGCCTGTTACATGTATAAGGTGTTTTCTGTAAGCCTCAGCATAACAACAAAGCAAAGGTCTATAAAACATACACAAAACATCAAAAGAAAATATCCAACTCATATCATTACAGAAAGTTATCAAACCACAAAGGAAGAAGGCAAGAAAGGAAGAAACAAACAAAGGATCTACAAAACAGCCAGAAAACAATGAACAAAATGGCACTAGTAAGTTCTTACCTAGCAGTAATTACGTGAATATAAATGAATTTAATTCTCCAATCAAGTCACAGAGTAGTTGAATGGATGAAAAAACAAGACCCAACTCTATGCTGCCTACAAGAGACACCCTGTTTTTCCTGTAAGGACACACATGGACTGAAAGTGGAGAGTTAGAAAAAGATATTCCACGCAAAGGGAATCCAGAAAAGAGCAAGAGGAGCTATATCAGATAAAATAGACTTTATGTCAAAAATTGTAAAAAGAGACAAAAAAAGGTCATTACCTAATAATAAAGGGGTCGATTTTGTAAGAGGACATATTAATTGTAAACCTGTATGCACCCAAGATCAGAGCACCTAAATGTATGAAGCAAATATTAATAGATCTGAAAGGAGAGATAGACTGCAATACAGTAATAGTGGGCAACTTCAACACCCCATTTTCAGCAATGAAGAGATATCCAGATGGAAAACCAGGAAGTAAACATCAGACTTTGTGTTAGGCTGCTCTTGCATTGTTATAAAGGAATACCTGAGACTGAGTGATTTATAAATAAAAGAGGTTTAATTGGCTCACAGTTCTGCAGGCTACACAAGCATGGCACTGTGATCTGCTCGGCTTCTAGGGAGGCCTCAGAGAACTTTTATTCATGCTAGAAGGTGAACTGGGACCAGACACATCACACGGCCACAATAGGAGCAAGAGAGAGACAGGAGAAAGTGTGACACACTTTTAAACAACCAGATCTTGCGAGAACTCACTCACTATTGCAAGGACGGCACTAAGAGGATGGTGCTAGACCATTAATGAGCAATCCACTCCCATGATTCACTCATGTCCCATCAGGTCCCACCTCCAATGTTGGGGAGTACAATTTAACATGAGATTTAGGGGGACAAACAACCAAATTATATCAGACTTAATTTGATACTCTAGACCAAATGGACCTACTAGACATACACAGAACATCCCACCCAACACAAACAGAATCTTCTCAAGGTAACACAGAACACTCTCCAGCAAAGACCATATGTTAGGCCACAAAACAAGTTTTAACAAATTTGAGAAGACCAAAATCATATCAATGATCTTTTCTGACTACACTGGTATGAAACTAGAAATCAGTAACAGGAGGAGTCATTGAAAATGAACAAGTTTGTGGAAATTAAACAATATGCTCCTAAACAATGATCGGGTCAATGAAGAAATTAAAGGGGAAACTAAAAAATATCTTGAGACAAAAGCAGCTCTAAAAGGGAAGTTTATAGCATTACACCTATATGAAAAAAGAAGAAAAGTTGTCAAATGAAAAAACTAATGTTACATCCCACAGAACTAAAAAAAGAACAACCTATGACTAAAGTTAGCAGAAGAAAAGAAATCACAAAGATCAGAGAATATATAAAGGAAATAGAAAGTAGAAAAACTTCAGAAAATATCATCCAAAATAAAAGTTGAGTTTTTTTGAAAAGCAAAACAAACTGACAAAATTTTAGCTAGAAAAAAGAAAGGTCAAAATCAGAAATGTAAGAAGTGATATTATAATTGATAGCACAGAAATCAAAGATCATAAGAGACAACTATGAAAAACCATTCACCAACAAATTGGACAACCTATTATTTCATTCTAACAGCAGGAAGGTGAGCTTCTTAATAGGAACCTATCCTGTTTTTCAGAAACTTAAGGAACGGTGAGTTCAAATGCTGTTTTGGTGATCTGTAACACCATCCAGCTGCTTTCTCTGTAAATAATTATTAGTTTGTTTTTTTTTTCTATGTGTTTTTCAGAATAACTGCAATAGTTACAATTTAATCATTAGTACTAAACTTTCACTCTATCAGGCCACTGATTTGGGGGAGTTGTTATGCCATACATTCTAACAGAACCTGAAAATGCTTTCAAATGAATCAACACTCTACAGAGCTTTATTAAAGGGGTGGAAGATATGAATCCTTGAATGGGCAAATAAGTGTGGGCTTCCTGTTCTCTTTTTTCTTGGCAAATGATCTAACTCCTTTAGATTATCTCATTATTTTCCAGGGGTTTAGTCATCTTCTCTGACAAGTAAGACAAGAACTAAACCAGTACTGTGGTATTGTCTTATTCATCAGAGAAGATTATTGGCCAGACTGTGTAGAGATAGAGGTTTTGAAATCTCTCTTAAGCAAGAAAACTTGGGGAGATGATCAAATGCCTTAAGACAGCTTTTTTGTGGAATAATCAGTGTGAAAAACTTCTGGGGTCAAAATTATGTTGCCCGATGAGCACAGGCAGTCTACAAGGGGGTTCAGTAAAGATATGCAGGTCCACATACGACTCAAGAATGAATAGAGATCTGGGCAGATTATAAGCATGAAGGGAGTTTCCCTCCTTCTCATGGAGGTTTAAACTAGGTTCACAGTAGGCAGGGACTCTGCCTCATTTTTCATTTATCCAGGAGGCATGCAGTAAATATTTGTTGGATACATGAATGAATCATTCCAGGCTCTGTTAGCACAGTGCCTGACAAAAGTAGCGTTCAAAACTTATTATTGAATGATGGCATGAGGTATAAATATATGCTTTATTCTTGGAAGGGAATCTACATATAGCTGTGCTACTGGGGTCAACTTTACCCCACTCCACACCCACATCAAGCAGGCTCCTGAATTGGTGGTAGCCGCCTAGTGTGAGGTGGAAATGGACATGAACAGCACTGGCCCTGGGAGAGAGAGTCAACCTCCCTGTGCGATTCCCTGGCTCCTGCTGCTCCCAACCAGCTAGTCAGCCCTGCAGACCAAGGGAGAAGTGGGCATATGCCTTTAGTGATGGGGGGTGGGTGTCAGAGGAAGGGGGTGGAAATTAGTTTGGGGAAGGGAACCAGAAATAACAATGGATTTGAAATGCACCAGTTATAAAGCAATGGCTTGACTGAATTCAACCTTTTAATGGAATAATCTAACAATGAATTATCTCATTGTTTCCCCAGTACATGCTCTCTTTGTTGCATTCATAGAATCATAAAAAAATATGAGGGGGAAAGGAATTGTAGACACACTTGGCACCAACACCCTCAGTTTGCAAATTAAGAAAGAGCCCTTTACACCCAAGCATCCTCAAGTCACACACTCACTCTGATGGGTAGGGACTTTGTCACTCTTCCTGCCCTTTCACCCAGTCTTGTCCATCCCCAAGAAAGGGATTCTGTATTAGTCGGCTTTCACACTGCTATGAAGAAATACCCAAGGCTGGGTAATTTATAAAGGAAAGAGGTTTAATTGACTCACAGTTCTGAGTGGCTGGGGAGGCCTCAGGAAACCTACAATCATGGCAGAAGGCAAAGGAGAAGCAAGTACCTTTTTCACGCGGTGGCAGGAAAGAGAGAGAGCGAAGGAGGAACTGCAAAACACTTATAAAACCATCAGATCTCACGAGAACTCACTCACTATCGTAAGAACAGCATGGGGGAACCACCCCATGATCCAATCACCTCCCACCGGGTCTCTCCCTCAGCACGTGGGGATTATGGGGATTACAATTCAAGTTGAGATTTGGGTGGGGACACAGAGCCAAACCATATTAGATTTTGTCTGTAAACAAGTTAAAGATTAAACAAACTGAGCTGGTACTCCAGGCCACACCACCATGCAGGGTGTGGCTGGCCAGCCCTGAGGGATGGGAGAAGCAAAGACTAGGAAAGAACAGCCAATGAGGGCTGTCCCTGCATTCCGTGGTGACCAGCCTCTAGCAGCCCAGCCCCAGGGTAGTGAACAAAGTCTGCTTCCTCCAGGAGTGTTGACCTCCTATGTGAGGAGCAGCCACCAGGGTGCCTGCTAGATACGGTGAAACCAAAATTTCAAAGGGCAAGAAAAGAGGGTTCGGCCAAGGGGCAGACTCCAGCGTGGCAGGCTGGCAGGCTGAAGACTGCAGATTGCAGCATAAACAAATACTGAGGAAGTCAGGAAAAAGGTCACACTGAGCCATTAGGATTGCTCTGCTTCAGTCTCTGGCGTGGGAACTACAAGCTTCCAGGAGACAGGGACATGGATGAAAACGGATGGACAGGAAGGGAGGGATGGGCTTGGCTGCCATGAGGTGGGAGGCTGTAGAGCTGGTGAGTCTGAGGAGCAGCAAAACAATTCGGACTGAATTTCACTCCCGTGCAATGAAAAGCCAATCCCTGCATTTGTTCAACACCCAGGAAACGTATGCCAAGCTCCTCAGTCAGGCACTGTGAGAAATGAGACAGACAAAGCCTTCACTTCTCCTTCAGGGAGGAAACTGATACGAAAACAACGAATGTTGACCTAAAAACATGTTTCTTTTACTGCTTGTTGTAATGCACATTTAGTTTTTGTCTCCTGGCAAAGAGAAAACGGGATTAATTCTGACTGACACTTCTGAGAATGCATCATAGGGGGTAACATTTGAGCTCTTAGGATTTCTACAGGCCAAGAAGTCTGAAAAGGGTAATCAATTCAAGCCCTAACCTACTTTTACATTTTTACTCCTGTCACTCTCCTGGAAGCCACCCCTGGTCTGAAGCCCCTCCATCCCTCTCCGGGGTCACCCCAGCTCATGCTCATTCCCAATTCCCAATCCTAATTTGTGCTTTTCATGCCCCAAGAAAGGCAACATAGGCCTAGAGAAGCATAAACAAATTTGAATTCATTTTTATATCTCTGTTAAAATGCTCCTTTCTGTGAAACCTTTTTTCAGGTCACCGAGACACAAATAATGGCTTCTTCATTTGTGTTCCAATTATACCTAGTATGCCTGGCCATTTCAGAGTCTGTCATGGCGTGTTATTTATTTGTTTGCCTCACTTCATCTCTGACTGGGTTGTGAATGCATTCACTTAATCAGCACTTATTGGATACTAACCATGTAACTAGCATCTGCTTGATAAAAGTATATAGAGATAATACATTTTTCTGAAATGAACCTACAATATAATGTGTTGAGGCTATAGAATTCACTGCACTCAGACATACAGATAAGAAAAAATGGGATTCAGGAAATGGCTACTTTGGTGTGGCTAATGCAAAGAATTACAGAATTATGCAGAGAGTTGTAACATAACAGTCAAGAACCAAAAGTCAAAAGGCAAGGTAACAAAATTGACTTAACTATCAATTCCATGCATTGAGCTAATGTCATGGTTTTAGTTACATACTTATGGCAACTAGCTATACAAAACACAGGCATTCTGTTAAGACCTTTAAGCTAAGTTTTGAGACTTCTGTTGTGCCACAATGCTTTTTGCAGCCTTTTTAGTAATTTGTTCTAAGGTGGCTGATTAAAAAAATTGTATATATCTATCTGCATAAACCTCATAACTGGGGGCATTACACCCAGGAGGCTTTGTAACCAGGTATCTTGATATCTTCTTAGTAATTTTCTTTTAATTCTGTGAGAAGTAGGAAATTCTTTATGGTTTGGATGGCTAAAAAGGGGTCATACAATGACCCAGGAAGCAAAGTCCCTTATTTTGCCAGCTATTTAAGCATCTGTAGGCCTGTCTTTGATTTAGAGGATCTAACTTAATTTTTCTTTCACCAACCAAGAAGCAGCATCAATAATTTTTATCCCTCAAATTTGGCCCTTACAGTCTCACATTTCCACCTCTTCTGTGATAGTGGCTGGGCCTAGAGGGAAGGTGTTTATACAGTTTCAGCAGTGGAGCATTAGCAATGAAAATAGATCAAGCTCAGTGGATTCTAAATGGTTTTTAAACTTCAGAGATATCAGATAGAGAGGAGAAAGGTAATCTTTGTTGTCCTACCCCATTTTGTAAGCCATGTATAGAATAAGCAATGTTTTAAACAAAAAGGACATAAGCGCAGCCTAGCTCTGACAATGACAGGAAAAGGAAACTCATAGGTATCTGGACAATTCAAATTATCTGGCATTAAGGCATAGAACAAAGTATATTAAGATGAAGGAAAAATTACTAAATCAATAGTTATGATTTAACTGGCCCAGTGTCATATGAAAGCAGTTTATTTTGACTGTCATCTTCTCCCAGGTCTGAAGATGAAGCTTCAGTTAACTTGAATTTAGTGTCAGATACCAGGGTTGACATTTAAGATTCAATAGAAGTCATGTATCCCCTTTTAGATGAGATAGGTGTACCCAGGGGTCAAAGCCTCAAAATTTAACAGCACAAAGATTAGTTAACAAGATTTGATAGAGATTTTTTTTTTTTTTTTCTGGTAGCAGTAGAGTTCATTCAAATGTGCCGTAATATAGGCGCTGGGGCTTGCCCACGGTGCTTTTGATATATAAGGCCCAGACATTCTGCCAGTTTTTCTTGAGCAATGACACCAAGAAGTTGACAGCCAGGTGAATGTTTTACACAAACTCATCGCCTGTCATCTTCACATGGCCAACAGTCACAGCCAGACATAACACCTTCTTCATTTGGAACTTGATTGTGGACTTCACCTCGTCCCCTTTGGCCACCATGTTTTCGTTGTGTGTGAGCAGAGAAGGGAACTTTCCTGCCTTATTTAGGCCTGGGCCGAGGATTCGTGGGATCTGCTTGATCAGAGACTCTGAAGCCACAAATGCGTCATTCTTCTTGTCCAGCGTATTGACCAGTTTCTTACTCTCGTTGAGTTCTTTCATCATCTCGATGTTCACGTCGGGGATACCCACGGCCCTTGCCTCTTCACGGTGCTGCTGGTCCCCCAAAGAACAGAGGGAGAACTTGGAGTGGGGAGTGGACTTAAGACTGAGAAGCATTTGTCCTTCTGGGGATCATAGTTCTTCAAGCTGATCTGCAACTCCACGGTCTCCAAAAACTTCTGGCGCTTGTGCTGGTTCCCTCCCAGGACTCTTTGCACTGCCTGGTACCAAGTGTCGCCAGAGACCCTGCTGCTCATGGCTTCTCACACAGCACTAACCATAAAAGAGCAAGACCTCTTTTTAATGGAGGGAATCCCCCAAATGATATCTAATCATCCAGCTGAAGATGGAGATATTGGAGTTTATGACTCATTTGGAAGCTGTAGAAAGATGTTATAACCTCAGGGTGATTCATTTTTATAATTTTTCGGAGGGCATTACAATCTTTGTCTCTTTGGAGAGTCAAAAGACTTTTATTTACAGCTTTATTATTATTTACATGCCACCAAAATTCATCTGAGTTTAATCAATTTGCATTCATGTTGATTGCCTATAGATTTGGATTTAATTCTTCCATCATAGTTTGTATCTTCCATTCACCTCACTTAGTTCCTAGGTTTTATTCTTTCCCTCTCTCTGCCCTCCTGCTGGATTGAGATCTTTCCACCTCATTCCATGTTTTTCCCTTTTAGTTTATACCGTTTCTATCTTTTGGTGGTTATCTTAGAATATGCATATTTAAATTCTAACTTTTACTCCTTACAAATAAAAAACCTGAGAATAATTCAATTCCAGCCACTTCTATAACTTACATATCATATTGTCCAATATTCTAGATATACCTTGATTTTTAAGCCTACAAATTACAAAACATTGTTTTATACCTGCATTGACCAATAACCTTCTTTGATATATAAATGTTCTGTATCTGTGCTATCCAATATGTTAATCACTAGGGCTACTGAGCACTTAAAATGTGGCTAATACAACCCAAGAACTGAGTACTTAATTAATTCAATTTATTAAGTGATACATTATTTATTTATTTTGAGATGGAGTTTTGCTCTCTTGCCGTGGCTGGAGTGCAGTGGTGTGATCTTGGCTCACTGCAGCCTCTGCCTCTCAGGTTTGTGATTCTCCTGCCTCAGCCCCCCAATTAGCTGGGATTACAGGCGGCTGCCACCACACCCAGCTGATTTTTGTATTTTTAGTGGAGAAGGGTTTCACCATGTTGGCCAGGCTGGTCTCAAACTCCCGACTTCAAGTTGATCTGCCTGCCTTGGCCTCCCAAAGTGTTGGGATTACAGGCATGAGCCACCGTGCCCAGCCAATTTTATTTAATTTAAATAGCCACTGATGGCTGCTGGCTACCAAAATGAAGACCAGTTTCATGCAATGGGCATGCTTAGATTCAAAACATCCCCCTTATCTGTGCTCCTCATTTCTTTGTAAGATCATCTTCCTTCTTAAGTTTCATTTTCTTAAGAGATAGGATGACATGAAGGGATTTTTCAGCAAGCAAAAATAATGAACAACTGACACTCAAAGTGAAAAATATTTACAGGGGTGTTGAATTCTAGACTTCTTGTTTCCTCAGCAATTTTCATATTTCCAGCTTTCATTGTTGCTGTTGAGAAATCAGCTGTCAATCTGTCTTCCTTCTCAGGGCACCTGTTTTTCTTCTCTGGCTAAGGATTGTAAGATTATTGGATCCGGTTTTTATGTTCTACAGTGATGTGCAGATACCCCAGGGTGTGTGTTTAAAATTTACTTGGAAGTTGTTGGAAGCCGTGTCACTTTCATTCCTCCAGCAAACAGATTCAGAGACTAAGTGATGAGTGTAAAAGGGCTATCAAGGGCTAACACCTGTGAAAGACAAGGGCCGAAAGCAGAATGGTACCGGGAGAGCCTCACACCACGATGCAGAGTGAACAGTCTCAAATAACTCACGGGGAACCGTGGAGCAGTCTGCCTATTAAAGGAGTGCTTAGTCACTGGGTGGAGGCCACCCACACAGTGCATGTCCTTAGCTCAATGGCTGAAGCAGATGCAGAAGGCAATGGTCTGGACTGTCAACAATCTACACTCCTTGCAGCTGAATGGCCAGTTATTTCTCAAAAAAGATCAAGAGGTGCACCTCCATGGCTGCCACAGGTTTCCCAAATCTCAAGACTGTTGTTCTCTTTCATCAAGCGGGGAAAATCTCAGCCCAGACATCTCTTCATTTCCCACCAACCCAGTCATTCGTTAAAAAAATAAATTCTATCAAGCATTTTCAGTTCAGCCACACCAGAGAGACTTTTGAGAACATCTAGCATGCTACAATGCCAATTAGAAACCTGTTTTAAATTGTGTACCCTGGGAAAATTTCCCATTTTATCAAATTTTTAAGGAGTGAGGGGCCTCTTGTCTGAATAGCTGCTCAGTAAGTGTGATTTCCTCACTCCAAGACACTTAGAAAACACCAGCCACACTGGACCACTTCTGCAACAAAGCACTCACCTGGGACAGAAGCCATCTGACATCTGCTGTCTGTCCTCACCCCTATCCCTCTCATTAGGTAACAGCAAACTTCCCTCTACCCCCACTCAGCTCCACCCTCTGCCAGGAAACTTTTACTTTCTGACTCCAGGAGGGTAGTGAGGCATGTCAGTCACTGCCCCACAACTGGAGCCAGCAACTGGTTCAGAGGTGGCCATGTGGCCCAACTTACATCCATGATCTGGAAAGGTACAGCTCCCTTCCACCCTTTGAATTTTGAGCTGCGGAATGCGGCCCGGGCTACTAAGGCAGATAAAAGAATGAGACTCAAACAGGCAGAAGCCAAGAGAGCAGAGAAGACCATGGTGTTCTGTCCCGGACACACGGTGCCTGGATGGGCTCCAGCTTCTCCCGAGTGCCAGGTGCCCATACACCCCACCCCGGGGTTGTCCTCCCTTCCAGTGAGTTTTGGACTAAGGCGGATAATTGGCAAAGGACATTCTCTTCCTGTCCTATGGCCCCTGTGAACACGGGCAGGGGAAGAAGGGCCAGTGATTGTCTCACCCCAAACTCCTCCCACCCACCCGTACCAAGGTTCCTCTTCTCTGACTCTGCAAACCTCTGGGAAGCTCTCAGGCCTCACAGAGAAGACTGGAGGGCCGGATCTGGTTCACTCTTTCCCTAGGGTCTGAAGGATCTGCGCCCTGTGTTCAAGGACGACGCTGAAACATTCTTTTCTGCGTGCCTGATCTGAGGCCTCACAACTCAGGTGAGCAAGACTGTGTCCCTTTCACATGGAGAAGCCGAGTTCCACGGAGGTTGAGTGAGGAGCCGGCATCACACAAGGACTCGGAGGGGCTCCTCGAGACTCGCGGGACAGAGACGGCAGCCCCAGGTGGGAAAGGCCCAGGCCAGGGACACGCTGGGCCTGGGGTGGGGGAAGGGGGGAGCCCTCGGGCGCCCCCACGAGGCCGGCGCGCTCCAGGTCCTGGACGGGATCGTCCCCTTGCGGGCCCAGTGCAGGGAGCGCGGGGAGCTGGCCGCCTTCTTCCTGCTTAGGTTTTGGCGCCGCCGCTTCTTCTCCACCTCGTCCGCCCCGCGCTCCTCCCGCTGGCGGCGCCGCCGCCGCCGCTCCCGCGCTTCTCCCTGCGCCTCAAGCCCCTAGGGCAGGCGCTAGGCGTTCCGGATTGTCGCGCCCTCCGCCTGGTTCGGCAGGTCTGTCCGCGGCCCCTTCACGTTGGCCTCCAGCTCTCGTGCCTTCCGCTGGTCCCGGCCCCGGAGTTCAGCAGCGCCCGGACTTCCTCCCTTTCCGCTGCGCGAGGCTCCCCTTCAGCTCCTGCCTGTTCCTCCTCTTTGCGCCTTGCTGGCCGGCTCGTGCTCATTCACCTCCACCTTGTGGACGACCAGCCCCGACGGCTCCTGCGGCTCCTTGCAGGCCACCTCTGGGTGGGCTTGATCGCCGCCCCGGCCCTCGGCCCTCTCGGCCTTGGCCTTTGCTCCCTTCCCTTTTTGCCGCAGCTCTTTCGCTTCCTCTTCCGGTCCCGCTCCTTCTCTCGTCGCCTTTTCTCCAAAGCGCTTGGCCTCAGCTCCTTAGCATTGTCCTGGCCCCGGGCCTCCTGTATTTCCTCCTGCAGTCGCAGTGGTTTTAATGTATGGGGGAAAGAGAACCATTGTACAGGCCTTTGATGAGGTCGCTATCTTCTAGTGAGCGTTTGCCCTGGGACGTGACTTTCGAAAGTGCTTCTCAGCATCCATTCCCCCCTCCCCTCCACTTAGGTCTGAGACAGGAATGCTAGAAGGGTTGGAGTTGAATGTTTCTCTTACCTCACTTCAGTTAGGCCCTTGTAATTTCCCTTAAGGGAAGGAGGACCAGAATGCTCTGGACTTATATCACAATGGTTATTTTTCTCCACCTTCTGCCAGGAGCATGAAGAGACTATTCTCCAGTATTCACAGTGAGAACTTGGTGGGCATCCTGGAGGTAAAACACAAAAGTGTGAAGACCTTCTGAGACTGAGCACCCAAGAGTTTTAAACTGTCAAGTTTGTCTACACTGAGTCTCAACAATTCATGAATTATTACATGTTTGTATGTTGCTAAAAATACTGGCTTCATCTGTGGTCCTCTGAACCTGGGCTTTAGTTTCTAGAATTGAGAATAAATTGTGATTATCTGTCTTTAACTGTCTGTCTCTTTTCAGGACAGCACTTTGCTGTGACTTCAATTCTGTCATGGATCTGAGAAGATTTATTTTCAGTTTGTTTAGTTTTCTCATTGATGAGAAGATGGGAGGGATTATCCCAAACTTTACTTGTTGAAGTGAAAACCAGAAGTTATGCTAAATGTTAAAGTAGATAATAAGCAAAAAAAAAAAAAAAAAAAAAATTAGCTTGGATATAGAACCCTTCTTCAGAGAAGATCAGGAAAGGAAGAACATTTATTTCTTTCTCTGCAAAAATATAAGTTTTGTTGTTAGCAAGGAAACAGTCAATTATCAAACTTTAGAATCTTGACATAAAAGTGAGTTAGCACATGTGAGAATCTGTAAACTAGACATAACTAACTCTAATGCTTTTCTTTAAAGACACAAACAACATGCTTTCTACGTGTATAAGTCACAGTGAAGAAGGAGCTTTTCTTTATGGTATCACTGTTGTTGCCCAGCCCATCTCTGTATCTCTTACTTGTATGGTGAGGAAGTACTCAGTGACAGCTCAGGTATTCCCCAATTCTGCTCTTCTTCCACATAAAAAACTTTGATGAAGTCAAATTTTGGTTTGAAGGTCTTGATGACCACCCTGTGGGAGGCTGTAGGGTATTCTCAAGCTCTCTGACATCTCACACTCCCAGCCTCAGGTGTTTCTTCCCTTGGACACCAGGATCCTTGACTCTGGTCTTACTCTCCCTTAGTCACAAGTCTCCTCATCTCATAGTTTCCCATGACGGTTCTTGCTGGACATCCTCAAGGATCTCTGTCAAACTGACAATAATTAGAGGCAATCTCAGAATTACACATGTGCCAATCTGGATTGCAACATTTTAATTCCAGGTGTCAGGTTTCCAACAATCAAGGAGAAAAATGACCATAATCCATTGACAATTCCTCTCCCACACTCAGTCAAAAATGGTCCAGATCACAGTCCTACATGCTGGAATTATTTCCTCTGCTTCTCTCTCACCCCACCTTGGCCAAAGATTTTCTAGCAAGATCTGAATTTTAATCCATCTCTCTTCGCCTGTGTGTCCCGACTAATTTGGCAGAAGGAATTCTTTCTTAAAACCTTGCCATTTAATTCACAAATGGAAATGTGAAGGGTCAATAGGTATGTGAAGAACCTATTCACCCGTATTCACTGGGAATCAGAGAAGTGAAAATGAAAAGAACACTGAGCTATCATCTTAGATACACAAAACTGTCAAACATTTGAAGGTGGCTAACACCAAATGTCAATCAGGATATGAGGAAAGTAGGAATTCTTCTATACAAGAGGACAGAAATCTGGCAGTGCCAAAAGAAAAAGTACATCTATGATCTGCCCCTCCGCAGATCCCATTCCTAATACATATATCCCAGCGAGTTCTGCTAATCTGCAGAGGATGTCTAGAAACGCATTCATCACATCAGTGTTTATAATAACCAGGAGTAGGAGGCAATCAAATGTCCTTCACAAGTGGAACTGGTAAGTTAAAGAGACTTAGGTTGGGTTTCTCTAAAACCAGGCCACAAGACAAAGATTTGTATTCCAGTGGCTTATTTTGATTTAGGAGATGATTTAAGGAATCACCAGTGCGGGAGTATAACAGTGAACCCAAGACACCTTGAGATCAATAAAAAGGTGCATTGTTGGCAGGCTGCCTGCAAAGAAAGGGAGCATAATCCCAGTAGACAACACCAGGAGGCAGTTTTGTACATGCCTAAGAGTAATCCCACCTTAGCATGTAGAACACAAGGATATTTAGTCTCCAGTTCCCATCATGTGGGCTGAGTGGTGGTCCCAGGTGCTTTAATTTGTAGTCCATCTGCCCAAGCACAGGCCAAAAGAAAGCCTTCCCACAGAGTCCCGAGTTCATGTGGCAGCATGCCAGAGGTATGTACTGGAACAGTAGGTGCTAAAGGCAACAATTACATCATGAAAACTGCACATCTCACTCATATGTGGAATCTAAAAGTAATTTAGCTCATAGAAGTTAAGAGTAGAATAGTTAGAGTAGTAGAAAGTTAAGAGTTGTTACTGGAGAGAAAAGAGGGTATGGAAGCTAGAAAAAAAGCTAGAAGGAAGGATTTTGAATGTTCTCATGACAAAGAGATGATAAATGTTTGAGGTGACAGACATGCTAATTACCATGATTTGATCTTTACACAATGTCTGCATGTATCAGAACATCACACACTACCAAATAAATATATACAATTGTTATGTGTCAAAAAACATTATATACAATGTTTATATTTTATATTAATATTAATGTAAATAAAAATTTACACAAATCTTTTCATTAAATATGGTGTGGATAATTATATTATCTGATGATACCCATGCCACAGGCTAGGAGAAATAAAAATTTACATTAATGTTAATGTCAAAAAAGCAGAAACAAAGCCATATGATACATGTGACACTTATACCACATGCATAGAGTTATTTCAGACACATTGTGTGTTACCTTTGGGTAGAGAAGTGAATGAGAGTGAGGATGAGAGATGAAAAGAGGCAGAAGAAAAAGAGAGGCCTTATAGGAAGTGATGAAAGTGTGCCATAAACTGAGAGTATGACTAAAACCTTTCATCTTCCTCTTCTGCCGCTTCTAAGTTATTGGTTCTGCTGTTCCTTGACCTGTTTCAAGCTCTCACCTTCTATATCACACATGGGAAGTCTGGCATCAGACTTCCAGAGAGCAAGAACTAGGTGAAATACAAGGGCACAGCTCTCCTAGCCTGTGGCATGGGTATCATCAGATAATATAATTATCCACACCATTTTTAACAAAAAGATTTGCGTAAGAGATTCACAGAGGCAACCTGAGGCCCTGCAACTACATTTCCCAGAGATCCCTGAGGTGATCCTAACTAGACTCTGGTGTCAGGGTGATACGGAATTCCAGTGAGATCACTTCCCTTGCAGACTTTGGAAGGGAGAGCACTTTATTACAGACCTTGGAAGCAAGAGGATTGCATTCAGCCTAGTTCCTGGTTGCTGGCCAAAGTAAGTAGAACTTTGTAAGTAATTTGCAGTGTACTTTGAAAGTGGGGTATAAATTAAAAATAAAATCAAGTCCCCCTACTGACTGAATGGATCCCCTCTTGTCCTAGGCGACCCCAGAGAAACCTGGAAAACTAAATTCCAGGCCATAATGGAAAGGGAGGTCAGACACGCCTCATTATACACACTCCCTTTTGGAGTTCAGGCACAACTGACCAGCATTAACATTGAAACAGTGATCATAAGACTGTCAAAATGGACTGTTTGTGGGAATAAGATACCAAATTCCAATCTGACTCTGGTTTAGCATCACATGACAATAGCAGACCCTGAAGGAAATCAATATATTTAATCCCCAAAATATATTTCTTTGACACATATTGAAATGGTCTTGCAAAACCATCTTTTATGGGGAAATTTGCTGGTTTCTGGCTCTGCTCTGATTGAGGAGAGAATAAATGAGAGTCTGACACCTTAAAAATCTGAAAAGAGATATTTACCATCTGTTTTCTCTAAGGCTGCTAGCTGGAGGTTTCATCTACATGACATAAACCATGGTTCCCATAAGCCCTTTTAACTCAAGCATTTAATTGTACTGACCGCAAGTCTTTAGACAAAACTTAACTCTTCAACAAATTGCCAATCACAAAATCTTTGAATCCACCTTTGTCCTGTAAGCTCTCCTACTTCAATATGTCTGATTTTCAGGCAGAGCCAATGTATACCTTATGTGGGGGCCATAGGCTGTTGGCCCCCTAAAGCTTCACTAAAAGTCACTGTCATGTGACAGGTTGATTAATAGGGGAAAGGGAGTACAAATTTATTTAATGTATATACATGGTCTATTAGCCAGGACCCTTTAGAGGGCCAGAACTAATAGGATAGATGTATACATAAAGGGGAGTTTATTAAGGAGTAGTGAGTCACATGATCACAAGGTGACGTCCCACAGTAGGCCGTCTGCAAGCTGAGGAGCAAGGAAGCCAGTCCGAGTCCCAAAACCTCAAAAGTAGGGAAGCCGACAGTGCAGCCTTCAGTCTGTGGTCAAAGGTCCAGGAGTCCAAAGGCTGAAGAACTTGGAGTTTGATGTTTGAGGGCAGGAAGCATCCAGCACAGGAGAAAGATGTAGGCTGGGAGACTAAGCCAGTCTAGTCTTTCCACATTCTTCTGCCTACTTTCATTCTGGCTGTGCTGGCAGCTGATTAGATGGTGCCCACCCGGATTGAGGGTGGGCCTCCCTTTCTCAGTCCACTGATTCAAATGTTAATTTCCTTTGGCAACACCCTCACAGACACACCCAGGAACAATACTTTGAATCCTTCAATCCAATCAAGTTGACACTCAATATTAACCACCACACTTGGGAAACTTGAGAATGAAGACCCAACTTCCCAGTAAGTTACAGAAACTCATGTATTATTCCGAGGCCACAGTAAAGAGTGGAGACTCAAAGCATGGCCAGAAACAGGTAAATTAGTTTTAGTGGCAACACAGGTTAAGAGAGAGAGGAAGGAAGAAGCTCGGCTAGCAAAGGTGGCCTTGTTATGTAGACGAACCTTTTCTCAGAAGCAAAAGATGGTAAATGTTTCTATCCAGATCTTTAAAGGTGTCAGACTCTCAATCGCTCTGGATCCTGGGAAAGGCTTAGAAACAGGAGAGGGTATGGCTGCATTAATGGACATTGTCCACAGACGCAAATTTTCCTCAGTTAAGACAGTTTTGCAATGCCACTTCTGCTTGTTGGCCAGTGGAAACCATTTTTAAATATGTCAAAGAAATATATTTGAGGGTAAAATATTTTGATTTTCTTCAGTCCCCACTTTGAAATTTAAAACAAGTTTCACATACTAAAAGCCAAGGTAATAGCTTTGGGGAGATTTAAGTTAGAGGTGTTTAGATAGAGACAGTCATAGCAGTGGAAAAACACATTTGGGATAAATATAAATGAGCAAATTTAAATATATCATTCCATATTTTCTTTAGGCAGTCCCTTGGTTTTGAGGTGAGATCAGTTCAGTTAAATATCTACGTCCCATTCCAGGAGGTGGGACTGCAAATGGTTTAGGCCTTTAGACGTAATGTAGGCAATCAGATTTCTAGTAGGAGGCATTTCTGTAGAAACAGAAAAAAATAAATAAATAAATGTTACTATCTGGAGTAGTCTATATATCTAGAAAAGCTAGTCTATAGCTTTTTCTCTGAGGCGTCTTCATATTGCAGTGGCAATGTCCCAGATTTCCCTGGAAGTTCAAACCAGGTGTTCCACTGAACTTTCTGAGAAGGCCTCACATCAGCAGATATGCATGAAGGTTGTTTATAAGTTACTGTTATTTTCTCCTGATACCTTCAGTTTGCAAGACTTTAAGAAAACCCCAGTTTTAATTTCTAGTGAATTCAAGTAAGAAAAATGGGAGAAAACGTTGAAAATGTTACTTTGCAGACTTGTAGCCAGAAAAAAATTCAGGATTTGGTCTAACTTGTAAAAAATAATAAAAACTGAAAAAACAATGGGCAAGGCTAGAAGATACTAACAGATACACTATAGTTTTTGAAACATAGTATTTCTGCTTCCAGTTCTTCAATTTTATGAAAGACATAGTTTCATGCACATCCGTGTGAAGAGACCACCAAACAGACTCTGTGTGAGCAACATGGCTGTTTATTTCACCTGGGTGCAGGCGGGCTGAGTCCTAAAAGAGAGTCAGTGAAGGGAGATAAGGGTGGGGCCATTTTATAGGATTTGGATAGATAAAAGAAAAGTACAGTCAAAGGGGGGTTGTTCTCTGGCAGGCAGAGTGGGGGTCACAAGGTGCTCAGTAGGGGAGCTATTGAGCCAGGATGAGCCAGGAGAAGGAATTTCACAAGACAGTGTCATCAGTTAAGGCAGGAACAGGCCATTTTCCCATCTTTTGTGGTGGAATGTCATCAGTAAGGCAGGAACCGGCCATCTGGATGTGTACATGCAGGTCACGGGATATGATGGCTTAGCTTAGGCTCAGAGGCCTGACACACAGTAGAACTGATTTATTTGCAAAATAAGTTTTGTTACTATACTTGGTCTGATTTTTTGCATAAAGGGCAGCAAGAATAATTATTTACTATATAGGCTCCTTTTTAAAAAATGGCTTTGCTGGAACATTCTTTTTTGTAAAGAATCTCATATTAGACCTCTTAAAAGCATCCTGAGCCCAACCAAGGATTTATCTGTTTCTACGAGATACCTGTATGAATTAAGTGAATTCTCTCTCAAGGTCCCAAAATAAGTTGGGGTTCCTGGGCCTGTCAGAATGTGACCTTCTTTTACCCATTACAGGCCAGAAACCTGTAAAGGAACCTGTAAAGGAACTGCATAGACAAGCTGTGAGGCCAGTTTTATCCACAGGGCTATTATCAGCTTTATAAAGTCCCAATATCAATTTCTTAAAAATAGGGCATTCCAGTCAAATCCTTGATTTTTGTCTCCACTTGTGGCCTGTTACAAAACAAAACAGATTCTAACTGAATTTATGCAAATAATTATATTCCCATAAATTAGCAATAATCACTAAGAGTTTCCAAATTTCAGAGAAATCAGGCAGATAGAGGGAAATATGCTTCAAATTTTGCTCACAAGAGTATACTTTACACAAATATTAAAAGCTGTAAATGTCTAAAAAGAAAAAAATTTTGACTCTGAAAAACAAAAGTGGCAATGTTTCAACAAAACCCATAAAAAGATTATTTCAGTCTTCTATTATTTCAGTCCATGCAATTAACTCCTATTCTGTTAGATATTGGGTGAGCAATCTTCATGAACATATTAGTTCTCCATGAGAGTCCTGGGAGTTTTTTTTCTCTATACCAGTGGCACAATCTCCAAAGTTATCATAAAGCTTCATTCAAAAGCACCCCTTAGAGTCCTATAGCTAATTGCAAACCACCTTTTTAAAAGCACCAAAGTAGAACAACTGTCAATGACAGAAGTCTTAGGACAGCCATGGTCAAGGACACACTTAACAAGGAAATTTGGTTATTTCTGTGGCATATAACAATTTAACATAATAATTATAAATACTAATAACATATATAAAGACATCAGAATGATAGGAATATCACGCAATGTTGAAAAACATACTAGTAACAGGTTTAATATAAATGTAGAACAAATAAAGTTGAACACCATTTCATATTTGACAATGTTTCCTATATGATTTTAACATGCCAAATACACCGAATATGTCTGTTTTTGGCTTCAGGGGACTTAATATCAAAAAAGATAATGAGGTCAACAAGACTGAATTTAGAATTTGATTTTGGAAAGTTTGATTTTCTTCAGTCCCCACTTTGAAACTTAAAACAAGTTTCATATATTAAAAGCCAAGGTAATAGCTTTGGAGAGATTTGGGTTACGGGTATTTAGATAGAGACAGATATTGTGGTGGAAAAACAAATTACAATCACCAAACAGGTCATTGTAAATAAGTCATTCATTTAGGCAAAGTGATAACTCAAAGATTTCAAAAAGTAAAAACCTTCACTCTTTGAGAGAGAGGACTCACTTTCACAAACAATAAGACCTAATAAAGACAGCATGAGGCCAACTAAATTTGTCTCTCTTCCCCAACCCATCTTTTTTTTTTTTTTTTTGCAGTTTTCTCAAAAGGTAAGCAAAAATCTTTCACTATCTCTTAATATTAAAAGAAAATCTTATTCAAAGGAAATCTAAATTTTACCATTGCATAGCTTATTATTAATGCTAAAGTTAGCATTAATAAAATCTTACAAACAAATCTATTTAATTAGTTGTAACACAAGGTAGAGATTTTTATAAATCTTTTACAACATTTTATAATTTTCCATAAAAGAGCAGATTAGTATTCTAATAAAACCCTGATATTTTGACATAAGGGCCTAGATTCTGGCCCTGAATTAGTATGCTTTTTATTTTAAGGTTTAATTTATGCAAAAACTAAATAATCCCTTTCAAATTTTAGCCAGCTGGCTTATATATAGAATTCCTTTTACAAGATCAATGATCAATCTTTCATAAACCTTTAGTTTTGTCCACATTTTTAACTTAAAACAATCTTTAAAATCTAAAAAATTTTTTTTTGTTCTTTTGAGACCGAATCTCACTCTGTCAGCCAGGCTGGAGTGCCTGCCTCCAGGGTTCAAGTGATTCTCCTGCCTCAGCCTCCTGAGTAGCTGGGATTACAGCTGTGCATGACCACACCCGCCTAATTTTTGTATTTTTAGTAGAGACGGGGTTTCACCACGTTGGTCAGGATGGTCTCGAACCCCTGACCTCGTGATCTGCCCACCTTGGCTTCCCAAAGTGCTGGGATGACAGGCATGAACCAATGCACCCAGCCTGTAATTTTTTAAATAAATAAGACTAGCTTAATATTCGTTTCATAAAAACAGCTAAATCCTGAGCTATCTGTAAAAAAATACGTTTAACATTAAGGTTTATACTTGGGTGAACACCTGATATTCACAGGCTATAAAATAGTTAGCAAGGAAATAACTTTAAATGTGACTAGTTTTGTCTAATGTCTCAGTTCTCAAAGCAATCTAGGTAAACTGCTAACAATGAATAAATTGAACAAATATAAGTGGGATGGATAAATGCTTGTTGGTTAACTTTTATGTAATTTAAAATCTTAAACTTATTTTGGATTAAAGAACAGCTACTCATTAATAGTTTGGCTCATTTCCAATTAAGTAGAGATATGGAGAAACATGCCTAAAAATTATAGAGTGATTTCATCTATAAAGTACTGATACCTGATATGCAGTTTAGGATTTCATGTTTCCTAGGTTTAAGGTCACTAAAAATAAAAATTCCACTTAATATATAATTCTGTTTATAAAGTCTGTCAAAGACATGTTTTTGATGAAAAAAGAAAATAATATAAGACAAATAGAAAAATGTATTCTCATTAAAAAGAAAATCACTTTTGTCTAATTCAAAGGTTATTTATGAAACAAAGTAAAAAGGAACCAGTAAATAGGGGAAAGAGATGTAAAGAAAGTTATAGATATAAAGATGTATTTGTGATAAGAGAGATTAAAAAGAAAAGAGAATTATTTTGTATGATAAATAATTTTATATTTTTTTCTGAAGTAAGATGACTGGTAATCTAAGAAAGAGGGAAATTTAGGATACAATGGAAAGTCCAATCATGTTGGAAGTGGCATGTGTATAATCAAATTCATAAAAGAAATTTTGTTTGTGGTTATGTTGGCTTTAATTAAAATTGAATTATTTATAGTCGTCTTTCTGGAAACTGAGCTTTGACCAAAAAAACCACAATACAAAACCAAAACATTGGTTAGAGCAATAAGGGTTTCTTAAAGTATTGATTTGCTCTTCATTAAATTCCAAGAAGTTTTAATGTTTAATGCTATTTTTTTCTTTTTGAAACTTCTCAGATATCTCAGAAGTTCAACTTCTGGTGTATCCTGCTGCTTTTAGCCTTTTCTTCATTTGAGAATAGCTGAGATCTTAACTCTCTCTTTCAACTTTTTGTTGGCTCTGGCAAATTTTTTTTTTCTTCAGGTCTAAATCTGTTGCTATAGCCTGATGCTGAAGTGTTTCGTCTTAAAGCTTCAAAAAAAGCAATGTTTTCTTCCATTATCACTTAATTCTGTGCTGTTGGCTTTTCCTCCTATGAGTAAGGGCCAGAAACCCTCTGAAGGATTACTGAAAAATCAACTCACAAAAGATAGATCAGTTGAAGAGAAGGCATGCAGATTTGTTTGGAGTGTGTATGCTGGAGTCTTCAGAATAAAGACCCCAACACACAGGGGAAATTGTCCTTTTTATGCTTAGGTGCGACAAGGTATGGGCACATATAAAAATATGATTGAGGCAAAAGGCATAACCTAATGCCAATGGACTGGGGAAACCCAGCAAGACCTGTCTGTCTAGATTCCTCTTGACCTCTCTGAGCATGTACTCCTTCCTTCTGGGTATAGGGATCTTATGACCTACAATCCAACAAGGTAAGTTGGATAATTTCTTTATGGCTAATTCATACACAGAAAGGGAGAGGGCAAATTAGAGTAATATTTTTAGACTTTGTGGCTGGTTTTGAGAAAAAGGAGTTCTGATTTCTAGGTTCTGCCTTGGGGAAAGAGATTCTAGTTTGTTTGGCCAGCTTTGAGGGATATTGGGACTGAGAGATAGGAGGCCAGGAGAAGGCCAAAGAAAAACTGACTTCTGAAGCTTTTACCTTGGGGCACTGTCTTCTGAGCTACAACGTGTATTTAAAGTCTTCGACGAAACCATGAAACTTCCTATGCTGGTACTAAGAGTCACGTATTCCCCTGCTCAAGTTACTAGTAAATTCTTTGTTAGTATTGTTCTTCAGTGGGTTCTCCCCAGTAGCTTTGGGTTGATATCCTCCCAGCTTCTAGCCTTGCAGCATAATACATGTGCTTAGATTTCAGCAAAAATGCCTCAATAGAGTTTCAATGATCTACTTAGGTCACATGCCACCCATCAGCCAAGCTTTGGTCCTAGAGCTGTTGTGTTTGAAGTGGTCCTACATAGTTTATGTGACAGCCCATAGAGCTCAATATGGGCAGCCTATTGTCCACACAGTAGCTAGACAGATCACTTTGATTAGGCGAACACTGTTCCGCTTATAACCCTTCTCTCATCCTGTCTCACTTTGATTTCTCATCTCGTTTAGAATAGAAGCCAAAATATAAGCATTGGCTCCAAGGCCACTGTTAGTTGTCAGATATCATCTCAATCCATTCCCCTTCTCACTGACTGTGCTCCAGTCACCCTGGCTTCCTGGATGTTTCCTCAACACTTGGGACAGGTTCCAGCTAAGGATCCTGGTACTTTCTGTTCCACTGCATGGAACAATCCTCCTCACACATATCCACAGAACTTATTCTCTAGCATCCTTAAAGTCTTAGTGAGCCTTTCTTTAACCACCTTGTTTGAATTCAGTGCTCTCCCTGTGCACCCACTAACCCCTCTTTTTGTTTTCACCAGGCACTTACCACAATCTAACAGACTGCATGTTTTATCCATTTATTCAGTTTCCTATTTGTGTCCCTTCAACTCCCATTAAAATATAATATTTTTGAGGGCAAGCAAGTACTAGAACAATAGGAAACACATCAAGAGTATTCTGTAAACTATTTCTTGAATCAATCAGTGAATGAATGAATTAATCAATATATTTTTTGAGTGAGGAGCTTTGTGTTAGGTACAGCTAAATGGGAAATCAAGTGGGTCATGTACCATGAATACCATATACTCTACTGTATAATTCTCCTGCTTATATCAGAAACTGTTTATAAGCCTATTATAATTGATACCAATTGGAATCTCTTTTTTACTCATCACCAAGAACACCACAAACAAGTTGTTTACCATTTGGCTCCTTATTTAATCTGGATTTCCAACTCCTCATGCTTAAAAGACGGAAGATACAATAATACTTTCCTTACAGGGTTCTGAGACTACTAAGAGAACTTATGCATGTAAAAGGGATTCATGCAGTAGAAATACTAACAAAAGAATTACTATGACAGATACTTATAACCATTGTGTTTTTACGTATTTAAAATACGTTATACCTATAATTAGTCACACGAGGAAATCAAATGCTAAAGTATGATATGTTTTTATGTTTTGTTTTTCTTGCTTAGGGGATCATGGACATTGAAGCATATTTTGAAAGAATTGGCTATAAGAACTCTAGGAACAAATTGGACTTGGAAACATTAACTGACATTCTTGAGCACCAGATCCGGGCTGTTCCCTTTGAGAACCTTAACATGCATTGTGGGCAAGCCATGGAGTTGGGCTTAGAGGCTATTTTTGATCACATTGTAAGAAGAAACCGGGGTGGGTGGTGTCTCCAGGTCAATCAACTTCTGTACTGGGCTCTGACCACAATCGGTTTTCAGACCACAATGTTAGGAGGGTATTTTTACATCCCTCCAGTTAACAAATACAGCACTGGCATGGTTCACCTTCTCCTGCAGGTGACCATTGACGGCAGGAATTACATTGTCGATGCTGGGTCTGGAAGCTCCTCCCAGATGTGGCAGCCTCTAGAATTAATTTCTGGGAAGGATCAGCCTCAGGTGCCTTGCATTTTCTGCTTGACAGAAGAGAGAGGAATCTGGTACCTGGACCAAATCAGGAGAGAGCAGTATATTACAAACAAAGAATTTCTTAATTCTCATCTCCTGCCAAAGAAGAAACACCAAAAAATATACTTATTTACGCTTGAACCTCGAACAATTGAAGATTTTGAGTCTATGAATACATACCTGCAGACGTCTCCAACATCTTCATTTATAACCACATCATTTTGTTCCTTGCAGACCCCAGAAGGGGTTTACTGTTTGGTGGGCTTCATCCTCACCTATAGAAAATTCAATTATAAAGACAATACAGATCTGGTCGAGTTTAAAACTCTCACTGAGGAAGAGGTTGAAGAAGTGCTGAGAAATATATTTAAGATTTCCTTGGGGAGAAATCTCGTGCCCAAACCTGGTGATGGATCCCTTACTATTTAGAATAAGGAACAAAATAAACCCTTGTGTATGTATCACCCAACTCACTAATTATCAACTTATGTGCTATCAGATATCCTCTCTACCCTCACGTTATTTTGAAGAAAATCCTAAACATCAAATACTTTCATCCATAAAAATGTCAGCATTTATTAAAAAACAATAACTTTTTAAAGAAACATAAGGACACATTTTCAAATTAATAAAAATAAAGGCATTTTAAGGATGGCCTGTGATTATCTTGGGAAGCAGAGTGATTCATGCTAGAAAACATTTAATATTGATTTATTGTTGAATTCATAGTAAATTTTTACTGGTAAATGAATAAAGAATATTGTGGAAAAACTCACTGTCTCTAAAGTTTATGAAAACATTGTTGGCTAATATATTGTGAATCAAAGTTTTTCTTTAGACGACTTAGGATATTATGGGGCTAGGCATTTTTTCCTCAATAGAGTCTTCCTCTCATCCTCTTTCTTGTCTCCTAGTTACATTCTTTTACTTCCATCCATACTTTGCCACAAGAGAAGGAACATGAGCTTTATTGTGTAGATCTGATTTGAAATCCTGTGGACACGGGGTGAATTACTTTTAAAATCTGTGGCTCTGATTCCTCAAAGATAAAATGCAAATAATATTTATATAATTCACTGCCAGATATAAATTTTCAAAACTATTTGTTATATGGATGAATAACATCATTAATATTGTGGTTGCTGGGCCAGCATTTGCCAAAAGTTCTCCTTCCATTTTGCTTTATTTTCCTGTAACTTGAAATTCTGGTCCTACTGTCATCTGCCTGCTTCTTCCTTAATTAAATATTGATAGGATATCAGATGTCTCGGATCTGAGAGTGTGCCTTGTGATTCAAAATCTGAATCTTTACTTATCCATAACTCAGATTTTCTGTTTGTAAATTCCAGTATCAGGGCTATAGTTTAAACTGCAGATTTGTTCTTAACACTATTCTCCCTCTTCGACTCGTGATGACTATAATAATCTTAAGAGAAAAGCAGACATTAGAATGAATAAATATTCATTAGGAGAATAAATTACATTGAAGCATCAGTATTTTAGGCAGCAGTGTAATAGTTGGGAGATACTGGTGAGTGTAGATATCCTAGGAAGAGGTGGATAGGAGATCTGGCCTCAGTGGGAAGGACAAATGAAAGACATATAGCAATATTTGAGAGCTTGTCATCTTTCTTACCTATTAGCCTTGTTCAGCTCTCCTGCTATCTTGTTGCAATGCCAGGTCACCACTGGTGCTCCTAGGCAGACCCAAGTTTCTCACATTCTGAGCAAGATCACATCACAGGAGGATGTGGTGGCAAAAAAACAAAAATGAAAACAAAACAATCAAACAAAAAACCAGATAAAAATGTGGCTCAAGTATGATGATACAGTTGTATACAAATGAATCAAGTAAATTATATTGCACAACGAGTATCCTGAAACCTAATTCAGTTGTTTTGTTCTTGATTATATATAGCACATAATGGAAAAAGCAAAAATATGTTCAGAGAGATTCAGAAATACACAATTTCGCTTCCAGGTTGAAGCCTTCTGCCCTTATTATGCAATGTTACCTTTTCTCTAATGAAATCTAAATGAGTGAAGAAGAATCTCACCAATTGATTTGGCCAGAGATTTTAAGGTGCCTCTTAATTGTTTGTGTTTGTCCAAACCCATGTCTCTGTTTTTGGTGGCCCCCTGGAGACTAGGATGTGGCATATCTTGGTAGAACTCTGAGATAAGTAAGGTAGAAACCAAACCTTCTAGACGTAACTGGGAAGGTAGGATGTTGGATGTATATTCCAGTTCTTCTATTTTCAAGGTGAAGCTGAGTGTGTGTGTTTATCTGCCACTCTCTCTGCTGAAAGCCAGGGAGATTATATGGGGCAAGTACCCATACTGGTGTTCAGGCGGCAGCCTCTGATCCTAGGGAGATACCTATTGGAAGTAAGCCTACGTCATATCCACCTATTTGTTTTTTGTGGCCTAGGGACATTCAGGAATGGAAAGCCCCACTGATTCCCAGAGCTAGTTCATTAAGAAGACAGTGCCTTTGGTGGGAGCTATATAAGTTGTGGCTCTTGGTGTGTGAACTAACTCCTTCAAGGTAAATGAATAGGCCTAGATTTATTACTGGGGTGAGCTGGAAGAAAGGCTCAGGAAGTGCCAAGCTGTGGCTCAGATTACTGGAGGGCTACTGTTTGCTCACCAATGCAAATGTATTAGAAGCAAGCTTGTCAAATAGTCATGGAAAGAATGTGCAGGAAAATCCTTCTGGAGGGAAAAATGGGAGCTGTGCATTCCAGAATTTTTTCTGCACTGCACCCAGAGGATGTAGCCCCTGGAAGTACTTAGATGCCCATTGAAAACCACCTCTTTGTCCTATAATCTAGAGAGACTCACATGTGCCTTCTTCCGTTCTTTGAGCTAGAAGGTATTTAGGATTCAGTTAATCGTGGTTGCTATAAAAGTTGCAGCACCTAATGTATGGCATAAATAAATCCTTTCTGGGAAGAAACACGGAGCTGCATTTTTAGAGTTCCTTCTCCACACTCCTCCCATAGTATGAAGTCTGTGGAAGTGCATGCAGGCTCATATAAAACTGCCTTTTCTGTGGCCTAGAGAGACTTGCATACACCTAGTCCCCTCTACCCCAGAGTTGGGAGGTTTAGGATGCAGTCCTAAGAGTGGAAAGAGTGGACAAACTCTTTTCAGGTCGGATTAATAGACCTGCAATTATCACTGGGGTTAGGGGAGAAAGCACGGGAAGAGACAATCTCCTTCTCAGGCTGCTAGTGGGATATTTGTCTCCTTTCTCCCCAGTGCATGTTGGAAACCAGGCCACCAAGTAGCCACTGGAACAGTGTGCCATAAACCCATTCCAGGAAGTGACAGACAGCTGCATTTTAAAGCCCCTTCTGTACATTGCTCCTGGGGGATAAGGCTCCTGGAAATGCTATGCACCTGTATAAAATCACCTTTTTCCTGTGGTCTAGAGAGACTTGCATATGTCTAATTCCCTCTACTTCAAGAGGTAGGAGGTTGAGGATGTAGTCTTAGGTGGAAGCTGTAATAGTGGGATGCTCATCATGTGGACAAACTCTAGGAGGAATCAGTAGACACAAAATTATAGCTGACTAGATTGGGAGAGGCAGTTGTCTCATCTAACATACAGAAACTAACACAGAAAGTCAAAGAAAATGATGAAACAGAGATATATATTCCAATTAAAAACAAAATAAATTTCCGAAACTGTACCCAAGTGATGTGGAGATATGCAATTTACCTGACAGGGAATTTAGAATAAAGGTCATAAAGATGCTCTCTGATCAGGTGACCAATGTAGGAACAAAACTGTGAATTTCAACAAAGAGATTTTTTAAAAGTTTTTAAAACACCAGACAGAAATTATAGAACTGAAAAATACTCTGACTAAAAAATCTAATAGAGATGTTCAACAGCAGGCTACATCAAACAGAAGAAAGAATCAGGGAACTCAAAGACAGGTCATTGAAAGTTATCAAGTTTCTGTTTCAAGAACCAGAAATACCATTTGACCCAGCAATCCCATTACTGGGTATATACACAAAGGAATATAAATCATTCTGTTCTAAAGACACATACATGGGTATGTTCACTGCAGCACTATTCGCAATAGCAAAGATGTGGAATCAATCTAAATGCCCATCAA
This sequence comes from Homo sapiens, assembly GCF_000001405.40. Classification (NCBI taxonomy): domain Eukaryota; kingdom Metazoa; phylum Chordata; class Mammalia; order Primates; family Hominidae; genus Homo; species Homo sapiens. Next base: position 18,404,580 of record NC_000008.11, read on the forward strand.
TGATACACTGGATAAAGAAAATGTGGTACATATACACCATGGAATACTATGCAGCTATAAGAAAGAATGAGATCATGTCCTTTGCAGAAACATGGATGAAGCTGGAGGCCATTATCCTTAGCAAACCAATGCAGAAACAGAAAACCAAATACCACATGTTCTTACTTGTAAGTGGGAGCTAAATGATGAGAACACATGGACACATAGAGGGGAACAACTCACACTGGGGCCTACTGGAAGGTGAAGAGTAGGAGGAGAGAGAGAAGCAGAAAAAATAAATAACGCGTACTAGGCTTACTACCTGCGTGACAAAGTAATCTGCAAAACAAACCCCCATGACATGAGTTTATCTATATAACAAACCTGCACATGTACCCCTGAACTTAAAATAAAAATTAAATTTAAAAAATAAGATTAATATCTGCATACAAATCTTTGTTTACAGCTTGTTATATATTGAATTATGTCTGCTCCCCCAACATTCATATGTTAAAGCCCAAAGTTATTGTGTTTGGAAATAGGGCTTTTAGGAGATATTTAAGGTTAAATAAGGTTATAAACGTGGAGTCTTAATCTGATAGGATTGGTGGCTTTATAAGAAAAAGAAAAGAGATTGCTCTCTCCCCAGTGCAGTTACCAAGGAAAGGCCATGTGAGAACATAGCAGGAAGGCAGCCATCTGTAACCTAAGGAAAGAGATCTGTCAAAGGACAAAACTACAACAAATGTAAAGATCTCAATTGGCTTTATCTGCGATTCTGGAATCAGGCAATACTCCATTTCATAAAACAGAACTAGTGCTCCAATGAGCTGAGCAAAAGGGGTTGTTAGTTTTATAGACAGAGAAGGACGGAAGAAAGCAGAAATAACGAATGGAAAGTAGATTGGTCAAATTTACTTTCCTTTTAAGGCAGAAAAATAGAACAATAACTATTCAAGTAATCTTAAGGTTACTTCAGGTTAAGGGTTAAAACAGAAGGAATTTTATCATCATGCTTATTGAAGATTCAAACTGGCCTGTTTAAGAAATTGGCTGTTATCTCTTTCTATCTTTTATTTTAAGAGGCTTCCTCAGATACCATGCTGGTGGAAGAAGGGGAGTGCCACCTTTCTACGGCCAGGTGGACATAAATATCCAAGTTCCCCATTCAATCTCCTTGCCATTCAAGGCAAGGTACCTTGTTACTGCTCAGTGGAGACGAAAATTTCTGATTTCTCAGAAGGTCAGGTAACAACTTAGTTTTAGTTTAGTGATGTTGATCCTCAGCCTGAGTGACTCCATTGTGATTTTTAGTCTGGTCTGTTGGGGTTTGGTGTAGGATCTTAGTCCAAACCAACTGCCTCCTATAATTTTTAATTTAACAGCCCTCGCCAGGTAGTGACTCTGCTGGCACATTGATTTGGACTTTTTAGCCTCCACAACAGTGAGAAAATAAGTCTCTGTTGTTTAAGTAAAAAAAAAAAAAAGAAAAAAAGTCACCCAGTTTGAGGAGCAAAAATAGAAAATAGTGAAGACATTTTAAGAGACTAATGGAATACCATCAACCGACCATCATATGCATTATTGATGTTCCAGAAAAATACAGAAAGTAACATTGAGCCAGAAACTTCTCAAGCTTTTAGAAGGAAACAGAAATCCTGATTTAGTAAGCTCAAAGATGCCAAGTAAGATTAATACACTGAGAAACATCATAATCAAATTGTCAAAAGTTAAAGAAAAACAGAGTTTTGAAAGCAGCAAGAAAAAAGCAAATTGTTATGTACAAAGGAATCCCAATGACATTATCAACAAATTTTTCAGCAGAAACCTTGTAGGCCAAAAAGGAGTAAGATGACATTTTCAAAACTTTGCAGGGGCGGGGTGGAGGCGAGTAGGGGGTGGGAATCCAATTAAGAATACTCTACCCAACAATCCTGTCTTTCAAAAATGAAGGGTGAAAAAGACTGACAAACAAAGGCTTAGTTTATCACCACTAGACATGCATTGTAAAAATTCCAAAGGGAGTTCTTTAAGATGGAGGAAGGGGATGCTAATTAGTAGCATGAAAGTATAAAGCTTACTGATCAAAGGAAGAACATTTTCAAATCCAAGACACTCTAATACCGTAATGGCAATGGGTAGGTCAATTTAGTATACGTTAAAACGATTTAGTATATGCTATACCTTTAACCTTTATTGTTTTAACATACACTAAATTGACCTACTCATTGCCTAGGGTTAAAGGTTAAAGGTATAAACTTTAAACTTAGTATAAAGATTAAAACTCAAAACTATTAAAAATGACTAAAGCTGCAATAATTTAAGAGACATGAATTATGAAAAGATGTAAATTGTGACATCAAAAGTATAAAATGGGGGGAAGAGGAGTAAAACTATAGAGTTTGTGTATGTGGAGAGATAGAATGCTTTATGTCATGGCTTTATGTCAGAGCATGTGATCAATCTTAAACAATGTTCCATGTGCAGATGAGAAGAATGTATATTCTTTGTGTTTGTTGGCCAGGGTATTCTGTAGATATCTATTAGTTCCATTTAGTCAATTATAGTTTAAGTCCAGAAGAAAGTTAAAACCGTCAAAAGTTAAAGACAAAAAAATAGTCTTGAAAGCAGCAAGAGAAATGCAAATTGTAATGTACAATGGAACCCCAATGATATTATCAACAGATCTTTCAGCAGAACCCTTGTAGGCCAGAAAGGAGTAAGATGATATATTCTAGACCTTGTGGGAAAAGGCCAGCTAAGAATAACGTAACTACATTAAATAAGAACCAAACAGAACTGCTGGAATTGAAATATTCACTACAGGAATTTCAAGATACAGTCGAAGGTTTTTTAAGTAGACTGGACAAGAGGGAGAAAAACACTAAACCTATGACTTATTAGCATTTCTAGCAGAGACTAAGAAAATGCTACCTGGAAAACATATTTGAGGGTGTAATTCAGGAAAATTTTTCCAATCTTGCTAGAGAGGTAGACATGCAGATACAAGAAATTTAGAGAACTCCTATGAGATACTATACAAGATGACCATCCGCAAGGCACATAGTTACTAGAGTATCTGATACAGTGTTGGCTGTCCTCTCCAAATCTCATGTTGAAATGTATTCCCAAATGTTGGAGATGTGAGGCTTGTTGGGAGGTGAATGGATCACTGGGGCAGATTTTTTCATAATGCTTTTCCACCATCCCTTTGGTGCTATCCTCATAACAATGAGTGAATTCACACAAGAGCTGGTTTTGTAAAAGCGTGTGGTATCTTCCCCCTTACTCTCTCTTGGCACCACTTTCACTATGTGACATGCATGCTACCATTTCCAACATGAGTAAACGCACCCTGAGGCCTCCCCAGACGGAGAGTAGATGCCAGCACCATGCTCGTTCAGCCTACAGAACTGTGAGCCAATTACACCTCTTTTCTTTATAAATTACTCAGTCTCAGATGTTTCTCTATAGCAATGTAAAAATGGCCTAATCCACTATACAGGGTAAATGAAAGAGAAAAAAAAACTTAAAGACAGCTGAAAAAAGGGTCAAATTACCTATAAAGGCAATCCCATCAGAATAATGGTGGACTACGCAACAGAAGCCTTTCAAGCCAGAAGCAATTGGAAATCAATTTTTAGCTTTCTTTTTTTTTTTTTTTTTTTTTTTTTGAGATGGAGTCTCGCTCTGTCACCCAGGCTGGAGTACAGTGGCGCGATCTCGGTTCGCTGCAAGCTCCGCCTCCCAGGTTCACGCCATTCTCCTGCCTCAGCCTCCCAAATAGCTGGGGCTACAGGTGCCCGCCACCGCACCCGACTAATTTTTTGTATTTTTAGTAGAGACGGGGTTTCACTGTGGTCTTGATCTCCTGACCTCGTGATCTGCCCGCCTCGGCCTCCCAAAGTGCTGGGATTACAGGCATGAGCCACCGCGCCCAGCATTTTAGCTTTCTTAAGGAAAAAAAAATGCCAGCAAAGAAATTCATATCCCACCAAAGTAAGCTTCAGAAACAAAGGAGAAATAAAGTCTTTCACAGAGAAGTAAATGCTAAGAGAAGTTATTACCACCAGACTGACCCTACGAGAAGTGCTAAACATGGAAACAAAATAATGGTACTTGCTAACACAAATGCACATGTGAGTACAAAGCCCACAGACACTGTAGAGCAACTATGCAATAGAGACTGTAAAGCAGCTAGCTAACAATGCTATGACAGGAACAAAACCTCTCGTATCAATATTAACTGTGAATGTAAACAACCTAAATGCTCCACTTAAAATTCATAGAGTGGCAAGTTGGATTAAAAAAAAAAAGGCCAAGCCTGCTCTCTTTAAGAGATCCATCTCACATGTAATGACACCCATAGGCTCAAAATAAAGGGATGGAGAAAGATTGATCAGCAAATGAAAACAAAAAAGAGATCACTATTCTTGGGTTAGGTAAAATCAAACTTTAAACCAACAACAGTAAAAAAGGACAAAGAAGGATGTTGTATAATGATAAAAGTTTCAATTCAATAGATTTATCTATCTTAAAGATGTATGTACCCAACTCCAGAGCACAGAGGTTTACAAAAACTTACTACTGGATATAAGAAAAGATATAGGCAGCCATACCATAATAGCGGGAGACTTTACTACCCCACTGACAGCATTACCACTTCAGTCCAGAATTTCTTTGTCGGTTTTCAGCATTAGACACTGTAAGAATTAAAGAGGAAAGAAACATGAAAGGTGGCTTTACAGCCAAGAACAGGTTTACTTTAGAAAACAAACATGAGAGGTGCTTCTGGCCAAGTTAGGTCAGAGCCACACTTTCTTAAAGACTAAGAGTTTTTAAGGATTCAGGGTGTGAGAGTTTATCACAGGCTTTGACTGCTTCCGTGTCTTTTTGTTGTGCTTGTCTGGGAGGGAGCGTTGTGTGTCTGTTCCCACACGTCTTCCTGCAGCTGCAGGCATACACCCTACCCCCAATTCTGAGTCTGCTTTTAGCTTCCCTATCTTAGTGCACCTGAAGGGAAAGGAATGTACTTATTAAGGCCATTGTATGAGGGTGAAGTTTGGCAGTTACCCGGGAGACTTTCTCCCTACCTCCCTCTGTGCCTGAGCTGTCTTATCTGCGTTTTACTGTCTGCTCTTTCTGGCTGCTTATAGTTAGAAGAGAAGTGATTTCCTTGAAATACATGAGGCTAGAAAGGGAGCTGGAACTTAAAGTGGCAGTGTTTGTCCGAGACGATGGTGCTCCTGCCCTGTCAGACAGATCATCAAGGCTAACAAATTCTGGACTTAAATGGGACAGTTGACTAAATGGACCTAATAGACACCTACAGAATACTCCACCAGACAACCACATCATACACATTCCTATCTGTGCATGAAAAACTCTATAAGGTTGACCACATCCTCTGACACAAAGCAAGTCTTGATACATTTTTAAGAAATCAAAACTATGTCAAGCATCTTCACAGACCATGGTGGAATAAAATTAGAAATCAATAACAGGAGCTCTTAGAAATACACAAATACATACAAACTAAACAACTTGCTGCTGAACGAGTTTTGGGTAAACATCAAAATTAAAGCAGAAATCAAAAAATAATCCGAAACAAATGAAAATAGAGACATAGCATACAAAAAGTTCTGGGATACAGCGAAGGTAGTGGTAAGAGGAAAGCTTGTAGTGCTACATTCCTACATTGGAAAGTCAGAATGATCTGAAATTAAAGCCTAATATTTCCCCAATGGAACTAAAATAATAATAACAACTTAACCCAAAGCTAGCAGAAGAAAAAGAAATAACTAAAATCGGAATAGAACTAAATGAGATTGTGATTTTAAAAATTATGCAAGGGATCAACAAAATGGAAAATTAGTTCTTTGAAAGGGTAAACAAGATTAATTGACAGCTAGATAAACAAAGGAAAAAAGAGAGAAAATCCAAATAAGCATAACCAGAAATTACAAAGGTGACATTACAATTGATACCACAGAAATACAAAAGATCCTTAGAGCCTACTATGAACATCTGTATGCAAACAACTAGAAAACCTAGAGGAAATGGAAGAATTCCTGGAAATACACAGCCTTCTAAGATTGAACCAGGAAGAATTTCCAAACCTGGACAGACCAATAATGAGTTATAAACTCAAATCAGTAATTAAAAAACTGCCAACCAAAAAAAGCCATGTACCAGACGGATTCACAGCCAAATTTCACCAGATGTACAAAGGAGAGCTGATAGCAATTCCACTGAAACTATTCCAAAAAATCAAGGAGGAGTCCTTCCTTCATTCTATGAAACCTGTATTATCTGGTACTAAAATCTGCCAAGGACACAAAAATACTACAGGCCCATATCCCTCACGAATATAGATGCAAAAATCCTCAAAAAATACTAGCAAACTGAATCCCGCAGCATAACAAAAATATAAATCACCATGATCAAGTGAGACTTATTACTGGATGCAAAGATGGTTTAACATACACAAATAAATAAATGTGATTCACCACATAATCAGAATTGAAAAGAAAAAACATGATCATCTCAATAGATGAATAGAAAAATCATTAGGTAAAATCCAACATGCCTTCATGATAAAAAGCCTCAACAAACTAGGCATTGAAGGAATACACCTAAAAATCCTAAGAGCCATCTATGACAAACCCATGGCTAACATAACACTGAAAGGGGAAAAGTTGGAAGCATTTCATCTAAAAACTAGAACGAGACAAAGATGTCCACTCTCACCACTCCTATTCAACATAGTATTGGAAGTGCTAGCCAGAAAGCAATCAGGTAATCGAAAGAAATAAAAGGCGTCCAAATAGGAAAATAGGAAGTCAAATTATCTCTATTAACCATTGACATGATTCTATACCTAGAAAACACTAAAGATTCCTCGAAAAGACTCAGACCTGCTAAATGTTGCCCAGAAAGTTTCAGGATACAAAATGAATACACAAAAATCAGTAGCATTTCAATATACCAATAATGTTCAAGCTGGAAACCAATTCAAGACTGCAATCTCATTTACAATAGCCACACAAAAATAAAATACCTAGGAATACATCTAACCAAGGAAGTAAATGATCTTTACAAGCACTAAAAAACCCTGCTGAAAGTAATCATAGATGACACAAACAAATGGCAAAATATTCCATGTTCATGGATTGGAAGAATCAGTATCATTAAAATGGCCGCACTGCCTAAAGCAATCCTCAGATTCAGTGCAACTCCTATTAAATTGCCAACATCATTTTTTCAAAGAATAAAAATAAAGTATTCTAAAATTTATGTGGAACCAAAAGAGAACCCAAATAGCCAAAGCAATCATAAGCAAAGAGAACAAATCTAGAGGCATAGCATTACCTGACTTCAAACTATAGTATAATGCACTATAATTCAGTTGCACTGAAGCCTCAGATTCAGTGCAACTCCTGTTAACTTGCCTATGTCATTTTTTCACAGAATCAAAAAGAAATTATTCTAAAATTTATGTAGAATCAAAACAGAATCCAAATAGCCAAAGCAATCCAAAGCAAAGGGAACAAATGTAGAGGCATAGCATTACCTGACTTCAAACTATAATATAAGGCTATTCTAACACAAATAACCTGGTACTGGTCAAACACACACACACATAGATCAATGGAACAGAACAGAGGACCCAGAAATAAAGGTGCACACTGATAACCAATGGATCTTCAACAAACTCAACAAAAATAAGCAATGGGGAAAGACTCAGTAAGTAGTGCTGGGAAAACTGGCTGGCCATATGCAAAAGAATTTAACTAGACCCCTGCCTTTCACCATGTGCAAAAATTAACTCAAGAAGGTTTAAAGACTTAAATATAAACCTCCAACTATAAAAATCCTAGAAGAAAATAAAAAAAAAAAAACTCTTTTGGACATTGGGCCAGGTGAAGAATTTATGAGTAAGAGCTCAAAGGTAAATGTGACAAAAACAAAAATTGGCAAATGGGACTTAATCCAACCAAAGAGCTTCTGCATGGCAAAAGAAATGATCAACATTGTAAACAGACAACCTCCAGAATGGGAGAACATATTTGCAAAATATTCATCTGACACAAAAACTAATATCCAGATTCTACAAGGAAATTAAGTCAACAAGCAAAAAACAAATAATCCCATTAAAAAGCGGGTTATAGACACTTATCCAAAGAATACATACATATGTTTGTTGGCATACAAGTGGCCAATAAACATATAAAAAATGTTCAACATCACGAATCACCAGAAATATGAAAATTAAAACCCCAGTCAGATACCATCCGATATAGTTTGGATATTTTTCCCTGCCCAAATCTCATGTTAAACTGTAATCCTTAATGTTGGAGGTGGGACTGGTGGGTGATGTCTGGGTAGCGGGGGCAGATCCTTCATAGATTCATGTTTTCTTACCATAGTGAGTTCTCATGAGATCTGGTGGTTTAAAAGTGTGTAGCATCCCCCGCCTTCCTCCTACTTTTGCCAAGTGACATGCTTGCTTCCACTTTGCCTTCCAACATTAGTTAAAAGCTTCCTGAGGCCTCCCCAGAAGCTGAGCAGATGCTGGCACCATGTTCCTGTCCAGCCTGCAGAACCATGAGCCAATTAAGCCTCTTTTCTTTATAAGTTACCAGCCTCAGGGTTTTTTCTGTTTTTGTTTGTTTGTTTATGTGTTTGTTTGTTTGTTTTTGAGATGGAGTCTTGCTCTGTCGCCCAGGCTGGAGTACAGTGGCGCGATCCCAGCTCACTGCAAGCTCTGTCTCCTGGGTTCACACCATTCTCCTTCCTCAGCCTCCCGAGTAGCTGGGACTACAGGTGCCTGCCACCACGCTTGGCTAAATTTTGTATTTTGTAGTAGAGACGGGGTTTCACTATGTTAGCCAGGATGGTCTCGATCTCCTGACCTTGGGATCTACCCGCCTCAGCCTCCCAAAGTGCTAGGATTACAGGCGTGAGCCACTGCACCCCAGCCGGTTTTTTTTTTTTAATAACAGTGCAAAACAGTCTAACACACCATCTCATACCAGTTTGAATGGTAATTATTAGAAAGCCAAACAATAACAGATGTTAGAGAGGCTGCAGATAAAACAGAATGCTTACACACTATAGGCGAGAATGTAAATTAGATTAACCTTTAAACAGCAGTTTGGAGATTTCTCAAATAACTAAAACTAGAACCATTCGGTCCAGTAATCCCATTACTAAGTATCAACTCAAAGGAAAAGAAATCATTCTCCCAAAGAGACACATGCACTCGTGTGTTCATCACAGCACTATTAATAACAGCAAAGTCATGGACTCGACCTAGGCACCCATCGAAGTTGGGCTGAATAAAGAAAATGTTGTACATATACACCATGGAAACTACACAGCCATAAAAAAGAATGAAATTACGTCCTTTGTAGCAACATGGACACAACTGAAGGTCATTATCCTAAGCAAATTAATGCAGGAACAGATAACCAAATATTGCATGTTCTCACTTATAAATGAGAGGTAAGCATTGAGTACACATTGACATAAATGTGGAAACACTAGACACTGGGGATTCCTAAAGGGGAGAGAGAGGAAAGGGGACGAGGGCTGAAAAACCACCTATCAGGTACTGTATTCACTATTTGAGTGATGGATTCAATAGAAGCCTGAACTCCAGCACTATGCAATATAACCATGTAACAAACCTGACTTGTACTCTCTGGATCTAAAATAAAAATTTGATTTAATTTTTAAAAAGGAAAGAGAACAATAGAAAAAAACTGATTGGTTAACATCAGACTACTTCAGGTTACTTTTTTTGTAAGGGTTAGAGCAGAGAAGACTTTCTTATTATGATGGAATCTCCTGTTTCCAGAAGAAAAAAGTCTGTTTGGGGATCTATGTGCTTGCTTAAAGCTTCAGGTTGATTATGTTGTATTTAGCATGAGTGACTCCATTTTGGTTTGCTCCAATCTGTTCAAGCCTAGTACGTAAGCTCAGTCTAAATCAATGGCCTTCCATCATTTTTTTTTTTAACACAAGTAAGATCTTCAAACTACCTGCTATGCCAGAGCCTCATTGGACCTAATTAAAGACTCTTTCCTGACCAATGAACAGTAGAACTTGTTTTAACCAAGATGCAAACTTATGTAATTATTTGTCTCCAGGTAGTCAGAAAATGTCAATGTTAATTCATAGGGCTACCACCAAACTCCCCTTACTAGCAATAAAAACTTCTGACTTTTCCTCTCCAGGGAGCTACTTGGTAAATTCTTCACTCATGTGAGTTCCCTTGTCTGGCAAGTAAATAAGCTCAGTGCCCGCTTGCTTTTTCAATATTTGGATTTAGTCTTCCCTTTATAGAAAATAAGGACATGTTGTACTGTATTCTTGCACACTGAAGTCTGGGGGCTACGATTCATTCAGCTCATTGTACAGGTCATCAGGCCTGCTAAAACGAACAGATGCCAATCTGAAACCTGAATATTAGCGTGTATGAAATGCCGATTGATGGAAGGAATTGCTTGCATTCCTAAAGCAAACTCTTAGTTGTTGTTGTTGTTCCTATCCCCACCATCTTTCGAAATGCTGAGATTCCAGTACTCCCTTGGCTCAGCTTTATTGTTTGCACTGAGAAAAACCCCATATGAACCTTTTAGCTTTGCAAATGTGAGGCAAAGCTATCTTCCAGAAAGTAAATGTGGAACAGCAGTTCCCTAAGCACAGCAGCTTTGGGATGACAACGGGAACGTGGGAGACCCTCAGAGGAGCCTCTCTCAGGAAAGGAGCAAAAATCAAAAGCTGAAGGATGATTTTCATAATAATGTGGGCATTCACAGTAGCTTCAGGGCCGAAGTGACCATGTGAGGCCCCATATTAAAGAAGCAATGCTCCCTGCTCTCAAGAGCTTTGCTCTGACAACATAGAACTGGTAGCTGTTTTAAATGATAGTTTCCCATTATATTTTCTAACTGGTTGTATTACTTTGCTAGGGCAGGATACCACAGACTGGAAGGCTTGAATGACAGAAATTTATTTTCTCACAGCTCTGGAGGCTAGAAGTCTAAGATCAAGATGTTGGCAGTTTTGATTTCTCCTGAGGCCTCTCTCCTTGGCTTACAGATGGCCACCTTCTCACTGTGCCTTCACAGGCACCTCTTTGTCTGTGTATTGTCTGTGTCCCAATCTCCTTTTCTTATAAGGACACAAGTCATATTGGATTATAGCCCACCCACACATTTTACGTTAATTCTCTCTTTAAAGGCCTCATCTCCAAATACAGTCACATTCTGAGGTAGTACAGGTTAGGACTTCAACATATAAATTTGGGAAGGGGCATAATTCAATACATAACATTCTACCCCTCGGCCTCTAAAATGCATGTTTTTCTGTATGCAAAATTCATTCACCTCATCTTAACAGCACCAAAAGTAGCTAAGACTTTCCAGCATCAACTCTAAGTCCCAAGTCTCACCTAAATATCATCTAAATTAGGTATGGGTGAGATTGGAGATATGATTCATCCCCCGGCAAAATTCCCCTTCAGCTGTAAACCTGTAAAACCAGACAAGTCATCTGCTTCCAAAATACAATGGTGAGACAGGCATAGAATAAACATTTCCATTCCAAAAGCGAAAAATCAGAAAGAAGAAAGAGGCCCCAACCAGGTCTAAAACCAAGGCAAATTTTATCAGATGTTAAAACTCAAGGAGAATCCTCCTTGGCCCCAATCTCAATCCTCTAGACCCACAAGGCTGGCATCCCCAGCCTCTGGGCCCACCGGAGTGATGGCCCCACCCTCTCAGCCTGGAGGCAGCAACCTAACCCAATGAAACCGAGGAGGTAACCTGCCCTATGGAACCAAGGAGGAGACAACTCTGTCCCCCTAGCCTCTGCCCTCTGGGCTCATGGTGGCAGTGGCAGTCCTACTAATCTCTAGACCACCTTCAGGGTTAATCTTCCCTTTCTTGAAAAATAATGCATGTTTGCAGCCAAGTAGCTCTATTGGCCTGTCCTGTAGAAATCCCAGAAGTTAGACAGAATTATTTCATTTCATTCTGTCTTTGTCCTCTTCAGTTCAAGCTGATAGCATTTCTGCTGAGATTACTGACTGGATCCATGAGTCACACTCATAATTTCTATATCAAAGTGTGGTCCAGCCACACACTCGGTGTTCTCTCCAGAACACTCTTTCTCATCTTTTTCAATATGGATAAACTGACATAAAAAAGAATGAAATCATGACCTTTGCAGCAACATGGATGCAGCAAGAGGCCATGATCCTAAGTGAGTTAATGCAGAAACCAAAAATCAAATACCATATGTTCTCACTTACGAGTGGGGGCTAAACCCTGAGCACACATCGGCACAAACATGGAAACAACAGATACTGGGGATTCCAAAATCGGGGAGGGAGAGGAGAGGAAAAAGGTTGAAAAACTACCTATCAGGTACTATGTTTACTATTTGGGTAACAGGACCCAGAGAAGTCTAAACCTCAGCATCTGCAATGTAACCTATGCAGCAAATCTTCACAAGTATCCCCAAAACTAAAATTTAAAAAAATACAATAATTTATTTTTTGAGACAGGGTCTCACTGTGTTGCCCAGGCTACAGTGCAGTGGTGTGATCTCAGCTCACTGTGCCCTCCACCTCCCAGGTTCAAGCGATTCTCCTGCCTCAGCTTCCTGAGTAGCTGGGATGACAGGTGCACAACACCACCATGCCCAGCTGATTTTTGTATTTATAGTAGAGACGGGGTTTTGCCATGTTGGCTAGGCTGGTCTTGAACTCCTGACCTCAGGTGATCCGCCCGCCTCAGCCTCCCAAAGTGTTGGGATCACAGGCTTGAGCCACTGCGCCTGGCCAATAAATATTTTTAAATATGAAAAACAATATGCACAGGCTGAGAACTCTAAATTTTCAAGCTTTGGTTCCTTTTTGCCTGACCATTTCTTTTTCTCAATTTATCTCTCTCCTTTCACATTTTACTGTAAGCAGCAAGGAGAAACTAGGCCTCCCCTTTCCCCTTCAGCACTGTTTGAAATCTCCTCAGCTAAATATCCAGGTTCGTCACTTACAAGTTCTTCCTTCCACAAAATACTAGAATACAGTTCAGCCAAGTCTTTTGCCACATGATAGCAAGGCTCGCCTTCCCTCCGGTGTTTGAGGCCTTGCCAGAAGCACCTTTAATGTTCTTTTTTTTTGGAGACAGAGTCTCGCTCTGTTTGCCCAGGCTGGAGTGCAGTGGTGTGATCTCAGCTCATGGCAATTTCCACCTCCCGGGTTCAAATGATTCTCCTGTCGCAGACTCCCGAGTAGCTGGGGTTACAGGTGCCCGCCACCACACCTGGATAATTTTTGTATTTTTAGTAGAGACAGGATTTCACCGTGTTAGCCAGGCTGGTCTCAAACTCCTGAGCTCAAGTGATCCGCATGCCTCCCAAAGTGCTGGGATTACAGGCATGAACCACTGCGCCCAACCTAATGTCCATACTGCTAGCAACAGTCTCTTCAAGGTAATGTAGGCTTTTTCTAATGTGCATGTCAACAATCTGCCAACCTTTACCCAGGACTCAATTCCAAAACCAACCACTTCTATATTTTTAGATACTGGGAGTTAGGACATCAACATATGAATTGAGAGGTGACATAATTCAGCTCATAAGGATGGTTATTGCTGAATTATTTTAAAATCTTGATTGTTTTGAGATTAATCTGAATTTAGTTATTTTACTAAACTCATGTATCACTTCTAATGGTCTTTCAGTGAATTATTGGTACTCTAGATGTATGACTATATCTGCAGTGTATATTCATACTTTTGTTCCTCTGTTTCAGTAATAATCTGAGTACTAGTCTAACTGCTTTATATATATTAACCCATTTAACCCTCACAAAAAACCCTATGAGACAAGGTACAGGATCCCTTATCTGAAAAAAATTAAATTAAAAAAAATCTATGAGGCCAGGCATGGTGACTCATACCTGTAAACCCAGAACTTTGGGAGTTCAAGGCAGGAGGATTGCTTGAGACATAGAGTTCCAGACCAGCCGGGGCAACAAAGTGAGACCTCATCTGTACAAAAATAAAATTAGCTGGCCATGGTGGCATGTGCCTGTAGTCCCAGCTTCTTGGGAGGCTGAAGTGGGGGAACTGCTTGAGCCTAGGAGGTTGGGGCTGCAGTGAGCCATGACTGCTCCACTGTACTCCAGCCTGGGAGACATAGTGAGACCCAATCTCAAAACACAAAACAAAACAAAAAAAACCTGTGAGGTAAATACCACTATTATCTTTACCTGCTACAGGTGAGGAAACTGAGGCACTGAGAGGTTAATTGCCTTGCCCAAGCTCACAGTGACTAAGGGTAGAACCGGGATTGTAACGGAGTCACTCTGCTGTATACACAACATACTCTTTCCTACCTCTTATTTCCATTTTTGCCTTTTCACATTAGTGCCGGTGTAGATTCTTTCCCAGTTGGAAAAATGAAAATAGTGCGGAGTTTGTGAAGAATTATAAGAAGGGCCGGGTGCGCTGGCTTGCGCCTATAATCCCAGCACTTTAGGAGGCTGAGGTGGGCGGATCATCTGAGGTCAGGTGTTCGAGACCAGCCTGGCCAACAAGGTGAAACCCCATCTCTACTAAAAATACAAAAATTAGCCGGGTGTCTTGGCAGGTGCCTGTAATCCCAGCTACTCCGGAGGCTGAGTCAAGAGAATCACTTGAACCTGGGAGGCGGAGGTTGCAGTGAGCTGAGATTGCACCACTGCACTCCAGCCTGGAGGACAGAGAGAGACTCTGTCTCCAAAAAACAAACAGAAAACAACAACAACAACAACAACAACAAAACAAAAAAGAATTATAAGAAGGATGAGATGGATTTAGAGGATTTTTTTTTCTTACCACCCATGAGTTATTAAAGTGTAATGTCTTACACCTCTGATTCAGGAATTTACAGAAATATTCTGTGAGCATTATGTGTAAAATCATGTAAATAGGAAATAATTTCATAAAATATATATTCAGATTAATTCCAATAAGCATATATTCTTACTGACACAAATTCCTTAACTTGGAAAGAGAGGCAACAGTTGAAAACATTCCGAAGTTGGCGTATACACAGGAGACTGAGATAACAGTACAGAGCTGTGGGAATCTTCTACCATAGCAGGATTCTCAGAATACAAAGGAAGCTGGTGGAGATCGCCACGGGGTGGGTAGAGAGGTGGGCAGAGTCACACGTGGTGCCAATAACCCAAGCCTCTAGTTATCATTACCTCATGTTGGTGATAGGGTTTAGCTGTGTCCCCACCCAAATCTCATCTTGAATTGTAGCTCCCACAATTCCCACATGTTGTGGAAGGGACCCTGTGAAAGGTAATTGAATCATGGGGGCGAGTCTTTCCTGTGCTGTTTTCATGACAGTGAATAAGTCACATGAGATCTGATGGTTTTATAAGAGGGAGTTTCCCTGCAGAAGCTCTTTGCCTGCTGCCATCCGTGTAAGATGTGACTTGCCCTCCTTGCCTTCTGCCATGATTGTGAGGCCTCCCCAACCATGTGGAACTGTGAGTCCATTAAACCTCTTTCCTGTATAAATTACCCAGTCTCAGGTATGTCTTTATTAGCAGTGTAAAAATGGACTAATACATTATTCATGAAGGATCCACTCTCATGATCCAATCACCTCCCATAAGGCCCCATCTCCAACATTGGGGATTACAACTGAACATGAGATTTGGGTGGGGACACAAATCCCTGCCATATCATGTCCATATAAAAAGAGACTTCTGTTTGCTCTCTGTACATGCACATACCAAAGAAAGGCCATGTGAAGCAATAGCAAGAAGGCAGCCACCTACAAGCCTGGAAAGAGCCTGCCATAATTTGGATGTTTGTCCCCTCCAAATCTCACATTGAAATTTGATCCCCAAAGTTGGAGGTGGGTCCTACTGGGAGGAGTTTAGGTCATGGGGATGGAACCCTCATGAATAGATTAATCACCTCCCTGGAGTTGGGGGAAGTGAGTGAGTTCTCCTTCTATTAGTTCCAAAGAGAGCTGATTGTTAAGGAGTCCAGCACCTCCTCCACCCTCTCTCTTCCCTTAGGTGATCTGCACACACCAGCTCCCCTTTGCCTTCCACCATGTGTGGAAGCAGCCTGAGGTCCCCATCAGAAGCAGATGTTGGTGCCATACTTCTTGTACAGCCTGCAGAACCATGACCCAAATAAACCTCTTTTCTTTGTAAATTACTCAACTTCAAGTATTCCTTTATAGCAAAACAAATGGACTAAGAGAGTGCCTTCACCAGAAACAACGCTGCCAGACCTTGATCTAGGACTTTCAGTCTCCAGAACTGTGAGAAAATAAATGTCTGTTGTTTAAGCCACCCAGCCTGTGGTGCTTTGTTGTGGCACCTTGAGTTGACTTAGCACATATAAGGGTTCTTCTATTTTACAGATAGTCAGAGAGGCATAATTATTAAGTGGCATGGCTGAGATTTGAAACCCAGGCAGTCCAGTTCCAGTGATTGCAATTCTAACTTCATACTTCAGTGAATGCCACCCAAATGAGCCACAAAATTCCCACCAGTCCACCCAAAGCAAGCTAAGGTTATGTAAAGGTAGCTCATAACATCTGCCACACACAAAGCAGCATTGCCTATAAATATGCCACCGGCAGCCCCAGCCAGCACTGAGCCATATCACTGTAGGGTGGCAAGCTCCCCATATAGCAAACATCCTTGGCAAAGTGTATGCTCGTTCTCTTGTTATCTACAACCATTCTGCACTTTCTCTTTATCACCTTCTCTGTAGGTGCCTCTGTAAACTCTCCCTGAGTCTTGCTGTTCAGTCTTCCCTTCTCTTTAGCCAGACCAGCTCTCCCTGTTCCTTTCATCAGAAAGAGACCAAATGACAGCTCACAGTGGCGTTTATCTTTAAGGCAGTAGTTCTCAACCAGGCTGATTTTGCCTCCAAGGGGACATTTGGCTATGTCTGGAGATGTTTTTGGTTAACACGACTTGGGGGTGGGGAAGTGCTACCGACATTCAGAGGGTAGAGGCCAGGGATGCTGCAGAACATCTCACAGTGCACAAGTCGGCCTCCTACAAAGAATTCTCTGACCTGAAATGTCAAAATGGCCACAGTTGAGAAACTCTGCTGAAAAAGAGGGCATGTATTAAGCACACAGGAGCGTTTCGGGCATCAGGTAAGGAGAAGCAAGGTAGCAGGAGGGTCTCTTAGACCCTCAACTTTCTATTTCTGCCTAAATGATGTTTTGCAGATGACCACAGCTATGTGCTTGGCTCTCTGCCTGAATAAAGCAATAAGAAATGCTGTCTTAATCCATATCTTCATTTGTTTTCCTTCTGAATAAGTAGTTTTTGGATAGGATCTATTTAACTTTGTATAGACTCCAAATTCCTGGCATTGGTTTGGTTTTCCTTGTATATGCAAAAAGGAGGAATGTTTATGATTTCTAAAAATATCACCGAACCATATAATTACTACTTTTAATGTCATCATGCAAAAATATTATCCAACTTTGCATAGTTATTTTGTACAAAGTTAAGTGTGTAGAGTTCAAGGAATTATCCAGGCGTTATGACTATTTTTAAAATCATTGAAGGCTAAGGAGAACAGATACACTTGTTCATTTTAATGTCAACAGTAAATCCAGCAGGCCGTATGATCTTAATTCTATGCTGTACAGAAAAGTTTTCATGAGTACTTCCACCAGTGTACTCCTCCTAGAAATAACTGTTCTGTGCCCTATAACAGACATTTTATCTGACCCTCTCATTCTTACCCAGAACTTAAGTAATTGCTTTGAGGCAGATAAACCCCAAATTTATATCTCGAGCTTCAAAGTTTTCCCCAATTTCTGATGCCTCATTTGTAACTGTCCTGTAGACCTCCACACCTGAGTGTCTTGCCAGATCTTGTCCAAAACCCAACTGTTCATGCACCTGCTCCCCAAGCCAGCTGTTTGTTCTAATGGAACCTTTTTTACCCATAGCATCATCGTCTCCTAGTCACCCACAGTCAGAAATTTTGCAGTTGCCTTTAAGTTCTACCTTTTTTCTTTACCTCAATATCAAATCCATCACCAGGTCCTGACAATTCAACCACCACAGTGCTCCTGGCATTACTTTCTTCCTTCAGATTCCTGTTGCTACCACCCTACTTGAGGCAGTTTTCAACTTCCTGGACTGTCATAGGACAGTCCCCACTGACTTCCCCACTCCAGTATCTTCCTGCAGCCAGCTGCCTCTTTCCGGATCTCCTCACATTACCTTCAGCCCCAAAGCCTTCAGGGGTGCCATAATAGGGCATCCATCCCTAAAGGCTTTGGGGCTGGGGGTAATGTGCTCTACCTTGCTTCCCAGGGATGGGTAAAATAAAGTATGAAAATGTGGCTGGGCACAGTGTCTCATGCCTGTAATCTCAACATTTTTGGGAACCTGAGGCAGGAGGATTGCTTGAAGCCACGAGTTTAAGACTAGCTTGGGCAACAGAGAGAGAACCCATCTCTACAAAAAATTTTAAAAGTTAGCTGAACTTGGTTGCACACACCTGTCGTCCCAGCTACTTGGGAGGCCGGAGTGGGAGGATCACTTGAGCACAGGAAGTCGAGGCTGCAGTGAGCTATGATTGCACCACTGCACTCCAGCCTGAGCCACAGAGCAAGACCCTGTCTCTAAAAAAGATAAATAAATAAATAAAGATAGGAAAACGTCCTTTGAAAATTAAAGAACCCTATTTAAGTATAATTTACAGACAACATTGTTTATATTTTTAATAAAAATCCAGATAAACCTTTGCAGAAACAGGCCTCAGGTGAATCACTTCCTTGAGAAACTGTGAGTAACCCAAGGGCACTGTGGAAGCCCTGGGCCTTGGGGATAGAGGATCAACCAGCAGCCGCTGGGGAAAATGTGTAGAAAAGGAGGAAGAGGGTGAGAGATGTAAAATCTGTAATCATGACTAGGATGCAGATGGTTACAAGTGAAATCTTGGTGTTCGTTTTCTGACGTTAATTGTATATTACTCAAAAAATTTTTTTTTCAATCAGTCTTTTTGGAAAGTAATTTTGTAGCATGGGTTCTTGTTAGGATGTCACTCACTGAGCCGTCTCAGACTTTAGTTAGCATGTTGTCTGGGTAGTTTGGAGCCTGCTAAGTTTGCTATTCCAGACCGTATTGTCTAAATGGACCTTCAAACTGGGAATTTAGAGGAATGCAATCATATTATTGATAAATTACACACAGCTTCACTAAACAATTATGGTCAGTATTTCGACTTACGCATGCTATTACAATGAGCATGTGTAGTCCCTCCCCTCAATAGGGGATTGGACTATTAATAATGTTAAATAATTAAATAAACCTGTGTGCCCACTCGTCTCCATTTCTAGCCCCTTCCCATCCAGCTGGAGAAGTGGAAGCATTAAAAAGGAGAAGATGACATAACTCAGAGATTAGGCACCACCCTTAGGGCTAGAGGAAACTAAGAGGGCCTCAGGAGCCAGGAGATTGGAGGAGATGCTTCCAGAAAAAGAAGTAAATAAGACAGCAGTAGAAGGAAGAGACCAAGAGCAAGAGAGAGAACTACAGCTTCTCTCCATCTTCTGTCTACTATTTCCCCACCAGCACCTCTTACTGGTGAAACTAAGTAGGAAACCAACTAATATTTCCTAAATGTCTGTTCGGTTTCTAAAGGTCTTTTTTCTGACTTCTGATCTCAGAGAACTCTGCTGGTTAAAAAGTTTTGTCATAGTCAGTGTTTGGGATTCCAGTCTGGAATATACATGGGACAGGAAAATGAGGTGGGGGAGTAAAGGTTTCTGCCAACAAAAGGAGGAAATGGTCAGTAAATATGTCTCGTACCTAAGGAAACAGGAAACCAAACAAATGTGAAGACGTTGGTTAAAAACCCGTTGTTGGGAAACATCCTTGGGTTGTTTTCAATCCATAATCTTGTCTGGACTACTAGGATCTATAACATTTTCAAACAGTGGGTGCAAGGTCAGGGCAAATTCTGCAGTCATACAGCTAAGCAAAGTTAATGTGATGATGAGAAACCAATATTTGTCTCATTAAATTTGCACCTAGCCTCTCCTCTTTCTGACTGGCCCTAGCACTTCCATGCATTAGATACGTACTGGACGCCAACCCTTGTTCCGAGTGTTGGGAATAAAACAATGGAAAGACACTCCTAGTTCCGACCTCATGGTGATATATGCACCATCTTTTGAGCTAGTAAGGTACTTGGTACAATTCCACTGTCAAGATCAGATTTATTCTCTGGGCCAGATTGACCTTCTCTGATCATGGGAAAGGAGTTTATGGCATGAAATAGATTAGAACATTTTGCATTCTTTTCATCTGATTTCTGTATCCCACTGTTTCTGCTTATATCATTTTTTTCTGCCTATGATATCCTATTCCTCCAATACCAGAAAATATTTTTATAGATGTGATTCACCCTGAGAGATTCCATTCGATCATGTAAGACCTTTCTATTCCTTGTTTTGAATAAAGGCCAGAGAAGGTGAGAGGGCTCCCCAGGGACTTTTAATATAGTAACATTTCTTACATGTAATACATCACCTAAATCATTCAGTGACCAATATTTTATCCTTTAATACTCCTCGGCATTTTCCCTTCAGAAAGCAATTATTCTAGAACTAAAAAAAAAGGGTAAGATAAAGGAAAGAAAGGAATACATTAGAAAGAAATCAACATTGTTTTAACTTCAAAAACTCAGAAACACATGTATGGGATATATGATCACATTAACACAGTAACTTGAATCACGGTGTGCTCTTCCTCCAGAAATTAAATCCTCACTCCTTGCCTCTTAACTACAGAATGAGGATTAACTCTTTTTTCTGTCAAAGTCTCCTAAAATCTGACCTTAAAGTGACGTAGTGGAATAAGAAACAGACTGAGAGTGGGGAGACCATGATTTAAGGAAATGGCCCAGAGCTTGTCCAACTTTCCTGGATTTCAGTTTTCTCATGATCAGAGACTAGCCTCATTCAGCTTTAATCTCCTTCTCGTTAAGTTCAACAAATGACTGTGAACCAAACAATGTCACTGATTCAGCTGAGTCTACCTTCTACAGACAGAGATGACATCCCAGATCATTTAAACACAGATGTAATATTAGAGCTAGGAGCAACCTTAAGACACATGAATCAACTTCCTTATTTTAACAATGAAGAAACAGACGCTTGATGTGGGGATATGACTTATTTGAGGTCCTGTGGCAGGTTGTGGTCAGCTCTAGTATACATTTCTCTGCCCAACCCTATTCTTACCCATCATTCCATGCCACCTCTCAGAAGTACCTATTTACTAGCTAGTGGTATGTCAATATCCCACTCATATTTCAAGTGACACTTCTTTTAAGAAGTCTTCCTAGATTTCTCCACTTGAAATTAACCTAGCCTCTACTCCTTCTGACTGGCCCTAGCACTTCTATTCATTAGATACATACTGGACACCAACCCTTGTTCCAAGTGTTGGGAATAAAACAATGAAAAGACACTCCTGGTTCCGACCTCATGGTGATATATGCACAAAATCCTGAGAGACCACCAATTAATCACCAACACCTTCAGTAGCCTTTAATTACGGCTCAAATCTGTTGTCTCTCTTCCATACCCATTACCACTACCGTGGTTCATGTCCACTTTATTCCACCTAGATGACTTTAACAACCTCCTTACCAGGGTTCCTCCGTTTAATTTTAACTCTCCTTTCCATCCTTTGTACCGCTCCAGAGGGATCTTGGTGAAATATCAAACTGAATATTCATTCTCTAAGTAGTGAACATCTATTTGGTTGTCCAGTTTTCTTCCTGGTAGCTTTCGCCCTCAGGATATTTGGCTCTGTGGGGCTGACTCTAGCCCCAGGTATGTAAGCACCTGATCCAGGCCTGGAAAATCACACTCACTTATTTATCCACCTAACACTGTGATTGGTGAGTCATTTGAAAGTAATCATTGTGACACTTTGCCCTTAAATACTTCAGCGTGTATCAAGAACAGAAGAAAGACATTCTCCTATGGATCAAACTTAAGAAAATTTACAGTAATACAGTAATATTGTAGTCTATGTTTAATTTTCCCTAACTGTCCCACTAATGTCTATTACTGCTGAGGTGTTTTTTGTTGTTGTTGTTTTTTATTTATTTATTTTTTTTTGAGACGGAGTCTTGCTCTTGTTGCCCAGGCTGGAGTGCAGTGGCGCTATCTCAGCTGACTGCAACCTCCACCTCCCGGGTTCAAGCGATTCTTCTGCCTCAGCCTTCTAAGTAAGTGGGACTACAGGCACATGCCACCACACCCAGCTAATTTTTTGTATTTTTAGTAGAGACAGGGTTTCAACATGTTAGTCAGGATGGTCTCGATTTCCTGATCTCATGATCCACCTGCCTTGGCCTCCCAGAGTGCAGATTTTTTTCTTTTATTTTCTTCCCTTTGACATTTATATTTTTGAAGGATACAGCCAAGTTTTCTTATAGAAGATCTCATATTCTAGATTTGTCTGTTTTCTTGTGATTAGATTCAAACTAAATGATTTCCTGCAACTACTTAGGTTGATATAGTGTCTTTCTCAATGCTTCACATTAGAAGGCACTAATAGAAGGCACTGGTTTTCTTACTGGTGATGCTGTTTAATTACTTGGTTAATTTAGCATCTACCAGCTCTCTCCATCACAAAGGTGATATTTTCCCTTTGTTCATTAACTAATATTCTGTGGTATAGTACTTTGAAAAATATGTGAATACCCTGTTACCCATCAAGTTTTAACCCAATGTTTTTTTGTTTTGTTTTGTTTTGTTTTTTTGAGACAATGTTTCGATCTTTTGCCCAGGCCTTAGTGAAGTGGCATGATTTCACCTCATTGCAATCTCCGTCCCTCAGGTTCAAGCAATTCTCCTGCCTCAGCCTCCCGAGTAGCTGGGATTATAGGTGCCTGCCACCATGCCCGGCTCATTTTTGTCTTTTTAGTAGAGACGGGGTTTCGCCATGTTGGCCAGGCTGGTCTCAAACTCCTGGCCTCAGGTGATTCACCCACCTCGGCCTCCCAAAGGGCTAGGATCACAGGCATGAGCCACTGCACCTGGCCATTAACCCAATGGTTTTAACATTTATTAATGAAGTTGCCAGAGTCAATTATTACATTAGTGGCTGAAAATGATAATTTTCAAATTCTATCATTTATTTCACATTCATCAACCATCATTCTTCTGTCAATAAATGCTTACCCTCACTCCCTACCCCACCCTTTTCTTTTAGTATTGCCATGAATTCACGGATTCTTCTTTTATTCGATATGTTAAAACCAATTATCATCATTATTGTTTGTGATGTCCAGATTCTCAAATTTGGGACAACCCAGTGATAGCTCTTTGAAACTGGCTCTGTGTCCTTTTGATACATTCCATTCATTCTTTAGTGCTTCTTACTTTGGGGAAGACACCAAGTGTACCATGATCACTTCGTAGTTTCTCTGCCTCAGATCTGGAATCAGACATTTGTCCAAGGAACTCTGTTTTGTTTCTTTTCTTTTCTGCCATTGTTGTTGTTTTTTACTGAGAGTGATATTTAGAAAAGAGAATCTGGGCAATAACCATGTTCATTGCTACTGGGATGTCATTGCTTTTAGACCCTTAAAATGGACAGAGCTAGGAAATATTACATGTTATATACATATTTGGCTTTTAGATATGAGGGAGTATATTAGGCACTGGAGTTACCGTCACACTTTAAATGACTAGAAAACTGGAAAAAACATACAAATATATACAATATGGTTTCACTGTGTCCCCACTGAAATTGCATTTTGAATTGCAGCTCCTGTAATTTCCACGTGTTGTAGGAGGGACCCAGTGGGAGATAACTGAATCATGGGGGAGGTTCCCCACATACTATACTCATGGTAGTGAAAAGTCTTGCTAGATCTGATGCTTTTATAAGGGTTTTCCCCTTTCACTTGGCTCTCATATTCTCTCTTGTCTGCCACCATGTAAGATGTGACTTTTAGCTGGGCACAGTGACTCATGCCTGTAATCTCAGCACTTTGGGAGTCCAAGGTGGATGAATCACGAGGTCAGGAGTTTGAGAACAGCCTGGCCAACATGGCAAAACCCCATCTCTACTGAAAATACAAAAATTAGCCAGGCGTGGTAGTGCGTGCCTGTAATCCCAGCTACTCGGGAGGCTGAGACAGGAGACTCGCTTGAACCTGGGAAGCAGAGGTGGAAATCAGCCGAGATCATGCCAATGCGCTCCAGCCTGGGTGACAGAGCAAGACTCTGCCTTGGGAAAAAAAAAAATTAAAAGATGTGCCTTTGGCATTCCACCATGATTGTGAGGCCTCCCCAGCCATGTGGAACTATGAGTCCATTAAACCTCTGTTTTTAAATAAATGACCCAGTCTCAGATATAGCTTTATCAGCAGCATGAGAACAGACTAATACAATATGAAACCACTGTTTTCAGGTATTGAACCACAAGCAACACAGGACTGAGATCCCTGAGGGAAGTGAAACAAATAAGGTGAGTCCCATGATTACCTCGGCTCTCTGCCAGGGGCATGTTGTAGACCACGAAACAGTGAAGGGGAATCCCAAACAGAGCACCATGGACTTGCCAAGCAGAGAGAGATTTCAGAATTCAGGGAGATGACTGGGAGTTACAGGGCAGATTTTCAGAGAAGAAAGAAACAGCCAGGAAAAGAGATCCAATGATCTTCATTGGAATCCTCTCTAATCTTTTGCTAATACCATGATGTATATACATAGGGTAAAAGCCCACAAGGCAAAGAGTAACCCCAGCTGTGTTGCTGGGAGTTCCATAGCTCTCAGAGATTACACAGGGCTGGGAATCATTTGAATTCCCACTGGCAATAATGGAGAGTCCTCATGATCTCTCTGATCATTCAGCAGAATAACCAGAGGACCATGCCTAAGTAATAGGGCTAAACTATCCCTAGAGTAAAGGCTATTTTAGATATGATCTACCAAAGCATAAAAACAAGCCTCAAAAGTGCTCATACTGGGCTGGGCGTGGTGGCTCACACCTGTAATCCCAGCAAATTGGGAGGCTGAGGCAGGTGGATCACGAGGTCAGGAGATCGAGACCATCCTGGCTAACACAGTGAAACCCCGTCTCTACTAAAAATACAAAAACAAAATTTGCAGCGTGGTGGTGGGCGCCTGTAGTCCCAGCTACTCGGGAGGCTGAGGCGGGAGAATGGCGTGAACCCGGGAGGCGGAGCTTGCAGTGAGCCGAGATCGCGCCACAGCACTCCAGCCTGGGCGACAGAGCGAGATTCCATCTCAAAAGAAAAAAAAAAAAAAAAAAAGGCTCAAACTGGAAATTTAACTACCTAGCAACAAAAACTAGCACTCTTTAAAGGAAGACAACAAAATTAGATGATCAACCATTCAACCATGTAAGTTTCACAATGCCCAACTGAAAATTACTAGACATGCCAAGGAGCAGGAGAATGACTCCAAGATGACAGAGATGATGGAATTATCAGAGAAAGTGATGGAAATGACCATTTTGTTTTCTTATAGCAAAGGGAAAATGCATGCGTAGTTTATTAGACAGAACCGAATTCCCCTCCATAAGGGCTATATCACTCTGCACTCTCAACAGCTTCTTATGGGAGTACCTGTAGCCCCATAGCCTTGCCAACAAAGTGTGGGTTGAGCTTTTACATTTTCGCTAACCTGAAGAAATGAGAAATTATACATCATACCCTAGTTTTAAAACTAGTGATTTATGCCTTAATTTTAACTTGAATGCAACTCTGCTTCTGAACATACCATGAAGAAAAATCTAGAGTCTAATTTACTAATTTTGGAGATATTTACCCTCCCTCATATGCATATCCTAGTTCAAGACTGGCTCTGCCGTCCAGGTGCAGTGGCTCACACCTGTAATCCCAACACTTCAGGAGGCTGAGGTGGGAGGATCACCTGAGGTCAGGATTTCAAGAACAGCCTGGCCAACATGGTGAAACCCCATCTCTACTAAAAATACAAAAAAAAAAAAAAACAAAAAAATTAGCCAGGCATGGTGATGGGTGCCTGTAATCCCAACTACACAGGAGGCTGAGGCAGGAGAACCACTTGAACCCTGGAGGCAGAGGTTGCAGTGAGCTGAGATCACACCATTGCACTCCAGCCTGGGTGACAAGAGCAAAACTCTGTCTGATATATATATATATATGTCCTGCCCTGAAGAATGTTTACCTAATGCTGGGTGTATGGTGCTCTACAACTTTTTCAGGCTATAGTTGTGCTCCACAATGAGCACTGAGGTCTAACTATTTTTTTGGTTCACATTCCCTTCCTCAGCCATAGTTCCCCAAAGAACAATCACTGCATTAGAATGGGTGCACCCACAGGTACTTTCAACAGCAGCCACATATGTACCCGAACCATTCCTTTTGCAGGGACCCTCAGGCCATGAGTGTGTGTTTGAATCACCAACTCGAACTCCTCATTGTTTCCTTCAAGTTCTTTGGGGTTCTTTTCTACCAGCAGTTGTTGACAAGACTCCCATCAAAGGCTCCCATCACTGACTTTAAATTGCAGGGGTGGGATCTGTGTTCTACACCCCTAATCTTTGAGAAGTCCCTCAAATGTGAGGTCAAATTTCCACTGGAACTCCCAGACCCATGTGCCTCCCAAAAGACTCTGTGTGTGTGTCCGTCCGTGTATGTGTGTATAGCAGTGTTTGTCAAGTCACAGTTACATACCATTATATTTTTTCTCTAAGGCCTACTTGCCTGACACTTGCATATCTAAGGAGGGTCACACAAACAATTCTTCTGAGAACAGACCAGTGTTAGGGAACATTTCCTCATTATTAGATCTGAAGCAGCTTACAGCTTAACTCTTCTAAAAAATTTAATCTCTGCCTTATTCAATGTGTTTTTCCCACCAGATTACTCTTCTTGAATATGAGCCCCGTGCAAAAAAAGATTATTAGAATTCTGAGGAGCACCCAGCATCCCCAGAATACAGCACAGAATCTCTCCGGCAATCGGCTTTCAGTGAATGCTCATTAAATGAACTCACTCATTCATCAATAAACAAAATCCCCAAGCTCCTTGAAAGCCAGAACCATACTCGCTGTCATTTTAAGATATGGCCCCAATTAAATTATAAGCCCCTTGAGGACAACAAATATGCCTTGTATTTCCTCTGTCTAATCTAGGAGCATTTGATAAAGAGCTGAACACACAAAAGAGTTTCAGGATTTCAGATATTTCTGAGTTATTCCCACTACTTAACTATAAATTGACTGAGGGTGAGAACTAGGTCTTATTCATCTTATCCATGTCTTACCCGGCACATTCATTCTCTCTCTCTCTCTCTTTCTGTATCTGTCTCTTAATTTTCCTCTCCCAAGTCTACTCCCAAGGTAAAAAGCAAAAGCTTTTTAAAAATCATGACAACATCTTCCTTGAGTACTGAATTGCTCCCTGACAGAAAAGAAATGAGCTTATAAACAATCCATGGTATCCTTTTTCTTAAAGGAGGGAGGGATTTCTAAAAATTATGAATCTATTCATCGCTTTAGTTCATAGATATTTTGTGCCTATTTTGTGAATCAAAGATACACATACAAATTTTCTTTTCATCGAGGGAGTGAGACAGGAAGATAGAATGTGGGGTCAATATCAGGAAAACTCATACAGTATAGTTTGGATATTTGTCCTTTCCAAATCTCAGGCTGAAGTTTGATCCTCTAAAGAAAATGTGGTACATATACACCATGCAGCCATAAACACTACGCAGCCATAAAAAAGGATGAGATCATGCCTTCTGCAGGGACATGGATAAAGCTGGAAGCCATCATCCTCAGCAAACTAACACAGGAACAGAAAACCAAACACCGCATGTTCTCACTTATAAGTGGGAGTTGAACATTGAACATACACGGACACAGAGAGGGGAACAACACACAGCAGGGCTTGTTGTGGGGTGGGGAGTGAGGGGAGGGAATTTATAGGATGGGTCAATAGGTGCAGCAAACCATCATGGCACATGTATACCTATGTCACAAGCCTGCACATTTTGCACATGTATCCCGTTCTTTTTTTTAAAAAAAGAAATAAAACAAAAACAAAAAAAATTTTTTTAAAAAGAAATTTGATCTTCAATGTTAGAGGTGGGGCCTGGTGGGAGGGATTTGGATTGCAAGGACAGCTCCCTCATGAATGGATTAACACCCTCCTTTGGAGGTGAATGAGTTCTCACTCTAATAGTTCCTCCAAGAGTGAGGTGTTTAAAAGGGGCTAGCATTCCTCCCCTCTCTCTGCTGTCTCTATTGCCAAGTTACACTTCTGCTCCCCCTTTGCTTCCTGCTATGATTGGAAGCTTCCTGAGGCCTCACCAGAAGCAGATGCTGGTATCATGCTGCTTGGAGAGCCTGCAGAACAATGAGCCAAATAAACCTCTTTTCTTTATAAATGACCAAGTCTCAGGTATTCTTTTATAGCAACCCAAAATGGACTAAGACACCATACACAAAAAGAAAAGCACAGAGGAAAAGGTGTACACAGAGACACACATAGTCATAGGGAGACACAATCCAAGGGAAGAAAATGAGAAGCAGAATTTAATTGGTTACAAGTGAAACCTTGAAAAACCACAAGATGAACATACTAGACACTTAGACTTAGTTTCACTTTTGCAAATCTGTGTTCATTGGCATTTACCTTTTTGGGTAGAGAAAATTATGTTTAGTGCGTCAGAGCTGATGGGTTTTCCTCCAGAGGCCCACGCTCTTATCCCAGTTAAAGGATTCAGAAAGAGAGACATCACATTAATAAACCAAGACATCTGAGATGTCATATTATATCTGCTACTGATTTTGTGACCTTGAGCACTGTATTTAACACTACCTGGCTAAGTTTCTTATCTCTACAAACGGAATAGTGGAAGGTGATGCACCTACCTATAGGAATACTGTAAAGGTAAAGTGAGATAATGTACATGAATGTGCTTTGTGGGATACCAGTACCTTTCCTCGAGACCTGCTATGACAGACACTGTGCCAAGAATTTTGTAAGTGCAAACTTATTCATCCTTCAAAACCATCCTGGGAGGTATCAGTACACCTACTGCAAAGGTGAGAAGATTGAGGGCTAGAGAACCTGAAAGCTTGATCTTAAACCAGCTAGTAAACTGTAGAACAAGGATTTGAACTGACCGCAAGTTCCCTCACCTACCCATTGTTCAGGAAGCCCCAGCAAGGTAAAAAGGAAAAGCTTTTTAAAAATCATGGAAACGTCTTCTTTTGAGTACTGAATTGCTCCCTGACAGAAAAGAAAAGAGCTTATAAACAATCCATGGTATCCTTTTTCTTAAAGGAGCGAGGGAGAATTTAATAGCTGAGCACATGTGATCTGGGGTAAGACATATTTCACCAAAATTTTAGGCAAAGCAGAGGAGGCAGGAAAAAAAGCCACTGAGCCTACAGGTAATGGATGGGCCTCAGCAACTTCCTTGAGGTCTCACAAACCTCATAAATCTTTACCCAAAATGAGTTTCTTGCTGTTTCCTTAGTGTAGGCAATTTCTGGTATTTGTGATCCTGTTCATCCGTTTTTCTAACAAACCCAAAGCAATGGGGAAAGAGGTGATTTTCAAATTTTATATTTTTGCCTTCATATTCCAAAAATGGACCTGAAATTAAAAGCATTTTGGTCAAATAGGTATCCTTTCCACAAAGCAGCACTGTTAGAAATTCCGAATGTTCCAGACAGTGGTCTATATTCATCCAAATCCAAACTTAAGTAGAGATGATACTATTAAAATGGAAATTGGTTAAGTCTGCATGCTTTGGTAACTTGTTTTGTGAAATTAAATAGATTTCCAGAAACAGTCAAGCGCTGGGATGTGGAGTTATTGTTTAAATCTGAGATAAAAAGACGCCCACTTTCAAAAGGAAAAGAACTATGAAAAACCTTGTATCTTGAAAGATGAATATGAATCAGAAGAATGAGACAATCTTACCCTTGAGCAGGAGGAAAGGGCTTTTCCTTTCAGGGCTGGAGATGAAACATTTAAAAATAAGAATTCAAAGCTCCAATCCTCTTGCAGGGCTTTGTGACTCAAAATTGAATTTATTAGTCTGACAAATTGGCTTTTACAGATGCCTTGATTTGAAAACCAAATATATTATTTTGCTGATAACCTCACAGAGGCCACATATCTTGCTGAAATGCCTAAGAGCAGCTTCCACTGTTTGTTTATACAGGTGGCAGAGGACACGGGGGTGGGGGGGTGCTGCCTCCCAGGTAATACAGTCCATCACCACTCATAGTTCTTATCAATCAGG
This sequence comes from Homo sapiens, assembly GCF_000001405.40. Taxonomy (NCBI): domain Eukaryota; kingdom Metazoa; phylum Chordata; class Mammalia; order Primates; family Hominidae; genus Homo; species Homo sapiens. The sequence goes on from NC_000008.11 coordinate 18,434,934, forward strand.
GGAGGACTGAATCATCCCTACTGCTGTGCACTGGGAACCTCCTTACTAAATTGGCACTTGCTCTATCTCCAAACAAAATGCCAGAAAAAAGGAACATGCTAGCAAGACATCATAGAGATTGTGAGATGGAGTCTAAGCCAGAGCTGGAAGCTAGAACACAAAGTCTGTACATATTAGCCGTATAATTCTACAGCTATCACTCTCTCATGCTTCAGCTTCTCATGAGGCCAAAGAGAAAAGTGAGTGAATGCTTAGGCTCTGAAGCCAGGCATATCTGGACTTGAACTTGGATCCTCTCTCTCCCACATGCTGGCTGTGTGTCTTCTGTGAGCCCCAGCTTCCCTATATATATATAAAGAGAATTGTGATAAGGAATTGGCTCACATGACTATAGAGGTTGGCAAGTCTGAAATTTGCAGGGTGGAGATTCAGAGAACAGAGTTTAAGTCCAAAAGCAGCTGCTATAGAGCCAGGAAGAGTCCATGTTTCAGATGAAGTCTGAAAGCAGTGTTTGAAAAATTCTCTCTTGCAGGAAAGAGGCCCGACTCCTTGCCCTATTCAGGCCTGATTAGATGAGCCCACCCACATTATGGAGGGCAATCTGCTGTACTAAAAGGATTAAAAGTCCACCAGTGTAAATGTTAATCTCATCTAAAATATCCTCCCAGAAACCTCCAGCCCAGCCTGCTTACCTTACCCCTGGTGTCAATTCCTGCACTATGTGTAATAAAAAAATCCCTTCCAATTCTTTTCAGTGTGGTGGGGGCAGCCAGGGAATTCTCTCTCTCATGCTGTCTCCCTTATGGGCTCCAGTAAAGCCTTATCTGGGAAAACTCTCTTGGCCTCATGTCAATTTTTAATTTTTACTGCATTGACATCCCAAGAACCTGTTGTTGGTAACAAACTCAAATATACACATTTGGTGAACAAAATCCAGGAGAGCACTCATAACAGGTGGAGGAGGTTCCCTTCAGAGAAATAAATACAGAGATCTAAGATGTAGGTACCTGAAAATGAAAAACTGTGGTGAGGGACTCATGGGTGTGGTCAGAACATCCCCTTCATGTCACTGATGTTGTCGTCATTAAGGACTCCAGATTTCCCATTTTTTAAAAGTTAGTGAAAAAAAATTTTTGAAATTTTCAAATCTTGAATTTGGAAAACCTATTTATTATTTAAAAGAAACCCTAAGTTCACATGGATGTATGTGAATCTTGGAAACTTTAAAGGAATCTAAACGCTTCTTTGTACCAGGCAGATTAGGGGTTAACTAATAGAGATCTAAAAGACTGTCTTCTGCTATCTAAACCGGAGCATTTTGACTGTCACAGATGTAATCAGGCAGAAACAGTCACTATGCCAGGACATGAGAAATATTGGGAGGAAGAAACCGTAGGAAACATAGTCCATCACAGTCTTCACACAGCTGGTATCCAGGCATCCTCTAAACAGGTTTGTCTCCTAAGATCCTAAAATGACTGGTGTGACACAAAGAAATAAAGCTTATTACCCAACAAAATGAAGATAAAAGCTGTCATCATCATAAACCTTCAATGTGTTTTGATCTATGGATTTAAAAAGGTAAAAAACTTCTAACATTCAATTACAAATGTCAGTTTTTAATGCTTTTCCCATGAGATTAGAAATTTTATTGTCTCCAGGAGAACTCACATTCTTCTTGTTATACAAATATGGGGAGAATCTTAAAACAAAGACCAAGGATTTAAGAGAACTGTCATGAGACATTCTTCATAGGAGAGGCATGCCCTAGGGAGCTTAAACAAACACATGTTTCGATTCAACTAATATTTTATAGGCAATATTTTAGATTTGTTTTCATCCAGTGTAAAAAAATCAATTCTACACTGAATTTTTCAGCTACAACTTTGCCAAAGGACCAGTTTTAAAGAGTAAAAAAACGTAATCAGGGGAAATGTTGCTTTTAACTTAATTTTAACTAAAAAAAAAAAAAGCAGCATTGAGTTGAATAGAGAAAATGAAGATAAAGGGATCACAGAAAAATCTCGTGTTAAATTAACTGTACTTGTTTCATGGCTTACCACATCTTTGATTCATGCCAGGCCTCACACTCGGATATTGGTTTATTCTTTTTTGCACTTGGTCTATAATTCCATTCCCCTTTCCTTCCTTTGCAGACCACCACCCTAATGCTTCCAATATGCATAACTGAATCTTTAGTTAGTATTTTAATATGCATAGTGTTATGTGTATGTACATCATATTCGCATAAGTTCTATTTTGCTATATAGAGACATACAGAGTGTGCATCCCATGACATGGAACTTTTTTATCTCTATTAACTCACAGTGATAGACAACTATGTTGCTTGCTTCCAATGCCCACTAAATGCTGCAATGAGCATCCTCATATATTTGCTTTCAGTTTGAAAGTTTCTTTGGGGTATAGACCCATTAGTAAAACTCCCAAGGCACAGGGCATGCACATACTTGATTTGACCAACGTCACCAGATTGTTCTTCGGAAGGTTGCTCCAGGCTACACACCCACCAGGCTGTGCATCCACCGGCAGTACATGGAAATTCCTGTTTCTTCTCATGTCCACAGAATAACTTCTCGTTGAGGGGGCATTCTGATGGGTGTAAAGTGATGGTTTCTTGTTTTATTTTGCATTTCTCTGATTACTGTGGGTAATGGTTTTGGGTTTGAACATCTTCTAACAGAAGTGATGGTAATTAAAGTTTCTTCTTTTATTAATTGCCTCTTTAGATCTCTTGCCAATTTAGCTATGGATTTTCAATCTTTGATTTATAGGAGTTACTGGTATATTATATTATTTTTAGTTTTAGATACAGAAATTATCTTTCCTCAAATTCCTCAACGACCTAAAGACAGAAATACCATTCAACCCAGCAAACCCATTACTGAGTATATACCCAAAGGAATAGAAATTGTTCTCTTATAAAGACACATGCATGCATATGTTCACTGCAGCACTATTCACAATAGCAAAGACATGAACTCAACCTAAATCCCCATCAATGATAGACTGGATAAAGAAAATGTGGTACATATACATCCTGGAATAATATGCAGCTATAAAAAAGAATGAGATCATGTCCTTTGCAGGAACGTAGAGGCCATTGTCCTTAGCAAACTAACACAGGAACAGAAAACCAAATACCACATGTTCTCACTTATAAGTGGGAGCTAAATGATGAGAACACATGGACACGTAGAAGGGAACAACACACACTGGGGCCTATCGGAGGGTGAAGGGTGGGAAAAGAGAGAAGATCAGGAAAAGTAACAAATGGATACTAGGCTTAATACCTGGGTAATGAAATAATCTGTACAACAAACCCTCATGACACACATTTACCTATGGAACAAACCTGCACATCCTGCACATGTATACCTGACCTTCAAATTAAAAAAAATAAATAAATAAGATGTTTTCCTTGCATACCTTTGGGCACACAGACCATAAACAAACAAAATCACAAATTGATAGGAATAAAATATTTGTCATTCCCATTAGAGTTTAAGTATAATGTGACTAGAACTCTTCTGCCTTTCGCCGCAACTTTTCATGAAGTACAAATTTAAAAACAAAGAAATTATCTTTCCTCTATCTACTGTTTGCTAACTTTGTCTATAGCATCAATCATTGAATACAAATCCTTAATTGTGGTGTAATCAAATCCATAAATTTTTCACAGAACTTCTGTTTGGTTTTTGGTTCTGTTTTTTAAAAATCTGTGTATATGCTTAAATTGTAAAATCATTTCTTCTGTGGTTGCTCTCATTACCTTTGTAATTTTTCTGTTCACGTCTACGGGTAAGGATCCAATTTTAATTTTGTCTGTATACTGAGTCTGTTTTGCCCAATTCTACCAACTAATAATCTACCCTTTCCTCATTGGTTTGTAGCATCTTGTTTATTTATTTGAGACAGTCTTACTCTGTCACCTAGGCTGGAGTGCAGTGGCATGATCTTGGCTCACTCCAGCCTCCGCCTCCCAGGTTCAAGCAATTCTCATGCCTCAGCCTCCTGAGTTGCTTGGAATGCAGGCACACGTGTGGCACCTTCTTCTACCATATAACAAGTTGCATTTATATGCAAGTCCTTCCATGTTCTACTTTACTGCATTGATACTTTTTACTGTTTCTATATCAGTACCAAATTTATTTTCATTTCTGTTGCTTTATAATATGTCTGAATCTATGGTAGGATAAATCCTCCTCCTTGTTTTTGTTATTTAAGTTAACTTATTCATACCTGGATATGTAGTTTAGAATTTTACAAGTTGCTAACATGAAACTGGAGTTTTGATTGAGATTGCATTGAATTTATAGATTACATTGGGAAGAAATGACAGTCTTACAATGTTGTCAACTCAACTATGAACACAGACTTTCCACTTATTCAAATATTTTATATTAGCTAATAGGCTTTACTTTTTTCTTATGTATTCTTTGTTTAGAATGAATTATGTGTATTTATAGCTTTCATTACTTTTGTGAATGACATCATATGTTGTAATCTCTATTTTTTATTGTTGTTGTTGAGAAATACTAATTTTGTAAGTTTATCTTCTATCAACAAACTTGAAAACCTCTCTCACTTGTCCTGAACGTTTTTCTGCTGATTCAGTTAATTTTTCTATCCAAATGATTATATCGAGTACAAATATTGCAAACTTCTTCTCCTCTTTCAAGCCTTACAATCCATATACCTCTTCTTTATTTTTCTTGTTTCAGAGCATTATCTAAGTTTAATTTGGACCAATAAGGTTAGAAATACAGAAAAAATTTGAAGAAAAGCGATCACTTTATCATAAAGTTTAAAAACAGACTTATATGTATGCTGGATTTTAGCTGTAACCAGATATAAGTTGAAAATACCCTGTACTTTGAGATTTATACATTATCACTGAAACCTCTCAGCTTTTGGGAAATCCAATCGATTGTCCAAGATTTCTATGAATTTTCAGGGGATTACACCCTCATGGCTTTCAGATCCTTCACCCCATGAACGTCACTCACATTTCATTTCCTGCCACTTTACTCTTCTTTCTATTACCACCAACAATGACACGGAAGTTGGTTCCCATTCTTTGACTTCCTAAGGAAGTCATGCATGTAAAAGGCTTTACTCAAAGTGTGGAGGAATCGAAGATATTTGCCTTAGAGTAAGACAATTAATTTAAAATAAAATATTAACATTCTTGTACTTAAAAGTACTTTCGTACATTTCTTGTAAGAATGTGAAATGATATAGCTACTCTGAAAAACAGAGTTTGGCAGCTTTTTAAATAAAACTAAATGTGCAAATACCATAAAGCCCAGTAATTTTACTCTTGCCATTTATCCCAGAGAAATGAAACACACAAAAACTTGTACATAATGTTCATAACAGCTGCATTCATAATAGGCCAAACTGGAAATAACCAGGTGTCCTAGATCAAAATATGAAAATGGGGCATAGCAGAAAGGTGAGTGAAATGGTGAAGGCTTAACGGGTGAATGATTTGAAAAATTGTGGGACATTTATGGCATGGAGTACTATTCAGAAATACAAAGGAACAAACCACTGATGCATGTGACAACTTGGTTGAATCTCCAAGTAATTAGGTTGAGTGAAAAAAGGCTAGTCCCCAGTGGTTACACACTGCATGATTCCATTTATATAAAATTATTGAACTAGGAAAAGTATAGAAATGGAGAATAGATTTACGGTTGCTGGAAGTTAGGGACAGTGAGGTGTGGAGTGTGAGAGAGCTGTGTGTGGTTATAAAAAGAAAGGTGAGGAATCCTTATGGTCTTGGAACTGTTCTGTATCTTGACTGTGATGGTGGATCTAGAAGCCCACCTGTGTGATAAAATTGCATAGAATTAAATACACACACACACACACACGAGCAACACACACACACAAGAACACAAGGAGAACTGGGGAGTCTGAATAAGATTGGTGGTGTCCATATCCTGACTGTGAAATTGTACTGGGGTTTTGCAAGGTGTTACCACTGGGCAAACTGGTAAAGGGTACACATGATCTCTCTGTATTCTTTCTTTCTTTCTTTTTTATTAGATACTGGAGGCTTCACTATGTTGCCCAAGCTGGTCTTGAATTCCTGGCCTCAAGTGATCCTCCTGGCTCGACTTCCCAAAGTGCTGGGATTATAGGCATAAGCCACTGTGCCCAGCCTCTCCCTGTATTGTTTCTTACAACTGCATGTGAATCTTCAATTATTTCAAAATCATAATAAAAAAAAAAAGAATACTTGAACAATCTCGACACCAAGAAGTACTCATTAGCTGTCTTTCTCTACAGACTTCAGCTCAGCCTTTCCCTCGTCCTTTCTCCTCCCTTATTTTCAAATCCTGGCTGGTACCCAAAGCAGCATATCAGGCACTTTCCTAAGCAGTCATAACCTGGATGTTGGCCTCCACATGCAGTTTCTGTTTTCACTCTTGCATTTAACATAAAGAGATCACTTGTCCCAGAACATTGGCTAGCAACAAATATATCTGAATGAAAAATTAGGGAGAAGTATGAAGGATGATGCACAGTGTTCATTCCAAGAATCCACACTAGACATCTCTTCCTAATTCTCTTTTCTCATTCTTAAAATGCCCAGGTCTCCTGTCTTTTCACCTTCCACCCAAAGCTTGGCCTGCTCTCTCTCAGCTCCCGCCTCTCCCTTCCTGGTGAGTAATCCCATCTTTGCCTCCGTCCTCCCACCCGTTCTGCCTGATCTCTTCAACTTTCGTCTGCAGCCCAATTTAACTTTCTTCCAGTTTCCAAAAGATGAAGCTGATGAGGGCACCAGATGTCAAAGAATTTAGGGACTGAACACATTTATTCCCTTTTAAAGAAGGCTTAGGAGTGCTAAAGCTGTCATGAAGCTCACTTTGTATTGTTCCAGAGGGAAGAATTAAGTACAAATTAGAGACAGCTAGATTTTGAGTTAGTAGAGGAAATACGTTCTAACAAAGATTACTGCCCAGGTGTACCACTTGATGATAGACAAGATGTACCTCCGACATTGTGAGCATTCTGTCACTTAAAATTTTCAACCAAAGACTAAAAGAATAGTTGAGAGGGTGATGGAAGTATAAATCACTGCAATAGGCAATTGGCATAGATCCAACAAGATGATTCTAAATATAACCTTGAGTCACTGAAATGCGAACAAGAAAAGGGGAATAGAATCATCAGCTAACACAGGGATGTCCAATCTTTTGGCTTCCCTGGGCCACAGAGGAAGAAAAAGAATTATCTTGGGCCACATATAAAATACCCTAACACTAATGATAGCTGATGAGCTTTAAAAAAATCACAAAAGAAAATCTCATAATGCTTTAAGAAAGTTCACAAATTTGTGTTGGGCTGCATTCAAAGCTGTCCTCGGCTGCATGCAGCCTACAGGCCACAGGTTAGGCAAGCTTGAGCTAACATTTATCCAGTCCTTCCTGTGTTCTGGGCACTATGTTGCTGTCATTATCATTCTTCTTATTGTTGTTATTAAGTTATTGCGTGTTAAGTAAAATTTGACAGTAAACTTGTGCAATGTATAAGCAATGTCTTTTGCCAAACATCATATCCATTATACTTCATTTTTGACCTTTTTAAGTGGTTACCCAGAATTTGCAATATACATTTACAAGGAATCCAAGTACATTTTCAAGTAACACTATTTCACTTCAAATGATATGTCACCCTAAATATGAGTATGTCATAATAATAAAATCATCCTAATTTCTTCTCCTATCCCTTGTATCATTGCTGTCATTCATTTCACTTAAATATAAGGGCATATATGTATTTTTCATAGATAGGAAGACTCAATATTTTCAAGACATTTATCTTTTCCACCTTGATCTATAGATTCAATGCAACTCCAATAAAAATCCCAGCAAGTTGTACATAGAAGTAAACCAATTCTAAAGTTCACATAGAGAGGCAAAAGATCCACAATGCCAAATACAATATTGAAGAACAAAGTCAGAAGACTGGCATTATCCAACTTCAAAATTTACTATAAAAGTACAGTAATCAAGACACGATATACTGGCAAAAGAAGAGACAAATAAATCGGTGGAACACAATAAAGGACCCAGAAATAACCCACATTAAGTAGTCACGCAGCACATAATAACACTTTGGTCAATAATGGATTGGATAAACAACAGTGGTCCCATAAGATTATAATGGAGCTGAAAAATTCCTATCACCTAGTGACATCACAGCCGCCACAGTGTCATAGCACAATGCATTTTCTGTGTTTATGGTGGTGCTGATGTAAACAAACCTACTGTCTCACCAGTTGTATAAAAGTATAACACATACAGTTTTGTATAGTACATTGTACTTGATAATGATCATAAGTGACTACAGTAGTGGTTTATGTATTTACCATGCTGTGTTTTTCATCATTATTTTAGAGTGTACTGCTTCTACTTCTTAAAAAAAAAAGTTAACTGTAAAACAGCCTTAGGCAGGTCCTTCAAGAATATTCCAGAAAAAGGCATTGCTATCATAGGAGATGATAGCTCCATGCATGTTATTGCCCCTGAAGTCTTTCCAGTGGTGCAAGATCTGGGAGATGGAAGACAGTGATATTGATGATATGACCCTGTGTAGGCCTAGGCTCATGTGTGTGTTTGTGGCTTCATTTTTAACAAAAAAGTTATAAAATTAAAAAATAAGAAAGCATGTAGAATAAGAATATAAAGAAAAGAATTTGGACAGTTGTACCAATTAAAAATTTTATTAAGTAAAAAATTAGAGTAAGCTAACATGAATTTACTATTAAAGAAAGAAAAAATTTTAAATAAATTTAATGTAGCCCAAGTGTGCAATGTTTATAAAGTCTACAGGAGTGTACAGTAATGTCCTATGCCTTTACATTAATTCACCACTCATTCACTGACTAACCGAGAGTGACTTCCAGTCTTGCAAGCTCTATTCATGATAGGTGCCCTATGCAGAAATGCCATTTTTAATCTCTTAATGCCATATTTTTACTGTACCTTTTCTCTGTTTAGATACACCAATACTTTCCATTGTGTTACAATTGTCTACAGTATTCAGTAGAGTAACATGCTGCACAGGCTGGTAGCTTAGGAGCAATAGGCTAGATCACATAGCCTAGGTGTGTAGCAGGCTGTACCATCTAGGTTTGTGTGAGGTCTCTCTGTGATGTTCACACAATGACGAAATTGCCTAATGAAGCAATTCTGAAAAATGATGCATTTTTCAGAATGTGTCCCCCTCATTAAGTGATGCATGACTGTATAGTCTACTAATTGTTGACAAAGGAGCAAGGCAATACAACAGAAAAAAGATTTTCAACAAATAGTGCTGAACAATTGGACATCTACATGCAAAAAGAAGAGAATCTAGACAGATACTTTACATGCCTCAGAAAAATTAACTCAAAATAAGTCACAGACCTAAATGTAAAGTGCACAACTATAAAACTCATAGACAATAGAAGAAAATTGAGATGACCTTGGGTTTGGCAATGACATTTTAGTTACAACACCAGAGGTACAAGTCATGAAATAAAGAGTTGACAAGCTGGACTTAATTAAAATTAAAAGTTTCTGCTTTGCAAAAGATACTGTTGGCTGGGCTCTGTGGCTCATGCCTGTAATGCCAGCACTTTGGGAGGCCAAGGCAGGTGGATCACCTGAGGTCAAGAGTTTGAGACCAGCCTGACCAACATGGTGAAACTTTCTCTGTGCTAAAAATACAAAAATTAGCCGGGTGTGGTGCCAGACACCTGTAATCCCAGCTACTCAGGAGGCTGAGGCAGGAGAATCACTTGAACCGGGAGGCAGAGGTTGCAGTGAGCCAAGATCATGCCATTGCACTCCAACCTGGGTAACAGAGCAACACTCTGTCTCAAAAAAAAAAAAAAAAAAAGATACCGTCAAGAGAATGAAAAGACAAGCCACAGACTGGGAGGAAATATTTATAAAAGGCATATCTAATAAAGGATTGTTATCCAAAATATACAAAGACCTTTTAGAACTCAACAATCTGAAAACAAACAACTCAATTAAAAATTAGGTAAAAGACCTGAGCAGATACCTCACCAAAGAAGACATACAGATAAAAAATAAGCACATGAAAACATGTTCCATGTCATGTACCATTAGAAAAATGAAAATTAAAACAGCAATCAGACACCACCATGCACCCATTGGAATGGCCAAAATTTAGAACACAGACAACACTAAATGCTAGCAAGAATGTGGGACAACAGAAATTCTCATTCATTGCTGGGGGCAATGCAAAATGGTACAGATACCTTGGAAGACAGCTTGGCAATTTTTTACAAAACGGAACATACTGTTACTGTAAGATCCAGCAATTTTGCTCCTTGGTGTTTACTCAAAGAAGTTAAAAACTTACGTCCACACAAACCTGCATAGAGATATTTATAGCATCTTTATTTATAATTACCAAAACTTGGAAGCAACCAAGATTTCCTTTAGTAGGCAAATGGGTAAGTAAACTGTGGTTATTCAAGACAGTAAATAACAACACGAAATATTATTCAGCACTAAAAATAAATGAGTTAGCAATCTATGAAAAGACATGGAGAAAACTTAAATACCTACTGCTAAGTGGAAGAAGCTAATTTGAAAAGGCTACATACTGTAAGATTCTAACTATATGACATTCTGGAAAAGGCAGAATTGGACACAGTAAAAAGATCAGTGGTTGCCAGAGATTAGGGAGAGGGAGCGATCAATAGGATGTATCACAGAGGATTTTAGGGAGGTAAAACTATTCTGTATGATGGTATGTGGTGGTTACATGTTATTATAAATTTATCTAAACCCAAAGAATGTGCAACACCAAGGGTGAACCCTCTTGTAACTATGGACTTTGGGTGATAATAACCTGTGAATGTAGCTTTATCAATTGTAACAAATGTACCACTGGGGTAGGGAATTTTGAACATGGGAGAGGCTGTGTATATGTGGTGGCAGGGATATATGTCAAATCTCTATACCTTCTGCTTAAATATGCTATGAACCTAAAAGTGATTGGCACTTCTTAAATGTAAAAGAGAAACTGTTATCTGGTTCTGACCACCATATTTTGGAGTTTTCTGTTACTTGCAGCCAAATCTGACCTAATTTATACAGTCCCTAGCATGGGCTAATTTTCATCAATATTGGCCACTTCGAAATTTATTTTTCCCATAGTAAAAATAAAAGCAATGGGCACTTATTCCTATTTTTTAAAAATAGAAATAAGTAAATTACCCTAGACTCTATAATGCTTACATTCTAGTAAATATAGCTAAGGTCATATTATATAATCATTTTTACAATCTGTTTTAAAATTTAACATTATTTCATACATTTCTACGTTTCTATTATTTTTTGAAAAAATACTCTGCAAACTGTTCAGTTAATTGGGTGACCTATCATTTGTTTGATGATGCTAAGCTTGGTTCTTCTTTCCCTCTATAGTAGATATCATTACAATAAAAGTATTTATATTTCAACAGCAGATTTTTACTTATTTTATTTTATTTTATTTTATTTTATTTTATTTTATTTTATTTTATTTTATTTTATTTTATTTTATTTTGTGATGGAGTCTCACTCTGTCACCAGGCTGGAGTGCAGTGGCACAATCTCGGCTCACTGCAAACTTTGCCTCCTGAGTTCAAGCGATTCTCGTGCTTCAGCCTCCCAAGTAGCTGGTATCACAGGCACACGCCACCACACCCACTATTTTCTGTATTTTTTACTAGAGATGGGGTTTCACCATGTTGGCCAGGATGGTCTCGATCTCCTGACCTCATTGTGATCCTCCCACCTCAGCCTTCCAAAGTGCTGGGATTACAGGCATGAGCCACCGTGCCCAGCCAGACGTTTTTAATATTAATGTATATTAGTGTGTCAGTCAGGGTCCAGCTAGGAGACAGAAACCACACCAGTAATTTGAATAGAAAAAAATTAATATAAAAAATCATTAACAAGCAACAAAGGAATTAACTACTAAAAAGAGATACAAGAGAATGCTAAGGAATGAGAACAGCCCAAGAAGGAACATGGAAGGGGCCCCTTCTCCAAGACTAGGTTTGTTTCAGACATCCTTAAGAGGACAGCTGTGGTTCAGCGGAAGGTGAGAAAGCCTGAGTGGCACTGGGCCACAGCAGGCAGGTCAAGGATGACGAGCAGGAAACCACTGGCCAGCAATGAGAAGCAACACTCGCTGGTGGCTGAGCACCCTCATGTGCCCTGCAGGCAGGCAGCCGAACCAAAAAAAGCAAGAAATGAGAAAGCCCACTGAAACCCGGATGAGAAGCCCCTTCCTCCCAGAATGTGCCTCCAGTGGCCCCTACAGGCAAAAGCTCAGCATTGTGCCAGCTGGATAATGAGAAATGTTGGCAGGGTTCAGCTCTAGTAACACAAAGCAGGGAAAAGAACGGCAGACGTGGACCTAAAAGACAACACACAATAAATTGATAACTTACATAACCACCAACCATTTATTCTTCTTCTGATAATTGTACCCCAATTTTTCATATCTACTTTTTTGCTCTCTTTTTTGTTGAAATGAAGTCTTGCCCTGTCACCCAGGCTGCAGTGCAGTGACTCAATCGTCGCTCACTGCAACCTCCAACTCCCAGGTTCAAGCGATACTCGTGCCTCAGCCTCTGGAGTAGCTGAAATTATAGGTGTGCACCACCACACCTGACTAATTTTTGTATTTTTAGTAGAGGCAGGGTTTCACCCTGTTGGTCAGGCTGGTCTCGAACTCCTGACCTCAGGTGATCCTCCTGCCTCAGCCTCCCAAAATGCTGGGATTACAGGCATGAGCTACTACACCTGGCCCTATCTACTTTTTTAGTCAATATACTCCAACCAGATTATCACATCTCCTTAGCCATGGTGATTGGTGTGAAGATGATATGGGACCCAGGCAGAGATATCTACCTGTCTCTCTATCTATCTATCTGTCTGCCTGTCTGTCTGTCTTTGTATCAAAGCTTATTCTGAATCCATAGACTGAGTCATTTGCTGGTTGAACAAGGAATAATGTCAGTCTTTTGCTGCTGGGCACAGCACACAGAGCGATGCAGCTGAAAGTATGACACCAGAGGGTCCTGATGAGTTTGTTTAGGCCTTAAAGCCAGCCATCCATGGACTTTTCAGTTACATGAGCCAATACGTTTCCACTTTTCTGTAGCTCAGTTGAATTAGGTTATTACGCTTTCTGCTACTGGCAATGGAAATGGCCTTGACTAATACAGTTCCTCAAGTGTCCACCCATATTAGTCATTTTCAAAACTCTTAATTTATGTGGTCACGATTTTTCCCAGTAATGTTTGGACATGGCCTCTCAAATACGTCACTGTCAACATAGGGTACAGGTACGTATGACTCATTACTCATTTCATAATACATTAAATCATTCATTCAGAAAATATTGATTGAGTGACTGATATATGCCACATGCTCTGCTAGGCACTGGGAATTGATGTGTAAACAATAAAGATATTTTCCTTATTTTTCTGGGGTGTATATCTTGTGGGTATTATGGAAAAGCAACCAGCCAATAACAATACAGGATGAATGTCATGCTGGGAGAGCCCTAGGTGCTCATGGTAGCATAGAAGTGGGACATCCACCCAGACTAAGGAGTGAGGGTGAGAGAGAGGTTGAACAAAAACTTCTCAGAGAAGATAATGTCTAAACTCAGACTTTGAAGGTGCATTTTACTCCTTTAATAATCACTGATGTAGTCAGTACTACTCTAAGCACATTACAAATATAAACTCACTCAAATCCTCACAACAACATGTGAAAGGAAAATAAATCTTGGGGCTCCCAATTCACTAACCTAAAGGGAAAAGTCAAGCTGGGAACTTCTTAGGGCCAACCTGCCTCTGAGTCTATCCAAAGCCACCCTCTGCTCACTGAGATAAATGCATATCTTATTGCCTCCTTTGGAGAAGCTAACCAGAAACCCAAAAGAATGCAACCATTTTTCTTTTATCTACCTATGACCTGGAAGCCCCCTCCCCATTTCAAGTCTTCCCGCCTTTTCTTCGAGTTGTCCCACCTTTCCAGAGTGAACCAATGTTCATCTTGCGTATGTTGATCAATGTCTCATGTCTCCCTAGAATGTATAAAACCAAACTGTGCTTTGACCACCTTGGGCACAGGTTGTTAGGACCACCCGAGGCTATGTCATGGGCATGTGTCCTCAACTGTGGCAAAATAAACTTTCTAAATTTCTAAATTAACTGAGACCTGTCTCAGACTTTTGTAGTTCACAAATCCTATGACGTAGATACTATTATCCTCATTTTACAGATGAGGAAACTGAGGCATGGAAAAATTAAGCGGCTTTCCCCAGATTACACAGCCAGTAAGTGGCCAAGTCATAGTACAAGCCAAGGGAGGGTGAACTCCAGAGCTCATGCTTTTAATCAATTCCCCATGTTGCCCTTCAGAGGAGGATGAGAAGTATTTAATAATCAGTAGATGAAAGGAAAAAAAGGAATAGTATACATGTCATCCTGGTAAGAAAAAGGGAATGACATGGTCAAGAAGTCAAAAGAAGGGCAACAAAACTGGACCTAGAGTTGGTAGGTGGCACAGGAAGGTAGTGAGAGGAGAAGGCAAATGATGCATAGCTTTGTAAGTAAGATTAAGGAACTGTGGACATTATCCTAAGAGTGAGATGTCCTCCAAAGGCTTCATAAAAGGGGAGCAGCATGATCAGATATATGTTTAAGATGACTCTGGCTAGTGTGAAAGGAAATGGGGGTGTTCTATTGGGAGGCAATTCTGATAATCCAGGTACCTTAGGCTGCCATAGCAAAATACCATGGACTGGATGGCTTAATTTATTTTCTCATAGTTCTGGGGGCTGGGAAGTCCAAAACAAAGGTACCAGTAGATTCAGTTGCCGGTAAGGGCTCTTTGCCTGAATTGCAGGTGGCCACCTTCTTCCTGTGTCTTCATATGGCAGAGAGAGAGAGAGAGTGTACCCTGGTGTCTCTTCTTAAAAGGGGACTAATCCCACCATAAAGGCCCCACCGTCATGACCTCATCTAACTCTAAGGCCCCATCTCCAAATACCATCACATTAGAGGTGAAAGACTCAGTATATGAATTTGTGAAAGATACAAACAGTCAGCCCTTAACACCAGGTAAGAGATTCCAATGGAATCAATGAAAAGTATCAGGCCACTGGGGATGAGATGACAGATTACGGATGCCCAGATTTGAGACATATTTAGGAAGTAAACTTGACAGAACACTGAAATGGTTTGATATACTCTTAAGGAAGAAAGAGAATAAGGATACCTAGATTGGCTTGGCACCATTCACTAAGGTAAGGAATAAAGAAAGATGAACATGTTAATGACTTCTGTCTCTGATCCACTGGACATTGAGAGTACCTGGAGGAAATTCTAGTAAGAAGATGAGCACATGACTCTGAGGTTGAGGGTGTCTTGCACGGGAATAAAGATATGAGGCTCATAAGCAGATAGTAACTTTAGCAGTGAAGGAACAGGATGTCATTTGTAAAATTATTACTGAATAAAAAGAGAAAAAAGCCAAAGGCAATCAAAAAATGCTTGCAAAATGGTCAGATAAAGAGGAGCTCATTAAAGAGACTGAACAAGCAGGGATAGAGGTGGGAAGAAAGGGTATCAGTGAAGGAGATGGGCAACGGTGTCAAATCCCACTGAAAAACATACATTTAGGATTGAGCCTTGGAAATTAATTTAGCCATAAGAATTTCATTGTTGATGTCAGCAAGGACAATTTCACTAAAGTGAGGTGAGTGGGATCCACATTACATTCATGTGAAGAGTGAATAGAAGTAAAAAAGTGGAAATAAGTTAACATTTTTCTTTTAAGAAATTTCTTGTGAAACAAAGGAAGAGGTAGCTAGGAAGACTTGAGTTTGAAGGGGACATATTTAAAATACGTGTTGGACATATTTAAAAGTTAACAGGAAGAAGCCAGTTAATAGGGAAAGGTTGGATTTATAAGAGAAAAAGAAGGCAATCAATTGATAAGATCCCTGAGAAGACAGAGCTAGATGGGGTCCAGAGCAGAGATAGAAAGATTAACCTGCAACAGGAGGTGGGACATGCCCTTTGTGATAAGAGGGGGAAAAGGCAACGAGGGGGGAAGGAAGATGTCCGCAGTTTGGAGGATAAGAGATTGAAGATATCTGAGGACTCCTATTTTCTTTGTGAAAATGGAGGCCAGCCCATCTACTACGTGTAATGGTAGAGGGGGTTTGAGGAGTGTAGGGGAGTTTTAGGAGTGCAGGGAAGGCCTGAAATAATCCCTGAGGAAAATAAGCAAGAACTGATTAGAGAAACAACGGAAGGGCTGCACTGAGGACCCAATTGCGGTCAGGCCCACAGTTGTTGAGAGGCACAGGGAGCTTTAAGTCGAGGAATTTCCTCCAGCAGCCCTCACCAGCCTCCGTGCAAGAGCAAAGAAAACAGGCAAAGCATGTTAGTGCCGTCTTTAGATTTCCTACTCTTTGCTCAGTGTGATCATTTGTAGTTTTCTAAAAACTCAATCATCCACTTCAGTGAGATTTAAAAACTTAATTAGCATTAACCCTTTGTGGTAACTCTTTATGAATTTATAATGCTGTCTTTTGCAATAGTTTTGTTTTTTTTTCTAATTTCCTTTGACAACATTTCTGAAAAGCTGGGATATCCTGTGCATCATTTCCCTATGGCTTTTGTAACAAATCACCCCAAACGTGGTGGCTTAAAACAACACAAACTGATACTGTCACAGTTACCTAGGTCAGAAACCCGGCAGCAGTTTCACGGGTGTCAGCACGGCCACACTCACTCCAGGGTCAGTAGGGAAGAATCTTGTTTCCTTGCCTTTTCTAGCTTCTTAGAGTCCCATCCACTGCATTCCTCAGTGCATGACCCCTTCCTCATTCTCCAAAGCCAGCAGTGTAGCATGTTGCTGGAGTGGTCCCGTTGCCTTCTTCTGTCTAATCAAATCTCCCTCTGCCTTCCTTTCGTGATTGTATTTAGGGCCCACCTCAAAACTCCAGGGCAATTTCCCCAACTCAAGACTTAATTGGATCACATGTGCAAAGTCTCTTTTATGATATAAGAGTCACAGGTTCCAGAGATTAGGGCCTGGGTGTCTCTGGGGGTCATTATTCAGCCTTCCACATTCCATGGTCTGTGTAAGACCTGCCAGTTCTCCCCGGCACTAGAAGATGTCTGGAAACACTAAGCCCAATAGGAAACAGCTACTGATGGCAACCTGTCACCCTCTGAAGTCCCTGGGTGGGGACAAGGGACAGGTCATCAGGCTAGCATGCAGATTCCAAGAAGGGAGATGACTAGAAAGCTTGAATCCTATGAACTCATTTTGACCTGTGTTAAAGCCAACTCAACATGGCCTGAGAATGACTTCGTACTTCTTGAGACCTTGTGTATGAACTGCAACCTAGCTTAATAGGTAGGCAAGGCTGAAAACTTAACTTAGGAGTGTGTGTCTGTAACAATAGCTGAGTCTTGGCCAATCCCAGCGGCCATACACTGGGGACTGTTCAAACGGTGTTCAAATAAGGCAAACGCAGAGCAGTAACCAGTTGAGCCGTACTGTACCTTGCTTCCGATTTCTGTGTGTCATTTCCCTTTTTTTGTCTATAGATCTTCTTCCACCACGTGGCGTGCTGCAGTCTCTCTGAATCTACTGTGATTCTAGCGGCTGCCCGATTTGCGAATGGGTCATTGCTCAATTAAACTCCTTTAAATTTAATTTGGCTGAAATTTTTCTTTTTTTCAGCTACCTAAAGGAAATTAAGATACATCCTTTTGCGGGTGGAAGAGTGAGCTTGAGAGATGAAGAGAATGAGACATGACAGGAAAATAGTCACCTACACCCAGTAACGAAAACTACACTCCAAACTTTTCCTCTCAGTGCCTCTAAACGGTCATGGTTTATCTGCACCTTGGCTAGTTATTATCTCACATGTGCCTAAGGATTTGTTAACTTTAACAACAACAACAACAAAACATTATTATACTTCTAACATTTCATCCTTTTGAAACCGCCTTTGCAAAATTATAACTGAGGAAATTATGACCGTGAAAGAAATCAGACCTAACCGACTCCATCTTGCTTCTAACCCTTAAGCTGTCCTTGTTCATTCCTGGCTGTAGACCAAACTAGCTTTGGGAAGGAATTCAGTTTACGGTTTGAATCTGAAACAAAACTGATGGCAGACCTTTCTGGAAAAGACCTCCTTCTTCTCTGGGGTCGAGACTGCTTTTGCAGGACTAACAAATTAGCTTAGAAATTATAGTTTAGGGGTCACGCAGCCTCTGGCTCCAAAAGCCTGAACCTTCCCAGATTGCTCCTTGGGGTAACATCACTATTGTAAAACCTACAGTGCTTGAGCATCAGTGCTTGAGATATTTTGCACACTCTGCACTGGATGGATCAGCTGACACCACCCAGACTGGTAATGTGGCCCAACCAGTCCTGCCATCATACCCAGGAACAGAAGAACCAAGAAAAACTCACTTCCACCCCCTATGATTCCATCTCCAACCTGACCAATCAGCACTCCCCACTTCCCAAGCCCCTACCTGCCAAATTATCTTTAAGAACTCTGATCCCCGAATGCTCGGGGAGACTGATTGAGTAATAATAAAACTCCAGTCTCCCGCACAGCCAGCTCTGCCTTCATTACTCTTTCATTGCAATTCCCCTGTCTTGATAAATCAGCTCTGTCTAGGCAGCAGGCGAGGTGAACCCATTGGACGGTTATGCCCTTTTGACTTTCTCTCATGAAACTAGTAATTTTCTGGGACAAAGAAAGTACTTGACTGGCATTACCACGCAGTGGCTCTGCACCAATTTCAGCTTCCCTTCCATGTCACAGCACCCTTAAAGTCATGCAGTCCAGCTCTGTGTAATCCTTTACCGAGAGCATATGACAGCAGAGCACAAACCCAGAGCATTCCAAGAAACTCATCCTGGGCACAAGAAGGGCTAGAAATGAAAATTATTTTGATTGAGGAACTCTGACGTCATTGTCATTCTTATAAAGGTATCTGCTTTCTGTTCAATGGTTTACAGAGCAGAGAGGACTGGACAATTGCCAGAACCACCGCTTCTTTCTGTTGTTCTTACTCTTAGACAACACGAATTAGGAGACCCCAACCTCTTTGGTTTGTATCCAGAAATTTAGACAGAACAATCAGGGACAGTGATGTTTATATCTCAATCAACAGCTTTCCAAAAATTATTAATGACATAAGCTTATGTGTTATATAAACATAGATGTGGGCCATGTGAGATGGCTCACACCTGTAATCCCAGCACTTTGGAAGGCAGAGGTGGGCAGCTCACCTGAGGTCAGGAGTTCGAGACCAGCCTGGCCAACATGGCGAAACCCTGTCTCTACTAAAAATACAAAAATTAGCTGGGTGTGGCGGTGGGCACCTGTAATCCCAGCTATTTGGGAGGCTGAGGCATGAGAATCACTTGAACCTGGGAGGTGGAGGTTGTAATGAGCTGAGATTGCACCACTGCCCTCCAGCTTGGGTGACAGAGTGAGATTCTGCCTCAAAATAAAAACAAAAATCAATAAAAATATGCTAAACATAGATGCGTAAAGAGGTGGCTATTGACATAGAGGCAGGAGACCTGTGTTCTAATGCAATTCCAGCCCTGGCCCTAGCACTGTACTGTGCCATTTTGATAAAAATATTTTCTCCATCAGGACTTTACTTTTCTGGGTTGTAAAATAGATGAGTTGCACTAAATTATTTGAATGGTTTATCTCTCATAGGCCACTATTGCATGATTTTGCCTATGTGTCAAAAGACATTAGATTCAGGACAATTTAAAGGTCTGTAAAACATTTAGCTGGATTTTTCATAGAAAAAGTAGCTATCAATCAGATACCTCTGCACAGTCATTTGATTCTTACTTTGTGTTTGTTTGCATTAGTGAATATGAGCAAAACAGGCATTTCTGAAGCCAAAATCTAAGCATATTTTTCCTTTACAAGCCTTTTTATAATGAAAGTTTCCAAATCTTCCCAAGGTTTGTTTGCTACCTAGGGCATTTTTTTTGAAATGCTTTTGAAAATGCTTAAATACTTAAAAAATAAGGCATCATGTCCTATTAAAGCAAAGGCAATATTGTTTCTATAAAATAAATTTCATCTCTTTAGAATTGAAAAAGTTATCTTGAAGACAATAGCAACAGAATATATATCATATACTTAGCTTGAAAAATATCTCACAGGATTTCACAGCAACGGCTATTTAAACATTTGAATTATGAGAAGGTTTTCAAGTTTGTCAAGGATGAAGAGATGGCTAAAATCAGAGGTTGGAAACTGCAGGTCAGAGCCACCTGAGGTTATTTTAGTTTGGCCCACATAGAATCTTAAGAATTCAAAAATTTCACCAAAAAAAAAGTACATTTGGGCTGCTCTTGAAAAATGGAAAAATCAGGCCACCCTGGGGATGTTTTTCCTACTTATGCCAATCAGCAGCCTGGGTAGTGGGTGTTCTTGTTATTAGAAGCAGACAGACCAATGCCACATTCTGCATTCCCAGCACTCCCAACTGTACCACCCCATTTATTTCTTTTATTCACATAACTTTCTGCTCCTGGAGATATTCAGGTTTTCTCTCCATGCTTTGAACATACAAACAAGAAATAAACATTCGACTTTTATGAACGTGATCCATAGATGAGAACACAGGAATTTCTCCCCTATCATCACTTGTGGCTAGCTCTTTTAAGCTGAGAAATGCCAAACGGCCAGGGACAAACTACAAAAGACCTCCCAGGTGGCATGAGGAGGAAGGGAAATGGCAGAACAGCCTCAGTATGGCCAAGTGTTGAGGACTGACTGCATTCAGGGGAGGTAGCTTAACTACTACCCTAACATGAGCATCTCTGAGCCATGCATTGCAGAGATGCTTATGAAGACTGCAGTGGGAGTTTGAATAGCGCAGGGAAGGCCTGAAAGAGTCTCTGAGGAAAATAAGCAAGAACTGATTAGAGAAACAATGGAAAAGCTGCAGTGAGGACCCAATTGTGGTCAGGCCTACGATGGTTGAGAGGCACAAGAGCCTTAAGTGAAGGAACCTTCTCCAGCAGCCCTCACCAGCCTCAATGCAAGTGCAAAGAAAACAGGCAACGCAAGTTAGTGCTGCCTGGAGTGACAGCACTTGCGGAAATGATTCCCATTCCTTTATTTTCATTTCATTTTATTTGATTTTTGAGACAGAGTCTCACTCTGTTGCCTAGGCTGGAGGGCAGTGGTGCAATCTTGGCTCACTGCAACCTCTGCCTCCTGGGTTCAAGTGATTCTCTTGCCTCAGCCTCCCAAGTAGCTGGGACAACTGCCACGCATCATTGCACCTAATTTTTTTATTTTTAGTAGCGATGGGGTTTCACCACATTGACCAGGCTGGCCTCGAACTCCTGACCTCAGGTGATCTGCCTGCCTCAGCCTCCCAAAGTGGTGGGATTACAGGCGTGAGCCACCGTGCCTGGCCTCATTCCTTTAGTTGTCTCCAACTGGATGGGCCACATTCATGATGAAGCACTGATATCAGTTTCTCCTTCTGGAAAATTATGAGGACATGTGCTACAGGGGCTACAAAATGGATCTCTGAGTGGCTACAATTCCTAAGTAGAAGCGAAAATAATTCTGGAAAGATAGACGCTCATGTGTTTGAAAATATATGGCTTAAAATGAAACAGGTCCAGAATGCAAATGCTAGAGGAAGGGTAAATTACATTTCCATATTTTTAATAGCTTTAGCACAATTGGGCATAGATATTTTACTTGATTTTTTGGATAGGTAATACAGTTATGTGATTCAAACAGCAAAAAAAAAAAAAAAAAAAAAACCAAATCCCCCAATCCCCTTTCTCCCACTAAACACACATAGTTCTTGTTGGTTTTTTTGTTTGTTTCAGAGAAACTATATGCATATAGGAGCAAATAGAGATACATATTTTTTTCTTTCCCCTCCTTTTAAAAATAATTGAAACCATAATCTGTACTTTGCTGTACCTCGCTTCTTTTCCCCTAGCAATATGTCTTGGAAATTGTTCCCTGTTAACACACAAACAATCTACTTATTCCTTTTTACACTTATAAAGTAGCCATTGTATAAATGTATCATAATTTATTTAGTTATTTCCTTTTGATGGACATTTGGATTGTTTCCAATCAATCTTCTGCTACTACAAATAATGTGGCAATAAAAAACTTTAATATGCCTGGCATGGTGGCTCATGCCTGTAATCCCAGCACTATGGGAGGCCAAGGTGGGCTGACTACCTGAGGTCGAATATTCGAGACCAGACTGACAAACATGCAGAAACCCTGTCTCTACTAAAAATACAAAACATTAGCCAGGCGTGGTGGCACATGCCTGTAATCCCAGTTATTCGGGAGGCTGAGGCAGGAGAATCGCTTGAACCCAGGAGGCAGAAGTTACGGTGAGCCGAGATCGCACCATTGCACTCCAGCCTGGGCAACCAGCAAAACTCCATTTCAACAACAAATAAATAAATAAAACATCAATATGTGCCATTATATTATATATATATAATTGTGTATATAAATACACAGACATATACACACACACTGGCATTACTATAGAATAAAATTCTAGAATGAAATTGTCAGGGAACAAGATACATTCATTTGCTGTGCTACATATACACCATAGAATACTACGCAGCCGTAAAAAAGAACAAGATCATGTCCTTTGCGGCAATATGGGTGGAGCTGGGGCCATTATCCTAAGCAAACTAACGCAGCAACAGAAAACCAAATCCTACATGTTCTCACTTATAAGTGGGAGCTAAAAATTGACTACACATGGACACAAAGAAGGGCACAACAGACACCAGGACCTACTTGAGGATGGAAGGTGGGAGGAGGGTGAGGATCGGAAAACTACTAAACCTATTACTTGGATAATGAAATAATCGGAGCACCAAACCCCAGTGACATGCAATGTACTTATATAACAAACCAGCACACGTACCCCTGAACCTAAAAGCTGAAAAAAGATACATGCATTTGTGATTTTCATAGCACTGCCAAATGGCCCTTCATAAGGCTGACAACAACTTATCCTCTTACCACTAGTGTTTAAGAGTGTCTGTTTCCCCACTGCCTCACCCAAACACATGAACAAACTTTTGAAATTATCTTGCTCCAGCAGTCTGTCCTGACTACGTATTCGTGCACTGTTAATTTGTGGTTTCCATGATCAAAACTCAAGAGGTTTTTTTGTTTTTGTTTTTGTTTTTTTGAGACAGCATTTTTGCTCTTGTTGCCCAGGCTGGAGTGTAGTGGCATGATCTCAGCTCACTGCAACCTCTGCCTGCCGGGTTTAAGTGATTCTCCTGCCTCAGCCTCCCGAGTAGCTGGGATTACAGGCACGTGCCACCATGCCCGGCTAATTTTTTTGTATTTTTAGTAGAGACGGGGTTTCACCATGTTGGCCAGGCTGGTCTTGAACTCCTGACCTCAAGTGATCCACCCAACTCAGCCTCCCAAAGTGCTGAGATTACAGGCATGAGCCACCGCGTTCTGCCCAGGAGTCAAGAGTTTATTGTTTGTGTATTTGGTAAGACTATTCCCTAATCATTGCTCTCATTTATAGAACTTTTAAGAAAGTCTCAATTATTTCTTTCTTCTGTAGAAAGCTAGGTACCACCTTGACTGGCTCTTCTGGTTGGATGGGTTCTTCACTTCATGCTAGCTGTGGTGAAATCCAAACTCGGGTTGGCTCCTGAGGAACAAGGAGGCAGTGGAGAGCCACATCGATTCACCTGTGTTCTTGATCTTACAGTGTTCTTCCACTGCTTGTTTATGAGTTCGGTGTAAACTAAAGTAAAAGCAACCTAACCCCAACTTTCAATCCCTGTGCAGCGATGCTCTAAGGCGAAATTCACAAACCTTCCACAGTCCAGAAGGTTAGCTTAGGTCTCTCTTCTAGGCTCCAAAAACACTCTTGAATTCAGCACTTCTACCTGTAGTTATCTCTAATGTCTGCCATCCTCACTAGACCGTAAGCTTCTAGGTCTGTCCTAGGTTACAATTATATTACCATAGGGCTTCCCACACTATAGGTGCTCAATAAATATTTGTTGACGGATGTCCCCTCCCAAATCATAAAGCTACCAAATAGGAGAAATAGGGACTAGAACCCCAAAATTTCCACTCCATTTCAGCACTCTCCTCACTAAACCGCACTGCAACCCTACACCTCAAAAATCACCTCACACATAATTAGGAGAGGTATGGGAATTGGTTTCTCTGGAGATTCCTGAGAGCTCAAATTTGTTAACATTCAAAAAGCAGTATCTTATTAGATTTTCAATGAAAGAAAGTAAAGAAAGGATGGCAGAATGCATGTACCCTATATAGAATGTCTTTTTTTTAACTAGTGATTCTTTGCAAGAAATCTAGGAATTCGTCCAAAAGGCTTCAGTGATGGGCTACCTAAAATTGGAGAATTGAGAAAAGCTCAAAAAGCTCTGAAATGAAATGATACTATTGTGATACTGTTCCCTTAAAAAAAAAGAACTGCTTCAGCTACATTGATTTAAAGCATTTGAACGCATATCTAATTACTAATTGATAAACTATGATTTTATAAGTTTCCTCCACAGTGAATGAATCCTCAAGAATATAATGGTTTATATTATCATCACATCACTAGAAAAGAAAGACTGCATTGCAAGGGAAAGGGGAAGAAGTCTTCTGAGAATAATGAAGCATCCTAATTAAATTCAGAGGCCGAGCGTGGTGGTTCACACCTGTAATCCCAGCACCATGGGAGGCCAAGGCGGGTGGATCACGAGGTCAGCAGTTCGAGACCAGCCTGGCCAACATGGTGAAACCCCTTCTCTACTAAAAATACAAAAATCAGCCGGGCGTGGTGGCGCATGCCTGTAATCCTAGCTACTCAGGAGACTGAGGCAGGAGAAGCACTTGAACCCGGGAGGTGGAGGTTGCAGTGACCTGAGATCACACCACTACACTCCGGCCTGGGTGACAGAGCAAGACTCTGTCTCAGAAAAAAACAAAAACAAAAACAAAAACAAAAAAACACGGGCTGGGCGGGGTGGCTCACACCTGTAATCCCAGTACTTTGGGAGGCAGTTGATCACCTGAGGTCAGGAGTTCGAGACCAGCCTGGCCAACATGGTGAAACCCTGCCTCTACTAAATATACAAAAAAAAAAAAAATTAGCTGGGGGTGGTGGCGCGGACCTGTAATCCCAGCTACTCGGGAGGCTAACGCAAGAGAATCACTTGAACCCGGGAGGCAGAGTTTGCAATGGGCCAAGATCATGCCACTGTACTCCAGTCTGGGTGACAGAAAGTGACTCTGTCTCAAAGAAAAAACAAACAAACAAAAAACACAGTGCCACAGTGTTGGCACTGAGGGACCTCAAAAGATTAATATTAATAAGTGATATTCTCTGCCCTCACAGCTTGCAGGCTGTCGGGAAGAAGGGCGTGCCTGTGAATAACTATGATAAATAGTAAAACATAGTAAGTTCTATGATTGCACTGTTGGAGCATGCAAGGGAGAGATGAAATCTGAATGGGAGTCCCAGGAGACCCTGAGGAGAAAGAGGTGGCATCGGCTGGGCACAGTGACTCATGCCTGTAATCCCAGCACTTTGGGAGGCCCAAGCAGGTGGATCACGAGGTCAGGCGATCGAGGCCATCCCGGTTAACACGGTGAAACCCCGTCTCTACTAAAAATACAAAAAATTAGCTGGGCATGGTGGCACACGCCTGTAGTCCCAGCTACTTGGGAGGCTGAGGCAGGAGAATTGCTTGAACCTGGGAGGCGGAGGTTGCAGCGAGCGGAGATCGTGCCACTGCACTCCAGCCTGGGTGACGGAGTGAGACTCTGTCTCAAAAAAAAAACAAAAAAAAACAAAAACAAAAAAAACAGAGTTAGCATCTGGGCTGGTGTTTTATAGTAAGTAATTTGTCTGGTCTTTGTCTCAGTTTCCTGGAATGGAGTTTCTAAAACCCCTTGGAGAGGCTGAGGTAGGAGGATCACTTGAAGCCAGGAGTTCACGACCAGCCTGGGCAACACAGCAAGACTTTGTGTCTACAAAAGAAATTTAAAAATTAGCCAGGTATGGTGGTGCATGCCTGTAATTCTAGCTACTCAGGAGGCTGAGACAAGAGGACTATTTGAGCCCAGGACTTCAAGGCTGCGCTAAGGAATAATCATGCCACTGCATTTCAGCCTGAGCAACAGAGTGAGACCTTGCCTCTTTAAAAATAAAAATTAAAACAAGAATTAAAAAGTAAATAAATAAAACCCTTGGCATACCCTGAGTGATAGGAGTGTCTTTGTTATTCACGAACCTAATGAAACGTGCCTATATTTATGCTAACAAGATGATTCAAGAGGGAGCTAGTCATCAGAAAGACCAACTATGTAATTAGAAGGTTGGGGCTTTGAACCACATGATATCAACCTGACCTCCCAACCTCCAGCGTATGAGAGTTGGAGATTGAACTGAGTCACTTGGCCAATGAATCAATTGATTATAAGGGAAAAGAAAGGTTTTTCTCAACCTTCTTTGGGTCAATGATGGATCTGAAAATCAAACTGACAAAGACAGATTAACAGGAATAAAGCATACAATTTTCTTTAATATGTTTACATAAGGAAATGAAAGCCTAAAGAAACAGTTAAACTTTACTGTTTTTTAATAGGTTTGATGAAGAGTGGACAATTGTGGAGACATATAATAGAGCAAAAAGGGTATGATCTAATGGTAATAAACTGGATAACGCGGTTTTTTTGTTTTTTGTTTTTTTATGAGACGGAGTTTTGCTCTGTCACCCAGGCCAGAGTGTAGTGGCTCAATCTTGGCTCACTGCAACCCAGGATTCAAGCAATTCTCCTGCCTCAGCCTCTTGAGTGGCTGAGATTACGGGCGTGCACCACCACACTCGGCTAATTTTTGTAGTTTTAGTATAAGTGACAGGGTTTTGCCACGTTTGCTAGACTGGTCTCCAACTCCTGATCTCAGGTGATCTGTCCACCTTGGCCTCCCAAAGTGCTGGGATTACAGGTGAAAGCCCGCACACCTGGCTTAATGGTAGTAAACTGGAGGAAACTGAACAAGGCCTGTTTGTTCAGAATCTTCTCTGTGACCCTTTGTCTTCAGAAATAAGACTGTTCCTTTCTTTTCGTACAGAAAACAGATCAATGGTTGACTATGGATCAAGGCGGGTTGGGGGACTGACAGGAAAAAATTACAAAGGAGTATAAAAACTATTGGATGTGATGAAAATGTTCGAAATGTTCATTACCATGAATGTGTTTTTCAAACTGTATACTTTAAATAAGTACAGTTTATTTGCCGCAAATTATATTCCAATAAACCTGTAAAAATGTAAAATAATTAATTTTTTAATTACAGAAGACATTCTTTGGGGGCAAAAGAACATTATAATACTGTAATACTGTAGAAACTGTAGACAAGCGCCTGTAATCCCAGCTACTTGGGAGGCTGAGGCAGGAGAATTGCTTGAACCTGGGAGGCGGAGGTTGCATTGAGCTGAGATCGTGCCATTGCACTCCAGCCTGGGCAACAAGAGTGAAACTCCATCTCAAAAATAAATAAATACATAAATAAATAAAAGCTCTGAGGTACAGAAACTTCCTGATTCTCATGGAATAATAGCAGCAGTCTAGACTGGAATCTTTCCTACATTCCTACATCATATAAAAACTATACAAATCAGCAAAAAAGCACAAGTTAAACTACCCCAAATATGTTTACAGTGTGCTTTTCTCTACAAGAGAAAAAAAGTCTTAAAATTATATTCAGATGTAACCAGGAAGAGAAACATCTGAAATGAGCCAAGGCAATTCTAAAGTTCATGCAAAAGTAAAGATGAAAGTACAGAGAAAAGAGAAGACAATAACTGGGTGTGGGTGGGGGAAGAAAGTATAACATTTCCATATACCATCTTCTTCAAGTTGTTCACATTTTTGCTAGATTTTCTTAATCATTCTTTTTCTCTTCCCTCCATGTTATTTTTATGAAAATTTTTAGTATAGAATACATGTATCATGAATCATTAGCCCTTAGGTTTCACTGTGTATTTTCATAGAATAATGGTATTTTCTTTTATGACTAGAGTACAATTTTAAAATTCAGGAAATGTATATTTGATTCAATGACAGAATCTAATCATTGACAGTTATAGTTTGAGTTATATATGTCACTTCATAGTAATAATAATAATGTCCTTTAAAGTAATTTTTTATCCCAGCACACATTCATGTCTAGAATACTTTACTGCATTTAGTTGTCATTCTCTTTAGTTTCTTTTTTCAAAAACTTTTAAGTTCAGGGGCACATGTGCAGGTTTGTTTTACGGGTAAACCTGTGTCACAGGAGTTTGTTGTACAGATTATTTCATCACCCAGGTATTAAGCCTAGTACCCATTAATTATTTTTCCTTATCCTATTTCTCCTCCCACCCTCTAACTTCTGGTAGACCCCAGTGTGTGTTGTTCCCCTCTATGTGTCCATGTGTTCTCATCATTCAGCTCCCACTTATAAGTGAGAACATGTGGTATTCGGTTTTCTGTCCCTCATTAGTTTGCTAAGGATAATGGCCTCCAGCTCCATCCATGTTCCTGCAAAGGACATGATCTCACTTTTTTATGGCTGCATAGTATTCCATGGTGTACATGTACCACATTTTCTTTATCCAGTCTACCATTGGTGGGCATTTAGTATGATTCCATGTCTTTGCTATTGTGAATAGTGCTGCAATGAACATGGTGTTCGTATCTCTCTGTAACAGAATAGTTACTATTCCTCTGGGTATATACCCAGTAATGGGACTGCTGGGTTGAATGGTAGTTCTGTTTTTAGGTCTTTGAGGAATTGCCACACTATTTTCTACAATGGTTGAATTAATTTACAGAAACTAATAAGCATTTCTTTTTCTCTGCAAGCTCTCCAGCATCTGTTATTTTTTGACTTTTTAATAATAATCATTCAATTCTGACTGGTGTGAGATGGTATCACATTGTGGTTTTGATTGGATTTCTCTAATGATCAGTGAGATTGAGCTTTTTTCTATGCTTGTTGGTTGCATGTATGTCTTCTTTTGAAATGTGTCTGTTCTTCTCCTTTTTTTACTTTTTAATGGGGTTGTCTGTTTTTTACTTGTAGATTAAGTTCCTTATAGATGCTGGATATTAGACCTTTGTCAGATAAATAGTTTGTGGAGATTTTCTCCCATTCTGTAGATTGTCTATTTACTCTGTCGATAGTTTCTCTTGCTGTGTAGAAGCTCTTTACTTTAATTAGATACCATTTGCCAATTTTTGCTTTTGTTGCAGTTGCTTTTGGTGTCTTCACCACGAAATTTTTGCCTGTTCCTATGTCCAGAGTGGTACTGCCTAGGTTGTCTTCTAGGGTTTTTATAGTTTTGGGCTTTATATTTAAGTTTTTATTCCATTTTGAGTTGATTTTTGTATATGGTATAAGGAAGGGATCTAGTTTCAATCTTCTGCATATGGCTAGCCAGTTACCCTAGCACCATTTATTGAATAGGGAGTCCTTTCCCCATTGCTTGTTTTTGTCAGTTTTGTCAAACATCAGATAGTTATAGACGTACAGCCTTATTTCTGGGCTCTCTATTCTGTTCCATTGGACTATGTGTCTGTTTTTCTGCCAGTACCATGCTGTTTTGGTTACTATAGCCCTGTAGTACAGGGCTATGCCAGTACCATGCTGTTTTGGTTACTGTAGCCCTTTAGTATAGTTTGAAGTCTGGTAGTGTGATGCCTCCAGCTTTGCTCTTTTTGCTTACGATTGCCTTAGGTATTTGGGCTCTTTTTTTTGGTTTCATATGGTTTTAAAATAGTTTTTTCTAATTCTGTGAAGAATGCCGTTAGTAGTTTGGTAGGAATAGCATTGAATGTATATGTTGTTTTGGGGAGTATGGCCATTTTATTTTAAGAATATTGATCCTTCCTATTCATGAGCATGGAATGTCTTTCCATTTGTTTGTGTTATCTTTGATGTCTTTGAGTGGTGTTTTGTAGTTCTCCTTCTACAGGTCTTTCACCTCCCTAGTTAGCTGTATTCCTAGGTATTTTATTTTTTTGTGTGGTGATTGTGAATGGGATTGCATTCCTGATTTGGCTCCCAGCTTGACTGTTGTTGGTATATAGAAATGCTAGTGAGTTTTGTATGTTGATTTTATATCCTGAGATGTTGCTGAAGCTTTTTATCTGCTTAAAGAGCTTTTGGGCTAAGACTGTGGGGTTTTCTAGATATAGAATCATGTTGTCTACAAATAGGGATAGTTTGACTTCCTCTCTTCCTATTTGGATGCCCTTTATTTCTTTCCCTTGCCTGATAGCTCTGGCTAGAACTTCCAATACTATGTTGAATAGGAGTGGTGAGAGTGGGCAACCTTGTCATGTCCTGGTTCTCAGGGGGAATGCTTCCAGCTTTTGTCATTCAGTATGATGTTGGCTGTGGGTTTGTCATAGATTGGCTCTTATTATTTTGAGGTGTGTTCCTTCAATATCTAGTTTATTGAGACTTTTTAACCTGAAGAAGTGTTAAATTGTATTGAAAGCCATTTCTGCATCTGTTTAGATTATCATGTGGTTTCTGTCTTTAGTTCTGTTTATATAATTAATCACATTTACTGATATGTGTATGTTGAGCCAACGTTTCATTCCACGAACAAAGCCTACTTGATCTGGTGGATTAGCTTTTCGATGTGCTCCTGGATCCAGTTTGCCCATATTTTGTTGAGGATTTTTGCATCGATGTTTATCAAGAATATTGGCTTGAAATTTTTGTCGTTGTTGTTGTGTCTCTGTGAGGTTTTGGTATCAGAATGATGCTGGCTTCATAGAATGAGTTAGGGAGGAGTCCCTCTCCCTCAATTTTTTTGAATAGTTTCAGTAGGAATGGTACCAGCTCTTCTTTGTACATCTAGTAGAATTCAGCAGTCAATCTGTCTGGTCCTGGGCTTTTTTTTGTTTTGTAGGCTATTTATTTTTGATTCAATTTCAGAGCTCATTATTGGTCTGTTCAGGGATTCAATTTCTTTCTGCTTCAGTCTTGAGAGGGTGTATGTATCCAGAAATTTATCAATTTCTTCTGGATTTTCTGGTTTGTGTGTATAGAGGTGTTCATGTTGTTGTCTGATAGTTACTTGTATTTTTGTGGGGTCAGTAGTAATATCCCTTTTGTCATTTCTAATTGTGTTTATTTGTATCTTCTCCCTTCTCTTCTTTATTAGTCTAGCTAGCAGTCTATCTATTTTATTAATTTTTTCAAGAAACCAACTTCTGGATTCATTCATCTTTTGAATTTTTTTGTGTGTCTCAATCTCCTTTAATGCAGCTCTGATTCTGATTATCTTTGTCTTCTGCTAGGTTTGTGGTTGGTTTGTTCTTGGTTCTCTAGTTCTTTTAGTTGTGATGGAAGTTTATCATAACCCCAGAGATAATGACCTAATGGTCAGTTTTGTGTATATTCCTTCTTTCCGATTATTTTCTGTGTATATACCAACTCACACATTATCAAGGTTCATTATTAGATTTCACTAATGTGATTCTATTTTATGTCTTGTTTTGCATACTTTTACATTTAGCCAATAAAACTTAAATGTGTTTGAAAATACAGCAGAGTAAAAGTGTCCACTATTCTAAGCAATCAGATTTACTTCTTAAGATTTGGAGTTATTGAGCCAGAGTAGTTAAGCCAGCCAGGAAGAGAGGCAGGAGTTTAAATGGAGCCATAAGTCAATTTGAAAATAAAACAGATTAAAAATGTTGATGTCAATTGCAATAAAAAGTATAAAGTATCTAGAAACAGGGGTCCATTCCAAGATGGCCAAATAGGAACAGCTCCAGTCTGCAGCTCCCAGTGTGATCGATGCAGAAGACATGTGATTTCTGCATTTCCAACTGAGGTACCCGGATCATCTCACTGGGACTGGTTGGACAGTGGGTGCAGCCCACAGAGGGTGAGGCGAAGCAGGTTTGGGCATTGCCTCACCTGGGAAGTGCAATGGGTCGGGGGATTTCCCTTTCCTAGCCAAGGGAAGCCATGACATATGGTACCTGGAAAAACAGGACACTTCCGCCCAAATACGGCACTTTTCCAGTGGTCTTAGCAAATGGCACCCCAGGAGATTATATCCTGCGCCTGGCTCGGCAGGTCCCACACCCATGGAGCCTTGCTCACTGCTAGCGCAGCAGTCTGAGATTGACCGGCGAGGCAGAAGCCTGGCAGGGTGAGGGGCATCTGCCATTGCTGAGGCTTAAGTAGATAAACAAAGCAGCCAGAGAAGCTCGAACTAGGTGGAGCCCACTGCACCTCAGCAAGGCCTCTGCCTCTATAGACTCCACATCTGGAGGCAGGGTATAGCTGAACAAAAGGCAGCAGAAACTTCTGCAGACTTAAACATCCATGTCTGACAGCTCTGAAGAGAGCAGTGGTTCTCCCAGCACAGTGTTTGAGCTCAGAGAATGGACAGACTGCCCCCTCAAGTAGGTCCCTGACCCCTGTGCAGCCTAAAAGGGAGACACCTCCCAGTAGGGGCTGACTGACACCTCATATAGGTGGGTGCCCCTCTGGGACGAAGCTTCCAGAGGAAAGATCAGGCAGCAATATTTGCTGTTGTGCAATATTTGCTGTTCTACAGCCTCCACTGGTGATACCCAGGCAAACAGGGTCTGGAGTGGACCTCCAGCAAACTCCAACAGACCTGCAGCTGAGGGACCTGACTGTTAGAAGGAAAACTAACAAACACAAAGGAATAGCGTCAACATCAACAAACAGGACATCTACACCAAAACCCCATCTGTAGGTCACCAACATGAAAGACCAAAGGTAGATAAAACCAGAAAGATGGGGAGAAACCAGAGCAGAAAAGGTGAAAATTCTAAAAACCAGAGCACCTCTTCTCCTCCAAAGGATCACAGCTCATCACCAGCAATGGAACAAAACTGGACAGAGAATGACTTTGATGAGCTGACAGAAGTAGGCTTCAGAAGGTTGCTAATAACAAACTTCTCCAAGCTAAAGGAGGATGTTCGAATCCATTGCAAGGAAGCTAAAAACCTTGCAAAAAGATTAGACGAATGGCTAACTAGAATAAACAGCATAGAAAAGACCTTAAATGACCAGATGGAGCTGAAAACCATGGCATGAGAACTATGTGACGCATGCACAAACTTCAGTAGCCGATTCGATCAAGTGGAAGAAAGGGTATCAGTGATTGAAGATCAAATGAACAATATAAAGTGAGAAGAGAAGTTTAGAGAAAAAAGAGTAAAAAGAAACAAACAAAGCCTCCAAGAAATATGGGACTATGTGAAAAGACCAAATCTACGTCTGATTGGTGTACCTGAAATTGACGGGGAGAATGGAACCAAGTTGGAAAACACTCTTCAGGATATTATCTAAGAGAACTTCCCCAACCTAGCAAGGCAGGCCAACATTCAAATTCATGAAATACAGACAACACCACAAAGATACTCCTCGAGAAGAGCAACCCCAAGACACATAATTGTCAGGTACACCAAGGTTGAAATGAAGGAAAAAATGTTAAGGGGAGCCAGAGAGAAAAGTCGGGTTACCCACCAATGGAAGCCCATCAGACTAACAGTGGATCTTTCAGCAGAAACCCCACAAGCCAGAAGAGAGTGGGGGCCAATATACAACATTCTTAAAGAAAAGAATTTTCAACCCAGAATTTCATATCCAGCCAAACTAAGCTTCATAGGTGAAGGAGAAATAAAATCCTTTAGAGACAAGCCAATGCTGAGAGATTTTGTCACAACCAGGCCTGCTTTACAAGAGTTCCTGAAGGAAGCACTAAACATAGAAAGGAACAACCGGTACCAGCCACTGCAAAAACACGCCAAATTGTAAAGGCCATCGCTGCTAGGAAGAAACTGCATCAACTAATGGGCAAAATAACCAGCTAACATCATAATGACAGGACCAGATTCACACATAACAATATTAACCTTGAATGTAAATGGGCTAAATGCTCCAATTAAAAGACACAGACTGGCAAATTGGATAAGAAGTCAAGACCCAGCAGTGTGCTGTATTCAGGAGACCCATCTCACATGCAGAAACACATATAGGCTCAAAATAAGGGGATGCAGGAAGATCTACCAAGCAAATGGAAAGCAAAAAAAAAAAAAAAAAAAGCAGGAGTTGCAATCCTAGTCTCTGATAAAATAGACTGTAAACCAACAAATATCAAAAGAGACAAAGAAGGCCATTACATAATGGTAAAGAGATCAATTCAACAAGAAGAGCTAACTATCTTAAACTATCTTAAACATATATGCACCCAATACAGGAGCAGCCAGATTCATAAAGCAAGTACTTAGAGACATACAAAGAGACTTAGACTCCTGCACAATAATAACGGGAGACTTTAACACCTCACTGTCAATATTAGACAGATCAACGAGACAGAAGGTTAACAAGGATATCCAGGACTTGAACTGAGCTCTGCACCAAGTGGACCTAATAGACTTCTACAGAACTCTCCACCCCAAATCAACAGAATATATATTCTTCTCAGCACCACATTGCACTTATTCCAAAATTGACCACATAGTTGGAAGTAAAGCACTCCTCGGCAAATGTAAAAGAACAGAAATCACAACAAACTGTCTCTCAGACCACAGTGCAATCAAATTAGAACTCAGGATTAAGATACTCACTCAAAACTGCACAACTACATGGAAACTGAACAACCTGCTCC
Organism: Homo sapiens; assembly: GCF_000001405.40. Taxonomy (NCBI): domain Eukaryota; kingdom Metazoa; phylum Chordata; class Mammalia; order Primates; family Hominidae; genus Homo; species Homo sapiens. Next base: position 18,469,802 of record NC_000008.11, read on the forward strand.
TGAATGACTACTGGGTACATCACGAAATGAAGGCAGAAATAAAGATGTTCTTTCAAACCAATGAGAACAAAGACACAACATACCAGAATCTCTGGGACACATTTAAAGCAGTGTGTAGAGGGAAATTTACAGGACTAAATGCCTACAAGAGAAAGCAGGAAAGATCTAAAATCGACACCTTAACATCACAATTAAAAGAACTAGAGAAGCAACAGCAAACACATTCAAAAGCTAGCAGAAGGCAAGAAATAACTAAGATCAGAGCAGAACTGAAAGAGACAGAGACACAAAAAACCCTTCAAAAAAAACAAAGAATCCAGGATCTGGTTTTTTGAGAAGATCAACAAAATTGAAAGACCGCTAGCAAGACTAATAAAGAAGAAAAGACAGAAGAATCAAATAGACGCAATAAAAATTGATAAAAGGGATATCACCACCGATCCCACAGAAATACAAACTACCATCAGAGAATATTATAAACACCTCTATGCAAATAAACTAGAAAATGTAGAAGAAATGGATAAGTTCCTGGACATACACACCCTCCCAAGACTAAACCAGGAAGAAGTTGAATCGCTGAATAGACCAATAACAGGCTCTGAAATTGAGGCAATAATTAATAGCCTACCAACCAAAAAGTCTGGGACTAGATGGATTCACAGCCGAATTCTACCAGAGATACAAGGAGGAGCTGGTACCATTCCTTCTGAAAACATTTCAATCAATAGAAAAAGAGGGAATCCTCCCTAATTCATTTTATGAGGCCAGCAGCATCATCCTGATACCAAAGCCTGGCAGAGACACAACCAAAAAAGAGAATTTTAGACCAATATCCCTGATGAACATTGATGCAAAAATCCTCAATAAAATACGGGCAAACCAAATCCAGCAGCACATCAAAAAGCCTATGCACCACAATCAACTTGGCTTAATCCCTGGGATGCAAGGCTGGTTGAACATATGCAAATCAATAAACATAATCCATCATATAAACAGAACCAACAAGAAAAACCACATGATTGTCTCAATAGATGCAGAAAAGGCCTTCGACAAAATTCAACAGCCCTTCATGCTAAAAACGCTCAATAAACTAGGTATTGATGGAACATATCTCAAAATAATAATAGCTGTTTATGACAAATCCACAGCCAATATCATACTGAATAGGCAAAAACTGGAAGCATTCCCTTTGAAAACTGGCACAAGACAGGGATGCCCTCTCTCACCACTCCTATTCAACATAGTGTTGGAAGTTCTGGCCAGGGCAATCAGCCAAGAGAAAGAAATAAAGGGTATTCAATTAGGAAAAGAGGAAGTCAAATTGTCACTGTTCGCAGGTGACATGATTGTATATTTAGAAAACCCATCGCCTCAGCCCAAATCTACCTAACTGATAAGCAACTTCAGCAAAGTCTCAGGATACAAAATCAATGTGCAAACAAGCATTCCTATGCACCAATAACAGACAAACAGAAAGCCAAATCATGAGTAAACTCCCATTCACATTTGCTGCAAAGAGAATAAAATACCTAGGAATCCAACTTACAAGGGATGTGAAGGACCTCTTCAAGGGGAACTACAAACCACTGTTCAATGAAATACAACAGGACACAAACAAATGGAAGAATATTCCATGCTCATGGATAGGAAGAATTACTATCTTGAAAATGGCCACACAACCCAAGGTAATTTACAGATTCAGTGCCATCCCCATCAAGCTACCAATGACTTTCTTCACAGAATTGGAAAAAACTACTTTAAAATTCATATGGAACCAAAAAAGAGCCTGCATTACTGAGACAATCCTAAGCAAAAAGAACAAAGCTGGAAGCATCATGCTACCTGACTTCAAACTATACTACAAGGCTACAACAGCCAAAACAGCATGGTACTGGTACCAAAACAGAGATATAGACCAATGGAACAGAACAGAGGCCTCAGAAATAATACCACATATCTACAACCATCTGATCTTTCACAAACTTGACAAAGACAAGCAATGGGGAAAGGATTCCCTATTTAATAAATGGTGCTAGGAAAACTGGCTAGCCACATGTAGAAAGCTGAAACTGGATCCCTTCCTTACACCTTATACAAAAATTAATTCAAGATGGATTAAAGACTTAAATGTTAGACCTAAAACCATAAAAACCCTAGAAAAAAACCTAGGCAATACCATTCAGGACATAGGCATGGGCAAGGACTTCATGACTAAAACACCAAAAGCAATGGCAATAAAAGCCAAAATAGACAAATGGGATCTAATTAAACTAAAGAGCTTCTGCACAGCAAAAGAAACTACCACCAGAGCAAACAGGCAACCTACAGAATGGGAGAAAATTTTTGTAATCTACCCATCTGACAAAGGGCTAATATCCAGAATCTACAAAAACTTAAACTTACAAGAAAAAAGACAAACAACCCTATCAAAATTGGGCGAAGGATATGAACAGATGCTTGTCAAAAGAAGGCATTTATGCAGCCAACAGACACATGAAAAAATGCTCATCATCACTAGCCATCAGAGAAATGCAAATCAAAACCACAATGAGATACCATGTCACACCAGTTAGAATGGCGATCATTAAAAAGTCAGGAAAAAACAGATGCTGGAGAGGATGTGAAGAAATAGGAACATTTTTACACTGTTGGTGGGACTGTAAACTGGTTCAACCTTTGTGGAAGACAGTGTGGCAATTCCTCAAGGATCTAGAACTAGAAATACCATTTGACCCAGCCATCCCATTACTGGGTATATACCCAAAGGGTTATAAATCATGCTGCTATAAAGACAGATGCACATGTATGTTTATTGTGGCACTACTCACAATAGCAAAGACTCGGAACCAACCCAAATGTCTATCAGTGATAGACTGAATTAAGAAAATGTGGCACATATACACCATGGAATACTATGCAGCCATAAAAAAGGATGAGTTCATGTCCTTTGTAGGGACATGGATGAAGCTGGAAACCATCATTCTCAGCAAACTATCGCAAGGACAAAAAACCAAACACCGCATGTTCTCACTTATAGGTGGGAATTGAACAATGAGAACACTTGGACACAGGAAAGGGAACATCACACACTGGGGCCTGTTGTGGGGTGGGGGGAGTGGGGAGGGATAGCATTAAGAGAGATACCTAATGTAAATGACGAGTTAATGGGTGCAGCATGCCAACATGGCACATATGTACATATGTAACAAACCTGCACGTTGTGCATATGTACCCTAGAACTTAAAGTATAATAAAGCAAACAAACAAAAAAAAAGAAAACACACTTCAGAATATCGTTAGTGTAGCTGATTAAAGACATATTAAAGACATATGCAAACCCAAAGTATAAAATGATGTTTAAATGTGTAGTTATATTTATCACCTTTAAGTAGAAAGGATTTCTCATATAGCTCACAGACATCGAACAAGTCGTGAAGCTGAAGACTAACTAGATGATGAATGGAGAGTGGGAGAAAATATTTGCAGTGTATACAGCAGAGCCAAAGTTTTACCCAGATCATGTAAAAGGCTTCCATCAGAAAAGAAGACAAAAGTTCTGATAAAAGAACAAAAGAAAGGAAATTTCCAGAATAAGTAACTACAGATGGCTACTAACATGTGAAAAGACATGCAATATTGCTAGTAATTGGGAAAATGCTAATTAAATGAATTAAACGATTGAATGAAATTAAAACAGTAAGACATTCTCACCCAACAGATCATCAAACTGGCAAAATTACAAGTTTGATACAATAGTATTGGGAAGATTCAGTGCTGGTGAACATGCAAACTGGTACACATTTCATTATACTGACATTGCTTATGATCCCAAATTCTATTTCTGTTTCCTAATTCATCTATGTAGGTGCTTCTTGGTCGCACTCATGCATTGAAGGATTCAGAGTAAAATTTCTAAAAAAGCAAGAGGCCATAAGCCTGAGGCTGTCTCTGTATTTTGAGTTCCTACATAATAAACTGTAATGTAACTTAGTATGTAAACAAAACAAAACAAAACAAAACAAAACAAAACAAAACAAAAAAACCTGAAACCTAACATAGGAGTATATATTTTTTGTAACAGATAGCGGTATTTCAGTCAATCTCAAATAGCCACGCTTCATTCCGCCAATTACAGGTAGCCAGCTGATCACACTGTGCCCAAATAAGGCGGATGCCCAGTTGTAGCCAATCAGGTGATATCTGTACTTTGCTTCCATGTCTGGCCTCCAAAAGCTCACGCTGCTAGGCAGAGCTTTGTGAATCTCTTCTGGTTCTGAGCTGCCCTCTGTTCATTAACTAAATTGTCCTTTACTCATATAAATTCTGTTAAATTTAATCTGTGTAAAGTGTTCTCGTTTAACAATGGCTAAAGATGTTTATGACAAAAATTTAGCAAAAGTTTAGAAAGTGTACAAATACTTACCAATAAAGGTAAATTATAATCTACCTACACCATGCAACAATAAGCAGCATTTTTTAATGGAGATCTTCATAGACTCACATGGAAACATGCCAAAATGTATTGTTGAGTAAAATGTACAATATGATACCTTTTATAGAAAAGAGTCAAGATACTATATACTTCTATAAGTGCCCATACTAAATGCATTTAAATGCAAAGAAAAAACTGTGGAAGACACTATGCCAAATTTATCATGACGGTTTTATCTGAGAAGGAAGGATTAACAACTAAGGAAGATAGTTAAAGGTCAATTTAGCTTGATCTAAATGTCTTAATAGTCTACAAACAAAAATGATTTATTACATATGTAACTAAATATTAATTTTAAAACATTACCTACAATTATAAGCCAAGAAACATATGACCACTATCATCACTCAAACTAGTCCCTGTAAGTGTATGAGGGGATACAAAAGCACACTCAGAACTTTTTAGAGGGCTCTGAGAGATGTAGTAGGAAGGCATTAAATCTACCCTCAAAACATGACATCTCAGTAAAGACTAATCTGGGGTCGGTTGTTATTTTCTATTAGAGCCTATAAGCCTCATATAGCCCTGGGGATGGGGATGGGTCAAAGGGCAAAGATACAGAGGAAAGGTAAGGAGCAACAGATGGAATATTAGTTATCCGTTATCCGTTATTGCATAACAAGACAAACGTAGTAGCTTAAAACATTTATTACCTCACAGTTTCCGTGGGTCAGGAATCTGGGTCTTCTCCAAGGCTGAAATAAAGGTGTTCCTTTGGGCTGAAGCATCATCTGAGGCTCAAAGAGGGAAGCCTCTGCTTCCAAACTCAGGTGCTTGTGGGTAGAAATCAGCTCCTTACAGCTGAAGAACTGGAGACCTCATTTTCTTGCTGGCAGTCAGCTGGAGACCACTGCAGGCTTGAGGCTGCCCTCAGCTCCTAGAGGCCACCTGTAGTTCTTTGTCACTTGGGGGTTCCCTAACATGGCCACTTTCTTCCTCAAAGCCACTGGGAGTGGGGAGAGAGACTCCAGCAAGATAGGTGCTTTAAGCTGATGTAATATAATTACAGAATCCCATGTACCTTATCAGTTTTACTATATTCTGTTGATTTGAGGTGAGTCAGAAGTCACATCCACACTCACGGAGAGGGGATTATACAAAGGCATGAATACCAAGAGGAAGGATCATTAGGGGCCTTTTTTTTTTTTTAATTTAAAGAAAAAAATCGTTGAGAATCTGTAAAACAATTCCTGAAAGATCAAGTTTTCCAGAAAACTAGCTACAAAAATGCATTGTGTTTATCACATTAAAACGTGCATTAGACCAAACGAAAATCATGAAAGAAGCAACCCTTCTTCAACAATGCAAGCAAAGATAAAATGCCTAAGGGACAACATGGATGGCTTGCAAAGGATGAGCTCTTTAAGCACCACTTTTCAAAAAATGATCACAAGTAGGTGAGTGTGCTCAGTTACATACACTGAATTGAACTTTTGGCACTAAGAATCAGAGTATTTTATTATATCGCACTAACTCATATTATAGAAGTGCATAGTGTGGCCCGGCACAATGGCTCACGGCTATAATCCCAGCACTTTGGGAGGCCAAGGCAGGCGAATCACTCGAAGTCAGGAGTTCAAGACCAGCCTGGCCAACATGGCGAACTTCATTTCTACTAAAACTACAAAAATTAGTTGGGCATGGTGGCGCTGTGCCTGTAATCCCAGTTACTCGGGAGGCTGAGGCAGGAGGATCGCTTGAACCTAGGAGGCAGATGCGGAGGTTGCAGTGAGCTGAGATACTGCACAACTGCACTCTAGCCTAGGTGACAGAGTGAGACTCTGTCTCTGAAACATAAAAAAAAGTGCATAGTGCATTGGGAGCCATTTTTAAAGCAACCTACAGCACATGTCTTCTCTTTTGCTCTGGCATAAACCTAGATATTAATCCTAATATTCAGAGCCATGCCCTATAAGAAAACTTCAGGATTGATAGGAGGGAGAATGAGTGCGGGTCATTCAAGATGATTATGTTTAGGAGAGAGAGGAGGCAATGGAGAGGAGTATCTTTTAAAAGAAATTGGGGCAGGTAATGCAGAGGACATCTGTTGTCTTCGCCTGTCGTTTCCATTTTATCTTCAGTTATCAGCTCCCTGATCTTTTCCTTGAAAATCACCCTTCCCTATTCTCAACCCATGTAGTTCAAGTAAGGAAGACTCAAATCCAAAGTCTTCCAACCAGAGTTACAGTGATGGGTTTAGAAATGGAAATGTTCTGGCAAAATCAGCATGTACTACAACCCAGGGCAGTCTGACTCAGGAATGGAACTTCGGTATCACAGAGAAAAAGGCTCTCAGCGTTCTGGGGTGGCTGAGCTGGTAGAAAGAATAACAGACTGGACCTGCTGGCCACCATCTCTGCCACCAGCTGGTGTGAGGAAGCCAAAAAATAGCTATGGAGGTGGAAAGAGGAATATTTTCAATTACATCATCTGAGTACCTGGTTCCACCTGTGTGTGAAGTTAGCCTAAGTTATGTAAGTCAGTCTCTCCATTACTACTTTGCTTGAGCTAATTTAATTTAGGTTTCTGTCCTTTGCAGCGGAGATGACATTCTACAAACAAAAAGAGCAATGTAAGGGGACAAGGAGATTGTCCTACTGGCAACATCCACTTCTCACCATTTTTATTTGCTCCTTGGAGTCTGAGCTGCCTTTTTGTCCACTTAGGGTAGAATCTAAGTGGCTGGTCCAGGCTTAGTTGATCTTGATTCTAAGAGTTTATCACCACAGCTATTGGTACCAAGTACTAGCTCTTGTTTGGAATCCAGTCTATGAGTTAACAGAGTTGGAAAATGAAGTCAAAGAAGTAGAAGATGTGAAAAACAGGAAGTCAAAGGAAAAGGGGATGTTTAACAGTGTAAAGTGCTTCCTACAGAATAAATAAGAACTGTAAAAAAAAAATCACCTTATCTTGGCCAGGCAGGGTGGCTCATGCCTGTAATCCCAGCACTTTGGGAAGCTAAGGCAGGTGGATCACATGAAGCCAGGAAGGAGCTCATGACCAGCCTGGCCAACATGGCAAAACCCCATTTCTACTAAAACTACAAAAATTAGCTGGGCATGGTAGTGCAGGTCTGTAATCCTAGCTACTTGGGAGGCTGAGGCATGAGAATTGCTTGAGCCCAGGAGGCGAGGTTGTAGTGCGTCGAGATTGTGCCACTGCACTCCAGCCTGGATGACACAGTGAGACTCTGACTCAAAAAAACAAAAACAAAAACAAAAACAAAAACAAACCGCTTTATCAATGATGATTAAGAGGCTGTTTGGCAACTTTGAGGAAATGTTTTCACTAGAGTACTACGGAGCCTTTAGCAGAAATAAAAAATCTGATGTGTGGTAGCAAGTGTATATTTCTCTTTTCTTTTGGCAAAAAAGGAAATGACAGAGATGGAAAAGTGGCTCAAAGAGAAGTATGAGAAGAAAATGTGTTTTTGCTTGACAGAAATATTTGTACAAGTTTATAATCTGAAGGAAGAGGAAGGAAGGAAGAGCTAGGATAATGGATGGAACAAGTTCATCTATGAGGTGAGGTCCAGGGAAACAGTTAAACGGTTCTCCTCAGTCTGGTATTCTCAAACCTGTCTGCACTTAGAATCACCTGGGAGGTTGTAAAAAACGAATAAAAACAATGTCCATGCCTCATTCCAGACAATGTAATAAGATTCTCTGTGGGGTGGGACCCAGGCAGAGATGTACTGATGTGCAGCCAAGGAAAGAGCACTCCTTACACAAACACGTCATTTCCTGGGTCAGTGGGAATGAATACAGTGTGAGACACTTAGAAACAAAGAGAGCTTAAGACAGATGGCATTGATCTCTTCAATAAAAAAGAAAATACAAGGTCAACTGTTAAGAACAAGTGGAATAATGGCCAGTTTGGAGCCAAAAAGGACAGCATAAAAGGTTTAGAATGGTCATTAGGTTAAAAAACAAATGTCCGTGGAAATAAATGCCTCTGTAGTGTTTCTGCTTACGTGCAATTAAGTCATGTAATGAATAGTTCTCAAAATGAAATACAGCTACTGCAACTGGAGAACAATTCAACACCTCATCAAGTCTGCAAACTTTAAAACTTAAGAACAAGGAAAGTGAAATGGTTACATCAACTTTGGAAAATAAATCACACAGAGGGTAACATTAGCTGTGAGGATTAAACAGTAGAAATATGTAATATCCACTCAAGCAGTCATTGAAATATAATGCTTTTTTTTCCTTCTAAGGAGTTCTGTGGATGAAATTACACTTCTATGTTACATTTTTATGAAGGGCTTTAATGATTCATTTTTTTTCATTTTTGAAAAGACTGTGGGAGTGGGTAGATGGGTACAGAAAATATGAGTTAATTTGTCCAGGTTTAAAAGGAAGAAAACATAATTCTATAAATTCAACTCAAACTTTTTCAGGGCTTAAGAAAAAAAGAAGAGGACACAGTGTCTGACTGACCATAAAATGCATTTAATCTATAGAGGGTTTAAAATATAACTGTAGAACATAATGAAAGCCATGAAAAAGATACAAGTGTTATGAAACCACAAAAACAACTCAAAAGACATTGCTTGCATCTGTCCAGTTTACCAGATTTTCCTGTGCATGATGATAATTCAGATAGGCCTTGAAATGTGTGGTGTATAAATCAAGGAGAGTGAGGAAGCTGAGACTGCCAAGTATGCTGTTGTGGGGTCAATTTAAGGAGTGTAGGGGCCAAGAAAAATCTTCCCCTCCAACCTCCAATGGTTCACTGAAAATAAACTGACAATGGGCAGACTAATAGGAGAAAAAGGCCTACAAATTTATTTAACATGCATAAACATAGGGGAATAACAGGAAGACAATTACCCAGTAATGCAATGCGGTTCAGGTACTGATTTACCCTTCTTCATAGGGAAGGGGAGATGGGGGAAATGTGGCCATTTTGAGGGGTAGTAAATAATTTTTAGAGGAAATGAAGAAGCCCAAAGAAAAATGGCCTGGGACAAAGTTCCTCTGAGCTCTAAGGGAGGTAGTGGAAAGGTGAGGGGTGGAAGTTCACTGTGAGCAAAGGTTGTCTTATTGTGGAGATGAAGTCTCCCAGGTGATTTCTCAAAAGCTGCCTTCAGAAGAAAAGATGAAAAGTCTTGGCATGGTACAAGATTTTTTGCCTCTTCTCTTCTGAGTGCTTAATCTTTCCAGATTACTTGATAAGAATCTTGGAAAGGGTGCAGGCAGATCTTAAGACAGACAATTGTATTTCTTTTAGAAAGAAGTTTTCTTAGTCAGATAAGGGAATTTCGGAAAAAGTCCCTGCCTGCCCTTTGGAGGTTGGGGGACAAACAAGAGAAGATTAGTAAATTTTTGGTTCTGAGGCAGTTTCTAAGCCTTTCTTATTTCTTTTAATTCGAAGTGCTCAGCATGCCAAAGCACCATACTTTGTGGTATCACTCTTTGCTCCCCAACAGGAGAAACTAGAATGTCATGTCATGGACTCTGTAAGCAACAGGGAGCCATGAAGACAGGCGAGCAGTGAAGCCATGAGATTGGAATTGTTACACTTGCAGGAATACTAATTGTGAGGCTATTGCAATGTTTGGGTGAGAGATGAAAAAGAGTTAAACTAGGGTAGAGGACTGGGAAAAAAAATCCTTGTGAATGACTGCAAGAGGCATTGCAGCTATAAAATGAGTGAATGATTGGATATGGATAAGAAAGAATCACCAAGGAGTCATGGGTGATTCTGTGGTTTGAATGAATGTTTACATTGTTCCAATTTTCATTATCATAATAATATTTACTCATTTTTTTAAAAATTAGAAAATATAGGGAAGTATATTTTAAAAAAGAAAGAACAAATCACCTGCAATGCTATTATCCAGAGATAATCACCATATTGTATTTTCTTAGTTTTTTTCTATGCACATTTCTTTTTAATTTTTTTAACTTTTTATTGACGTATAATAGATATACAGAAAAGTGAACAAATCCTAAGTGTACAGCTCAATGAATTGTTATGAAATGAATACAACTGTGTAATTACCACTTAGATTAAGAAATAGAATATTAACAGCATTTCAGAAGTCCCTCTACCCCCTCTCCCTAAGCACCCTACCAATCAACACACCTCTTCTACTTCAAAAGTAACCACTACTTGGACTTGTAACATTTGTGTGTTTTTTATATAAATGGGTTCAGAATATTATCATTAAATTTTTGTCTTCTTTTACCCAGTATTATTGACATAAAATTATCAATGGCTTTGTGTGTACTTGTAGTTTATTTTTCTTGCCATACTATTCCATTAGAAGTATGAATATAGCATAATTTATTCCTCCATTCTACTACTGATGAACATTTGAGTTGTTGCCAATCTGTGGCTATTAGGAATAATGCTATCTGTTCCTCTGCAAGTCTGTTGGAGCACAACTACATTCATTTCTCTAAATATAAACTAGAAGTAAAATTGCTGGTCATAGGGTATCTTTCACCTTCAGTACACACTAACAGTTTTTCAGGGTGGTTGTAACACCTAAACTCCCACCAGGATATAAGAGCTTTCCATAACCTCCGTTCCATAACCTCATCAATACCCGGGCATGTCAGCCTTCTTAATATTTGCTACACTGTGAATTCTCTAGTGGTATTTATAGTGGTTTTAATTATCATTTTATGTATTTCTAATAAAGTAAAGCATTTTTAATAAATTTAATGGCCATTATGTTATTCTCCTTTGTGAAGTTTCTGTTCACATCTCTTGCCCATTTTTTCATTAGGCTGTCTCTTACTTATTGGTTTGCAGGGAATCTTTATATATTTTGAATATGAGCACATTACCAATTCCACCTGCTGCAAAAATTTTCTTTCACTCTGCAGCTTGCCTTTTTATTCTTTTCATGCTGTCCTTTGAAGAAGAAAGTTTCTTGATTTTAAATACTGTCCAACATGTTGATCTTTTCCTTTATGTTAAACATTTTTTGGCTCTTGCTTAAGAAATCTTTCCCCAGCCAAAGGTTAAATTAGATTGTTCTAGCAAACTCTGATGCTCTGAAGAATCAAATCACTGCTCTCATTGATTAGTGATGCCTCTGGCAAATGATCCCAAGCTAGTAGGTTCGGCTTTAACCAAATGTCAAAAAAATGCATTAGTGCTATAGCTTAGTGTTCAGTATTTTAAGTAATAATCAAATCTAAGAAAAAAATTCCAAATAAATCTGGGAGTAAAAAATATATATCAAGATATAAATTTAGTTATATTAAGAACATAGAAAGGACAAAGATAAAGCAAGCAAATAAACGAAACGGTGAAAGAAGCACCACAGGAGAAATTTATCCTGAAAACATGATCCTCTGAATTTGAATTTGAACTCAGGAAGAAAAAACAGTAAGTTTTTTATGTGTTTTTTTTTTCCCCTTCTTGAGTTAATATTGAGTCATTACTAAAGTGGTGTATGTCTCCAAGTATTTTTTTTTTCTGAATTCTATTTTCTTAATGCCTTTCACCTTTGAGGATGTCTTTCAATCGCCTTGACACATCACATGACTAAATGATAATATTATTGGATCACTATTGTTTCTCCCCAAACTCTATAGATAGCCCTATTTTTAACATGCTAACTGTTGCAAAGTTGTCCGAAGTTAGTGTGATGTTTTTTTCATTTACTCTAAGTTTTTTTTTTTTTCTGGATGTTTACAGGGTTTTCTATTTGACATTATCATTGAAAAAGTCCACCACACTGTGACTCTACATGAGTCATTTTTGGTTGATTTTTGCCTAGAACATAGTGAACACACTTCTGATCTATATACCAAATTACTTTATTCAAATCCGGAACATTTTCTTCAACAAAGCCCTAATTATTCCTGCTTTCCGTTTAGTTTGGCCTTTTCATCCTAAATACTCATAGTTCTTTGGCTGATCCTCTGTTATCTATGCTCTTTACTTATCATCATTTCTCTGATGATTTCAATTTTTGTGTCTTTTTGTTCTGTGTTCTGGTCTCCAGGTATGCGCTTAACATCGACTCAAAGGTTCTCCAGTGTTAAGTTTGTATTCTTGCCTCCATTGAGGGCTTTAATTCTGCTACACCTTTTTATATTTCTTTACAACCCTAGAAAAAATCTTACTAATCTTATATTTTGTCTCATCTTATTGTTTTTTGTCTTAGCCTGATATCTGTTTCACAATGGCTATATATAAAATATATAAAAATTAAAAAATATATTTTTTAGTTTTTATTTTTAAATTTCCATAGGCTCTTGAGGAACACGTTGTGTTTGGTTACATGAGTAACTTCTTCAGTTGATGATTTGTGAGATTTTGGTGCACCCATCACCTGAGCAGTATATGGTGCACCGTATTTGTAGTCTTTCATCCTTCAGCCCCTTCCCACCCTTTCCCCTGAGTCCCAAAAGTCCATTGTGTCATTCTTATGCCTTTGCATCTTCATAGCTTAGCTCCACGTATGAGTGAGATCATATGATGTTTGGTTTTCCATTCCTGAGTTACTTCACTTAAAATAATAATCTCTAATCTCATTTATGTCACTGTGAATGCCACTAATTCATTCCTTTTTATGGCTGAGTAGTATTCCATCATATATATATATATATATATATATATATATATGCCACAATTTCTTCATCCACTCATTGATTGATGGGCATTTGGGTTGGTTCCACGTTTTTGCAACTGTGAATTGTACTGCTATAAACATGTGTGCAAGTATCTTTTTCGTATAATGACTTATTTTCCTCTGGGTAGATACCCAGTAGTGGGATTGCTGGATCAAATGGTAGATCTACTTTTAGTTCTTTAGGGAATCTCCACACTGTTTTTCATAGTGGTTGTACTAGTTTACATTCCCCCCAGCAGTGTAGAAGTGTTCCCTATTCATCACATCCATGCCAAAAACTATTATTTTTTTATTTTTTTATTATGGCCACAATGTCCATACATTTTTATGTTCCATTAAAGATGCCAAATAGTTTCCATGAGTTTCTTTTGGTTCTTGTAGTCAATCATTTTAAGAGACTCATTATTTGTCAGAGTTTTCAAGATGCTCCTTCCCTTCCTTGTCCTGACTACCTTTTCACAAACTCCGTGTTGTTCTTTTCCCTCGTTGTTCTCATCCTTGAACAAGGAGAGACTTTTCTCCTTCTTCAAAAGTTTCAAGAGTTATAATTGAATAGAACACAACTGTCTGACCTTATAAATCTAAAGAGTTATGGTTTCAGGCCAGTAATAGAGGGAGCTCGTGCAAAATAATTTAGGCTCTTACACATAATAAAATTTTCCACCAGAGTATCATTACAACTAACTTGTGCATAAGGCATTGGAAATGTAAAAAGCTCTTTAAATATTTATTTAATTGCATCTTCAACAAGTCTGTGAGGTACAGATTAGCATTGGAATTTGATGAACAAGAGAACAAGCTCAAGGATATTTTGTGATTTGCTTAAGATTACACAGCCAGCAAGCCCTAGAACGAGGATTCAAACCCAGCTCTTGGGAGTCCCCCAAACCCTTATCCTTTTGCATGGGATAAAGATATTCCCTTTTATATGAGATTTGCAAATTTTATAATTTTAATAAGAATAGCTTATTTTAAAAATCACAGGTGGGGAGAAAGCCAGGTCACTAAGATCATGAGCCCATAACCTAGGCACTTTCTCATGATGGTTACCTGAACAATGATCTCAGTGACTGTAAGGCAACTCGCAGAGCAGCAGCCCTGCAAACCCAAACAAGACAAAGACAGAAGGTTGCTGTCATAAAAATCAACCATTTAAATGGATCAGGGTTAATAAGTCATTCTTCATCTTGCAGGTTTGGGGTCATCAGACACGCTCACTTCACACTCCCAACAGTCTCCCAAAGTATCTGATCAAGCAAAACTAAGATAGCAAATAAATAGATTTACAATCCTGGAGTCTGTTTGACAGAAACAGTGAGCACACAGGAGAATGAGGCGGTGATATTTTCTAACAGTCCTCACAGATTCCTCCAGAATCCTCTCACTGGCTATCCGCCTCCCATCCTGTGCTGTATCTGAATGCCCCTGAACCAGGCAAAACGTGCCTTACAGTCTAAGCAGACCAGGCTGCACCATCACAGCCAGCTCCTCCCTGGACTTGCTCTCATGCTTGCTGTACCATCTCCCTCTTCTCCAGCCATTTTCTACCTTTCTGATTTGTTTGAAAACAATGAGATTGATTTTAGTAAATAATATTCCTTTACATTTGTCAAGTGTTCCACTGTTTACACAATGCTTTCATGCACATAATTCTCTGGGGACGTGGGTACATTCCTTTGGACATTAAAGAAAACTTGCTGACAATCAGAAATTGTGTGTTTAGAAAGAATGACATTATATGGTGGTGGTGAAATATTTTTGGAAACAAACAAACAAAAGACAACTCCTTAACCATGACCTCATCGGTACCAGAGCTGTCTATCAGTCTTTACCTATCCTCCCAGCAGATATATTCTGCTTTTTAACAACAACAAATGGGAAAAGGCTGAGATGATGTTTACTTGAAATTCCTTCCAGTACAAAGCCAAGAAGATGAAAAAGATTAATTTACACCTGAATTTTAATTTTTTTCTTGATGTCCAATGTCTGAACCTGTTTGTTGAGCAAATCTGCAATATTTTGCTCACCCCAATAGGATACATATAAGACAAGAATTGATTTCTTAAACAAATACAAATCCAGAAAATAATCAGATTGCTCCTTTCTTCACAGAAAAGAAGAAAAACCCAAAGGCTCATGATGTCTAAAGTGATGCTGCTCTTCCCATTAGGTACAAACTTTTCATTTCTGTGTTCATTTACAACATTAAAATTATTACAGGTCAGTTTCAATATATAACAAAAAATATACCAGAATATTTAATATATGTCATCCCTGGTACATATAATACAAATTTTAGGGTGATGACAATTAGAAATTGTTTATCTAATGTTATTATAAACATTTCTAATGTTTCTAATGTTATAACAATTCCATAGTTATAAGAACATAAGTTTCCAAGTTCTGTGTTACTGATTATTTTTCTTTAAATTCATATCCAACTGACTTCCAGTCTCTCCTGCCACTTATACATCAAAAGTATCTGATATTAACACATTGAATTATTTGTAGCTTCCCACATGTTCAAGAAGGTAGCAGAAAATAGGATGTTTCCTTCAGGTGGTAATTTCAAACAACAGAATTTCAACATACAAATGGTTGGGCTCTGACATTATAGAAGTTTCATTTCCAGGCAACATAGCCTCAGCCATAATATTTCACCCACAGTCCCAGCAGGGTCAGAGTGGAGCACTGGGTGTCTGGGTGAAGAGAAGAGCTTCTCCTAAGGGGTGGCTGTAAAGGGGTTTCAGCACAGGAACGGGTTAGACTAGCCAATGGCCAACACTGAAAATTGCCTCCAGTCCTGAGATTGTGATTCCAAGGACAGTGACGGAAGTGCCCTCACCACATGTTGGATGTCTACTGGCTTCTCCGATGCCTTCCTCTCATTCCTCTCAGGAATTTCCTAGAGTGAAGTAGAAGGCACAGAGTTGAAGATTCCTTAGCTCCTCGCCTGAGCTTCTAGGGGAGGAGAAGAATGAACAAAATGGGATTTATTTCTGTGCTTCTATAGGTATAGAAGGGATCTTGGAAGAGGCTCATGGAAGAAGGAAATCGAGGATGAGTGGTAGGAGCACTGGGTGATTTTGAAATGGCAAAATGAAGAGCTGGGTCTTATATAACGAGAAACCAAAATAAGCATGTGAATCACAGGAAATGGAAAAGTTCGTGTCTGTGGGAGCGCTCTGCCAGGCATTGCTCCCATGCAGGTTTAGAGGCATGCTGGAGTGGAGCAGTTCTTCCTCCTCATTGTCATCATCATCATCATCATCATCATGGTGAACGCTGACATGCACTGAGCATTTGCTGCGTGCCACCTTTCCCATCATGATTTCACAGTCACCATAGGTAATGTTATGTCCTGTGCCCAATTCACACAAGAAGTGGTGGGGCAGGAATTCAGCGCAGGTGTGTCTAATTCCAGAACTGACACTATTAACTGGCCGTGCTTGGTCGTGCTCCATCCTTTGCCAGAGGTACCCTTCCCCCAGGCTCCAAGCCAACACATCCCCCACAGTCCCTGAATATACACCTCTTCTCACCATACTTGTCACAATTCCAGAATAGGGACTGTGGTCTCAGTACTTCTGTATCCCCACCGATAAGAAAAGTCTGGGAAGTGTTCAGTAACTATGTGAATGGAATTCAATTGTGATATGGTTTGGCTGGGTCCCCACCCAAATTTCATCTTGAATTGTACTCCCATAATTCCCATGTGTTGTGGAAGAAACCCGGTGGGAGATAATTGAATCATGAGGGGGGTTTCCCCAACACTGTTCTCATGGTAGTGAATAAGTCTCACAAGATCTGATGGTTTAATAAGGAGTTTCCCCCTTCACTTGGCTCTCATTTTCTCTCTGGTCTGCCACCACGTAAGACGTGCCTTTCACCTTTTGCCATGGTTGTGAGGCCTCTCCAGCCACATGGAACTGTGAGTCAATTAAACCTCTTTTTCCTTCTAAACTACACAGTCTCAGGTATGTCTTTATCTGCAGTATGAAAACAATCTAATACAAATAGAGAGGAAGAATTAGAAACGATCTAGGAGACTGCCAGGACCAGGGCATAGGGATGGAGGGGGAAATATAAATGTCAGAAGGGGGAAGCAAGGCTGCTGCATACAAGCAAGCAAATCAGTGATTTTAAAATGTTGATTCTCACAGATAGAAACAGACTAAAAAAAATGAAAGCCCGTTTAGCAAAGAAGAAATACCATGGTTCTTCCGAACACTGCATATCCATTTCTCCTTTTGTTGTTGTTAATTTTTACTTTTAATTGCAAATTGACAAATTGTAGTTATATATATTAAAGGAGTACAAAGTGATGTTATGATTTATGAATAAAATGTAAATAATTACATCAAACTAATTGCATATCCATCACTTTTTCAGAGAGCCACTGTGGAAGATGATATTCATAGTTGCATCTGCCTATTTAATGCTATTCTCATTAACAGCAAATTTCAAGATCTATTTCAAATTGGTTTTGAAATTGCATACTTCTGAAAGACGGATTAATAATAAGACTAATTTTATATCTGCCCGGCTGCTTGAGATGGAATCTCTAAGATCCTGTGAGGAGAAAACTCACAAGCTCACTGGAGGTGAGAATCATGTTCCTTGACTGACAGCATCTCTTCTTTGTCTAATGTGCTTCCAGGGCCATGGTCCTTCTGTTTTGATGACCTTTCAGTACTACTCTTGAAAATACCAGATGGCCTCACATCTATCAGAATGGCTATCATCAAGAAACAAAGGAAAGCAAGCGTTGGGGAAGACGTGGGTAAATTGAAACCCTGTACCCTGTAAGTAGGAATGTAGGATGGTGCAGCCACTATGGCAAACAGTATTTAGGTTTCCAAAACATTAAAATTAGAATGGCCATATGTTCCAGAAATCCCATTTCTGGGTGTATATCTCCAGAAGAATAGAAATCATGATCTCCAAAAAAAATCTGCACCCCCATGTTCATTGTAGCATTATTCACAATAACCAAGACATAGAAACAACCTCAATGTCCATCAACAGATGACTGCATAAAGAAAATGTGATATATATATATGTGTGTGTGTGTATACATGTAATAGATGTGTAACATATACACACATGTATTACATATATATACACACCCATACATGCACAACAGAATATTATCCAGCTTTTTGAAAAGAAAGAAATCCCGCCACTTGTGACAACACAGCTGAACCTGAGGATATGGTGCTAAGTGAAAGAAGCCAGTCACAGAAAAACACTGCATGATTCCACCCACAGAAAGTATCTAAAATAGTCAAAAAGAAAACTTCAGGTCAATATCCTTGACAAAAATAGACACAAAAATCCTCACCAAAATACTAGCAAACTGAATCCAGCAGCACATCAAAAAACTAATCTATTACGATCAAGTAGGCTTTATTCTTGGGACAAAAGGTTGGTTTAACATACACAAACCAAAAAATGTGATTCACCTCATAAACAGAACTCAAAACAAAAACCACATGATCATCTCAATAGATGCAAAAAAGGCTTCTAATAAAATTCAACATCTCTTCATGTTAAAAACACTCAGCAAACTAGGCATAGAAGGTACATACCTTAAAATAATATGAACCATCTATGACAAATCCACAGCCAACATCATACTGACTGGGCAAAATCCAAAAGCATTCCCCTTGAGAACTGGAACAAGACAAAGATGCAATATAAGTCTTGGTTGCAGTTTTAAATAAACCTAGATTAAATAACCCCTCATTCTATCCTATTTTCTTTCTCTATATATAATAAATATGCATATAAATAGCTACATGTATATGCTTGTTAATATACATATGTATATGTGTATCACACACACAAAGTATGCCACTGTCACCACTCCTATTCAACATAGTACTGGACGTTTTGGCCAAAGCAATCAGGCAAGGGAAAAAAAATAAAAGGCATCCAAATAGGATTCTATACCTAGAAAACCTCATAGTCTCTGCCCAAAGCTTCCTAGAGAGAAGAGAGAGAAGAGAGGGAGGAGAGAGGGGAGAGAGAGGAGGAGAGGAGAAGAGACCAGAGGGGAGGGGAGGGGAGAGAGGAGTGAGAGAGAGGAGAGAGGAGAGGAGAGGAGACAGGAAAGGAGAGAGAGGAGAGAGAGAAGAGAGAGGGGAGAGAGGGAAGAGAGACTGGAGAGAGAGAAGAAAAGGAGAGGAGAGGGGAGGGGAGGGGAGAGGAGGGGAGGGAGGAGAGAGGAGAAGAGAGAGAAGAGGAGAGAGAGGAGAGGGGAGGGGAGGTGAGAGGAGGAGAGGGGAGGGAGGAGAGAGGAGAAGAGAGAGGAGAGGAGAGAGAGGAGAGGAGAGAGAGAAGGGAGAGAGACTAGAGAGAGAGAGGAGAGACAGCAGGAGAGGAGAGAGGAGAAGAGAAAGAGAGAGAGAGAGGGGAGAGAGATGAACAAACAAGCAGGAAAGAATTAATCAAAACAGGTAACCTGAGTGAGGGCACCCATAACAATATCCGAATGAATAAAATTTCCCTACTAAAAAGACAAAGACCCTGTAATTGGTGGGAAATTCCAAGAGCCACTATAAATCAGAGAGACAGTGATTCAAAATAAAAGGATGGACAAATACAAACCGAACAAATAAGATTAAGAAGAAAGTGGGAGTGCAACATATGTTAATACATTCATTTGTTCAAAACTATTTCCTGTGTGGATACCTATGTGCCCAGCCCTACTCGAGGTGCTGGTGACATAGACAGAATTTTGGCCCTCGACAAAAACCATGTAAACATATTAACAATATAATTTCAAAAAATATAGCTTCAAATATGAAGAAATATTATTCACGGAAACAGGATTTAAGGCAAATAGCATTAAGTTAAGAAAAAGTAGTATACCTTCTTTGTCTATAGTATTTTAAAAGCAAAAGATCCTGCAATAGCTGAATTTTAACATTATAAAAAGAAAACAATTTTTTTTTCTGTTTAGCGTATGACCCAACAATTCTACTCCAAGGCATTTAACCAAGTGAAATGAAAGCATATGTTTGCCCAAAACCTGTACACAAATATTTATAGCATCTCTATTTGCAATAGCTCAGAACAGAAAACAACCAACTACCTGTTAATTTGTGAATGGCTAAACAAATTGAGGAACATCCACAGACTGGAATACCATTCAGTGTTAGAAATGAATGAAGCAGTTATAGGTGCAGCAACTTGAATGAATCTCAAAGGTGTTATGCTAAGTGAAGGAAGCCAGACTCAAAGGATTGTAAGCTGTATGATTCTATTTCCATGGCATTCTGGAAAAGGCAAAACTATAGGGATAAAAAGCAGATCAGTGCTTGTCAGGGACCCAAGGACCTTTTTTGGGTGACAGAAATCTTCCACCTTGATGTCCATCAAAGAAATGTTTACATGACTGGACACATGGATTTGCAAATGACGGTATTTTCGTGCCTGCACATGTTTTTTCAAACTCCTTCACACTAAAAGGGTATATTTGCCCAGGCACGGTGGCTCACACCTATAATCCCAACACTTTGGGAGGCTGAGGTGGGAGGATCGCTTAAGGCTAGGAGTTTGAGACAAGTCTGGGCAACATAGTGAAACCCTGTCTCTACCAAAAATACAAAAAATTAGGTGCACTTCTGTAGTCTCAGCTACTTTGGAGGGTGAGGTGCAAGGATCACTTGAGCCCGGGAAGTCAAGGCTGACAGCGTGCCCCTGCACTAGAGCCTGGACAAAAGAGTGAGACCCTGTCTCAAAAAAAATAAAAATAAAAAATAAAATTAATAAAATAAAAATTTTAAAAGGGTAAATTTTAATAAACCTGCATTCTTTACAAACTGGAAAACTATATTATCCAAATTTAATGAGAAAGACTGAGCTGTGCAGGAGAAAGGCCTGAAGATAAATCAGAACATTTCACATCTTCATCTTTCTTGACCGTGAAGCAGCAGTTGGCAGGATGGACCACCACCCTTCCTCTCGAATTGTACGTCTTCTGGCTGATGCCATTTTAGAGTCTCCAGGTTTCAGCTCCACAGTGAAGCTTACATTTCCTACCCCCAGGATTCATCCGAGCAGGAGGTCTCTGGAATTCACGCTTCTGCATGGCATCCATTTATCTCCCACTGAATTTTCCACTGCTTGCCATTGTGCACATAAACTGTAGCTTGGCCTGAGAGTGGACCTTACCACTTCTCAAAAGGTACGTGTTGCCATGAAGAAGAAATCCAAGTTGCATGGAAAAGTTCCCAGAAACCATCAATTCAGTTTTGCTTTTTGAGCCTTCATTTGCGCAATCCATTGATGCTATAAATTACTGGTAAGGCTTATATGTCCCCTCATCTCCTCATTCAACAAGGAATTTGCATCCCAGAGGAAAAAAAACCATAAGATAAAAGAATAGAAGAATGGCAATGAATTCCTGCATGCTTCTTAGCAGTGAGAGGGAAGAATTGGGGATACTGAGAGATCCCCCAAACCATGCCATTTGGATCATAGCAGAGGTGATATCCAAAATATTAAACTACGTGTACATGATGGACACAAACAATCAGACAGATGCCATCTGAAACCTCCACTACAGCCCCATGATGTGAGTCCTGGCTGCCTATCCCCTCCGGACATTGGCTGGAGCTGACGAAGTTTAAGACAGCAACGTGCCCTCTGCTTATACTCACTCCAAACACTCTGCTCTTGGTAACAAATAATAATAGAGCTAATTGTTAGAAGTGGAATACTAATAATAAAGCATCCCACTGCTAAAATCACAAACAAACGACTCCAAACTCTACAAGTTATCAGCTACCAGGAATCATAAAAAGCAAATTGCATCACTCCTTTCTATCCAAAGTTTTTAGGTGCTTTTAGAAGCAGGACAGAGCTTCCGGGGGCCGCCAGTGACCATAAGCTACTACATTGTTGTTCATCCAGGACTTGCAGAGAAGAGAGCCCCAGGGGGAGAGTTCAAGAATTCTAAAAACTGGGGCTTGTGTGTGGTGGCTCCTGCTTGTAATTCCAGCACTTTGGGAGGCCAAGGCAGGCAAATCTCTTGAACCCAGGAGTTTGAGACCAGCCTGGGCAACATGGCAAAACTTCGTCTCTACAAAAAATACAAAAATTAGCAGGGCATGGTAGTGTGCACCTGCAGTCCCAGCTACTCAGGAGGCTGAGGTGGGAGGATCACTTGAGCCTGGGGAGGTCGAGGCTGCAGTGAGCTGCAGTTGTGCCACTGCTCTCCAGCTTGGGCAACAGAGCGAGAACCTGTGTCAATAACATTTTTAAAGTTAAAAAAGAATTCTGAAAACTGGAAGCGGGGAGTGGGCAGACCAGTTGAAACTCAACGAGGAGGCAGTGAAAGACAACCTGGCCTGTGCAATCAGGCACCTTTGCTGCCTCTTTTCCTTCTAAGACTGGCTGACGATGTGTCTATCCCCAGGACACAGGCCCAGTGTCAGGCTTCCAGAAATGCTCTACATCCCGAGATGTGGGTAAAAGGGAGGGGAAGGGCCAGTCCATTCCCTCTTCCACCTCCGGCCAAGAACATTTGCAATCCCCATCAAAAGCCAAATGGAAGGAGAATGCAAGCTCATGAGCTTCCTTTTGCAAGGGGTTTGGTGTACAGATTATTTCATCTAGGTAATAAGCCTAGTACCTAATCAGTAGGCTTTTGATCCTCACCCTCCTCCCACCCTCCACCCTCAAGCATGCCATGGTGTCTGTTGTTCCTATCTTTATGTTCATGTGTACTCATTGTTTAGCTCCCACATATAAGTGAGAACGTGTGATATTTGGTTTCTGTTCCTGTATTAGCTCACTTAGGATAATGGCCTCCAGCTCCATCCATGTTGCTGCGAAGAATGTGATCTCATTCTTTTTTATGGTTGTGTAGTATTCCATGGCATATATGTACCACATTTTCTTTATCAAGTCCAGCACTGATAGGCATCTAGGTTGATTCTATGTCTTTGCTAGAGATTTAGAAGGTAGAATTGTCAGGACATTGGATGTGGTAAGGAATAAAAGAGAAAGAAAATTGTACATGACTCAAAGTTAGATGGTGGATTACTCAGCAAAAAATAATAATGAATCGCCAACACAGTAACAAAGATGAATAAGCTACATAGTGTACAATTCTATTTATATAACATTCTGGAAAAGACAAAACTACAGGGACAAAAAACAGATCAGTTGTTTCCATGCACAGGGGCTTGGGACACAATTTGGGTACAAAGGGCATGAGTGAAGCTTTAGGGGTGGTGGAACCGTTCTGTACCCTGAGTATGGAAGTGGTTACATGACTATAAGCTTTTATTAAAACTCACAGAGCTGTGCACCAAAATGGCGAATGTTAATCTATGTCAATTATATCTCAATAAATCTGACCTAAATAAATTTCTGTCTTGGGCAAATGAGTAGGAAATGATGTCACCCATTGATAAAGAAAATACTAGGGGAGGAACAGGTTTTAGCTGTAGAAAGACAGGCAGAAGAGGCTTTCTATTTGGATTGTTTATTTAAAAATAGAGACAGGGTCTTGCTCTGTTGCTCAGGCTGGAGTGCAGCGTGTGATCACGGCTCACTGTAGCCTTGACCTCCTAGGCTCAAGTGATCCTCCCACCTCACCTTCCCAAGTAGATGGGACTGCAGGCGGGTGCCACCATGCTTTGGTGGCATTGGCTATGTTGAATTTGAACATCCAAGAGATTGGAAGCCATCAGCAGCTGGACACATGGGTGTGGAAGAGGTAGTGAGAGAGGTCAGGAGCCATAATACAGAGTGGGCAGCCATCAGCTCACAGGGACACAGCCATGAGAATGGAGAGCTGGACCTGGGAGAGAGGGTCATGCTTGGGGGCATTCGGCAGCCAGCTGTCTTCCCTCCATGTCTTCCCTGAAATACCTCCATCCTATGCCTATATATCCTTAAATAATTTAACTTTAATTTTTCCATTAGCATCTTTAAAAGCAAATATTCCTGGGAAAGGTAATGCAATGAAAAAAATAACCCTAATGTAACGATGGCTTAATGTACATTATAGAGGTCAGATCCTCTTATGAAAGTTGAGTTTGAATTTAGGGTGGTTGGCCAGGCACAGTGGCTCACACCTGTAATCCCAGCACTTTGGAAAGCCGAGGTGCAAGAATTGCTTGAGGCCAGGAGTTTGAGAGCAGCCTGGGCAATATGGCAAGACCTCATATTTACAAAAAATTATTTTAAAAAAAATTAGGGTGGTGCCCTTAAATACTTCAAAATGTAGAGCATATTTATCAAATTTGTCCAATGATTGTGATGTATTATCTCTCCAAACATAGTTGAAAATGGAACGTTTCTTATCCTATATCATTTTTTTTTCCTTTTTTGAAACGGAGTCTCACTCTATCTCCCAGGCTGGATTGCAGTGGCACAGTCTCAGCTCACTGCAACCTCTGCCTCCCAGGTTCAAGTGATTCTCCTGCCTCAGTCTCCTGAGTAGCTAGGATTACAGGTGCCTGCCACCACACCTGGGTAATTTTTTGTAATTTTAGTAGAGACAGGGTTTCACTATGTTGGCCAGGCTGGTCTCAAACTCCTGGCCTCAAGTGCCTACCTCGGCCTCCCACAGTGCTGGGATTACAGGCGTGAGCCACCATGCCCGGATACGCTATATAATATCTATTAACCTCCTAGAGAGGGTTCTTCTAAATGTTAGTTTGGGAAATTCTGCCTTATCTCAAAGGATGAGGATTGAGGCTGGCAGGCATTCCCCATGAAGTGCTGAGTCCTGGGTTAGACAAAAAAGCATGCATGCAAGACCCAGGCATCCCCTAGTCCTCAAACTGGGCATCAGACAGAAACCAGCTATGGCGGCAGAGCAGAGAGGGGAGCCAGCCCTCTCCCAGGTCTCCCAGCCAATCCTCGCTTAGCCATACGTCAGCCCAAAGGATAGTTAGCCCTGACTGCTGATTCTGGAATACTAACCTCAAAGGTTTTGGGTTTCAGATTCAGATAAGGAAGAAAAAAGAAACCGAATCATGAAATTCAATGGGAAAACAAGTAAAAATAAATAGATAAGTTTAAACTTTTACAGCATTTACATGATTAAACAAATGATGTTCATTGTAGTTGGTGATATTTTCCATACATAACTTATCAAGTAACAATCCAGTAATCTATAACTTCATTTAAAAGAATTAAATACAGATATATATATACATACATATAATATAGATAGATAGATAGATAGATATAGATAAAGTGAAAAGGTTTATTATGAGAAATAACGTAACAAAAGAGAATGTGCCTGTTGTTTCTTTTCCTCCTCTCTTAGTGTTTTTTTTCCCTGGGAGACCAAGTAACAACATGGGAGTGAGCTGATAGATGCTGATCTGAAGAAGTGGTGACCGTGCCAGTTAGCAATTTGTAAACGCCAGGCGGTGGCAGGTGCTTAATTATAATTGTACAAACTAACAATGTACATATTCCAGTTATTTTTAACTCAGTATCCTGAAATAATTGTAGACTCATAGGAAGTTGCAAAAATAATACAGAGAGGGTCCTGTGTACCCTTCACCATCCTGATTCCTGCAATGCTAACTGTACAGTACAGAATACAGCACATCAGCAAAAAGCTGCTAACTGGTCTATAAATCTTATTAAGATTTTACCACTCTAGGCCCGGCATGGTGGCTCACGGCTGTAATCCCAGCACTTTGGGAGACTGAGGAGGGCAGATCGCCTGAGATCAGGAGTTCGAGACCAGCCTGGCAAAAATGGTGAAACCTTGTCTCTACTGAAAATACAAAAACCAGCCAGGCATGGTGGCAGGTGGCTGTAATCCCAGCTACTCGGGAGGCTGAGGCAAGAGAATCGCTTGAATCCGGGAGGTGGAGGTTGCAGTGAGCCGAGATCACACCACTGCATGACAGAGACTCCGTCTGAAAAAGAAAAAAAAAAAGATTTTACCACTCTAAAGGGGAAATTGGAGTTTTCTTATTCTGATTTGCTTTGGTTTATTTCTCCTTCCTCTTCAGAAATACTCACTTCAGGGACTACAGGTACAATGCCAGACAGACCTGCAAAACTGCATTGTTACCTAAATTTTGACCTTACATCCACAAGGAGTCTTGGGGACAGAATCCAGTTAACTCCACCCAAATTTGGCTCCAGCTTTGTTTATATCTAAATGCCTATGAGCAGCTCAGGAGTTTCCTCAGCTAGAACAGGCGAATTCTGATTATCAGAATAACGATATTCTGGGCTAATATCATTGTAATGACTTGGCTTTTAAGGCAGTTTCCCTGTATATGGGGACACGTGGAGGCTGGAAGGCAAAAAAGGGCCCAATTTTTATCCTTCCCTGAATCACACCCTCTGCAATGTAACTTTCTCCTACCATCAAGGGGTAGCATCTATGGCCCATCTCTTGAATTTGCACTGGCCCTGCAACTTGGGTAGGTCAGTGGTATGTGAAGAAGTAACAGGGAGCCAGGCAGTTCTGAGCCCAGACCTCAAGAGGCTACAACTTCTGTACTTCTTCTTGAAGCCCCGCAGTCCCCATATGAACAAGGCCAGGCCAGCCTGCTGGAGAAGGACCATGAGGAGCAGGGCCGACACAGCCCATCTGAGGCCACCTTCGATCATGCAGCTGACAGCAGATTGCTGAACCAGCCCCGCCGAAAGCAGCCATGCCTAGCCCAGCAATAAACACCTCACCAGCCCATAGACTTGTGAAACTTATTTTGGTAAGTTACTGGTTTTGCGATTTTAGATAACTGGTACAGGCAAAGACTTACTTGAGTGGGGTACAGAAATGTGCAGATGAAAGAGGAATGAGTTTTTAGCTAAGAGCTGGACTAGCCAGGTTGCTCACTGGAGTTCATGTGACTGTCATGAACACCCCAGAACAGCAAATCAGTTGTGAACTAAATGTTTACTGCAGGCTGAAAATAAGAATGAAGTGGGAGGACCCCAGTGGTCCTTAGAGCTAGCTGAAAGGTTTTCTCCAGGGAAGAAAGAAAGTTTATACAAGGGCTTTTACGCTGGCCTTATGCTAGCCCCTGAGAGCCAGGAAGAAAAGAGCGAGCAGGAGACTGCTGAGCTATAAGCAGGGGGAAGCTGCATGGCTCCTTGGGGCTGGGGAAGTTTTCCTAGGGTAAAGGGATTTCCAGCCTAAAGGTAATAAAGCTTTTATCTCTCTTGTCTTGAGGTTTCATGCAAACAACAAATATTTGTTGAATGTCTACTGTTTTCATTGCACTCACCACTGCCCTTCCTCATGTCCTGTGCAGCGATTGGCAAGCAGTTTCTGCCTTCAAGACTCAGTCTAGTGAGGTGCTACCAGAAGTCTAGACAGGGAGCCAGGCTGGGGTAAGGCCCTACTGGTAGTGGCACCGCTGGAGGGGATGCAGAGAAAAGGCAGAGCCCTCTGATTACTTTCACTGACTCTCATGGTCTGAGGGCTGTTGGTAAAGTTCCTATTGAACAGAGAATGCAAAATCCTTTATCGTATGGTCATGCAAATTATTACTTCAATACAGAGCATTCAAACAAGTATCAACAAGGCAAAGCTTCCATGACCAATCACATGGAGGGACCTCCAGGTGTCTGGCTGCAGGGCCCCTTGGGGGAGAGGCAAGCATCCAACACGGACACTGATCCATCAATACAAGCCGGGATCACACCTCCTAGGGAAAGTGAAGGTGCTCTGAGCACATTGAGGAGCAGAAAAGCCTAGTCAGAAAAGACTTCCCATGAAACTGGCATTCAAACACATATCTGAAGGATGAGTTACTTGGGGAAGAGAGGGGATCCTTCAGGAAGGGCACAGAATGAGCAAGACTAAGAGGTGGAGAGGTTGTTAGGAGAATAGCAGGATCAAAAAGTATAGCCGTGAAGCTGGACAGAGAGTTGGGGGAGCCCGGTGGGCTCAGTCAAGAATATTTGGTCTTAGGCCAATCACACCTGTAATCCCAGCACTTTGGGAGGCTGAGACAGGAGGATCACTTGAGCCCAGGAGTTCGAGAGCAGACTGGACAATGTAGTAAGATGCTGTCTCTACAAAAAATAAAAAATTAGCCAGGCCTGATGGCAGGCACTTGTAGTCCCGGCTACTCAAGAGACTGAGACGATGATCACTTGAGCTCAGGAGTTCAGGGCTGCAGTGAGCTATGATAGCACCAATGCAATCCAGCCCAGGAACAGAGCAAGACCTTGTCTCAAAAGAAAAAAATAAAAATAAAAAAATGGTCTTTATTCCAAATGCAGTGGGAAGACTTAGAAGGGGAATCACCATCACGTCAGTTTGAACCATATGAAATTGACATTTTTGCTGGTCAAAAATGACCAACGCTGGCAGTTTTATATGGTTCAACCTAATACAGGTTTGAGCATCCCAAATCCAAAAATCTAAAATGTTCCAAAATACAAAACTTTTTCAGGGCGGACATGATGCTCAAAGGAAATGCACGTTGGAACATTTTGGATTTCAGATTTTCAGATCTGAGATGCTCAGCCAGTAAATACAATGACAATACTCCAAAATCTAAAAGTCCAAAGTCCAAAACACTTCTGGTCCCAAGCATTCTGTTCTATCCTCCATCTGTATTTCGAAAAGAGTCTTCAGCCCGACCCTTCCAAGGTTGACTATTTGTTGTTGGTCTTTTAATTCCAAGGTGATTTTCTCATTTCCTTTCACAGGCAAGTCAAGCCTTGGCACCAACAGAGCAGGGAGTGAGAAGTGTGGGGGCCGAGGCCAGATGGGCCCTGCATCCTACTTTCTGGAGCAGCAGCGACACTGTCATCTTGCTCACCTTTCTTCACAGCCTGCAGTGCCCCACGTGGAGGTGTGGGCTCACCAGGGAGGACTCTCACCTCGGACAGCTGATCCCTGTCCCCTGTGCCCAGGGACATTCTTCTTGCCAGGAGTTGATGAGTTCCCAGTGGAG
This sequence comes from Homo sapiens, assembly GCF_000001405.40. Taxonomy (NCBI): domain Eukaryota; kingdom Metazoa; phylum Chordata; class Mammalia; order Primates; family Hominidae; genus Homo; species Homo sapiens. Next base: position 18,498,810 of record NC_000008.11, read on the forward strand.
GTGGAGGACTCCTAAGCTTTTCAAGGGATGGGCTCAAGTAATACAATGCCCCCACACACCCAGCCATCGGCGGCCCCTCATTCTCAGCTTTCAGTTGCTTCTGTGTATGCGAGACCAGAATCCAGGTCACAGCTCAACTGGACATCATGGCACTGACATTGTTCATTTTCATTTTGGCAGCACGCACAGAGCTGTTCAAGAGAAGGTCACAGTGAGATCATATAAACCAAATTTAGCCATCTGGGTACAAGGAGAGACTTAGGTGATTCGTGTCTGATAAGGAAAACCAGACTTTCACAAAGCATCCTTTAGTGGGAGCCTTTTAGAAACCCCAGAGATGACACCTGTCAAACTTCACAGCACACTTGGGCTTGAGGGGACCGGAGAGTGCACAGGCTCCCTGTGTAGATGAGACCCCGAGGAGATGGTGGTAGTTTTCTCATCTTAGACTAACTCCTACATCCCAGAGTCCCAGAGCACTTTATGTTCTCTGGTCACACGTTGAGGGAGGCAGTTTTAAACTAACTGGAGCAGAGGGGCTGGGGAAGGGCTTAGTTCACTTCCACTCATGGTCTGTGCTCACCTTGAAGTCACACCTGGCACTAAACCATTTTTGTAGAATAGGTGCCCCACTCTGCCACACGTTAATCCTGAAACTAAACAAGAGATTTGGTTGAGTATGGTGGCTCACACCTGCAATCCCAGCACTTTGGGAGGCCAAGGTGAGCAGTTCACCTGAGGTCAGGAGTTGAAGACCAGCCTGGCCAACATGGTGAAACCCCATCTCCACTAAAAATACAAAAATTGTCCAGGCATGGTGGCGGGTACCTGTAATCCCAGCTACTTGGGAGGCTGAGGCAGGAGAATTGCTTGAACCTGGGAGGCGGAGGATGCAGTGAGCCGACGTTGCACTACCACACTCCAGCCTGGGCTACAGAGCAAGACTCCATCTCAAAAACATATAAATAAACAAACAAGAGATTTGGCAGGGGTGGGGTGGAAATCAGGAAATCACACACCGGATAGCAAAATCTCACACAACTTTTCTTTCAATATCTCTCCTCATTTCCTGAAGACCCTTCCACCAAAATCTATCCCATTATTTCTTCCCCCTCTCCCACACAGTTCCTCAGATCACCTCCAACTGCCACCGCCCACTCAGCAAGGCAGAAGCCAGACATGTGGCCTCCTCATCTTCATTCTCCATCCTTGGAAGCCACTTAGTGAGGAATTGAGAGAGATGGGGTGGTATGGGATGGGGACAGGGGGAGTTTGATTTATCAAGTATTCACTCTCCAGTATTGGCCTCTTCTTAGAGGAGAGAATTTAAAATGTCCTATATTACTATTATTTCCCATATTATAATATTATTAGTAGTAGGCCAAAGAAAGCAGACTCAAGGAGACAAAAGGACAAAAATTTCAGTGTACAAACACAATCAAATAAGCATTAAGTGAGAACTGTTCACGGTCCAGGGTGACTTTGAAAATGGCCTCTTCAATGACAGAGGAAAATGAAGTTATCGGGAAAGCCATCACGTGTCACACACCGAGATTCTGTGACTGTTAAATTTTAATACGTTCGGTGCAAGGAAAATTGAAATTTCTGAAGAAAAGAAAAGCCAAAGGGCAAAGAGAAGAGAAATGAAACCAGCCTGGAAGTGGGGGAGTGGAAGCTGGGGGTGACACGAGGCCCTGGCACCATGACCTCTTTCTTGTAAGGGAGATAGACGTGCTCTCAATCACTGTGGGCGCAACCAGGGGGTCATGCCTTTGAAAAATGACAAAAACTACTGAAACTAAGGGGAAAACACAGAGCGAAGGCAGTTAACTCTCAGTTGTTCAAGGGCTGATGCTGAACTTGGGAATGATCTAGACTTTGCCTTTCTTTCTCCTCCTTTCCTGAATGTTGGCAAACTCACTGCTCACAACCACCTTATCCTGATGTTGAACAACCCTGCACCTAGCACATTAGTTAAATATTAGCATCTTTGATTAACGTTCTAGAGAGCCAGGGAAGAGTGTTTAAATTTTCAGTATAGCCATGAATTTTTGACAAATTTGAGAACTGACTCCATAGGAGTGAATGTGCTATTCCCAGGAACCCACACCTTGACAGCCGAAGATCGGCAACGCAGCTATTAAGTTCTGCCTTAAGGAATTCTCACCATCAGCGTGGAAGGAGATGTCCAGAAAAAAATGTGGGGGGATTAGGATCGTGCCAAGAATAAAAAGGAAAATACAGATAACATCTAACTACTTTTGTAGAGGCCCTTCCTCCAAATGTTGCACCACTTTCCCCAATACCCAAAGAAAAAGATTTTACTTGGGGAAAAAAGTCAGCAGCAGCACACACAAAAATGACCACACCACAAGGTGCAAGCATTAAAACCACGAAAAACGTTAATGTATATGATTGAGAACACAACTGAAATAATCAGTAACAAAATATTGATCACCTCGTCCGGGATCTGATAGGTAAATGGTTGAGTGAGTCGCGCCAGCCCTCAAAGAGTTTATAACTGTGTTGTAGGCTGTACAAAAAGACTAACACCCAGGAAGCAAAGAGTATTTAGGACAGAAGGTCATTGCCAACGAAATTGTTTCATGCCAATTGTAAGTTGCTGTAGTCCAGGGGCAGGGGTGGTTGATGGGGTTTTCTAGGCAATAAAGGGCTCAGCTTTGATTGGTGAAAAGAACAAAGGCCGGTCAAGAAAAGAGGGGAAGGAAATTTAAAGTAGAACAGCCGAATAGAACATCAGATGGGGGCTAGATACAGCTCCTCTACTTCTAGACAAGAAGTAATTACCAAGTAAAGAGAAAGCAGATGCTTGCCCGTGGACATACAGAAATTAAACACCCTGCCAGGTGCAGTGGCTCACACCTGTAATCCCAGCACTTTGGGAGGCCAAGGTCGGAGGATCACTTGAGTCCAGGAGATTGAGACCAGTCTGGGCAATGCAGTGAGACCCCTCAAAATTTTTTTCTCAAAAAAAGATTTAATTAGCTGAGTGCAGTGGTGCTGGGACCCCTGTAGTCCCAGCTACTCTGAAGACTGAGGTGGGAAGATTTCCTGAGCCTGGGAGGTCAAGGCACTGTGGGCTGTGATTGCACCACTGCACTCCAGCCTGGGTGACAGATCAAGAGCCTGTCTCAAAAAACAAAAGACAATGAAGAAAATAAATTAAACAACCAGCTAAGTCTCACTCTCCAGAACAATCTTTTTGGAAACTGAGGATGGAGGTGGAAAAGAAAGACCTTTTGTGGCTCTATTTTAGCCTACCCAAGAAAAACAATCTCAGCACTTCAAGTTTCTATTGAAAAGAAGATCGCTGAGTTTGGTTATCCATCCTCAGAAGGAGAGGATGGGACATCATAGTTTTGAGCAATGGTCGCCTCATTGGAAAAACAATTACTGCCATGAAGATCTGCACAACAGGAACTTATGATAATAGCACCTACTACATGGAGTGATTGAGAGGACTGCATGGAGTCATTTCTCTGAACTTTGCATCTTCCTCTGCAAAGTGAAAAAGCAGGTCAGGAAACTCACTGGAGGTCACGTAACAGGAAAGTCTTGTTGGACAAAAGTCTAATGATAAAGCCTGTATGTTGGGGCTGGGTGCGGTGGCTCACCTCTGTAATCCCAGCACTTTGGGAGGCCAAGGTGGGAGGATCACCTGAGGTCAGGAATTCGAGACCAGCCTGGCCAACATGGCAAAACCCCGTCTCTACTAAAAATACAAAAATTAGCCGGGTATGGTGGTGCACGCCTGTAATCCCAGCTGCATGGGAGGCTGAGGTAGGAGAATTGCTTGACCCCGGCAGGCGGAGGTTGCAGTGAGCCAAGGTCGTGCCACTGCACTCTAGCCTGGATGACAGAGTGAGACTCCATCTCAAAAAAAGAAAAAAAAAGCTTTTATATTTCCATGGAGATACTTCTAATTGTTTCAGTTAAGAGAGGCTCTGAGTCCACAGGACTTTCATGGAGGGTAAGAAACTTGAGAGGAGAACTGCGCTGGGGTGGCTAGTGTCTCTCTGGAATGGCCTTTGGGTCTTGCACAGGCCTCCTGCCCGGGACCACAGGAATAGTGGCCTTCCAGGAAGGCCAGAGGATTCAGGGGTTGCCTGAGGTGTGCAATGTGAGTATGGCTTTCTCCAACCACAACCCAACGCACAGCTTTATCTTGGCAAATTTGTTGCTCATAAGCTCTTTGTCCCAGTGGTGAACAACCCTGCACCAAGCACATTAGTCAAATATTTGCATTTTTGATCAAAGTTCCAGAGAGCTGGGGAAGAGTGTTTAAATTTTTATGACAGCCATGAATTTTTGACTATTTTGAGAACTGACTCCATCAGGAGTAAATGTGCTATTCCCCAGAACCCAGCCCCTCCACCCCGACGAGGCTGCCTGGGTGGGAAGCCCCATACTCAACAGAGAGCAGGCAAGGGCCAGGCTTCTGTGGAAGACTACCTGGGTCTCCATGGGACCCCCTGGAGCACTGGGCTGCGGGCTTACAAAACCCAATCCTGACCAGGTGGGGTGGCTCATGCCTGTAATCCCAGGACTTTGGGAGGCCAAGGTGGGAGAACTGCTTGGGCCCAAGAGTTTGAGACTAGCCTGGGCAACAAAGTGAGACACCATCTCTACAAAAATTAAAACAATTAGCCAGGTGTGATGGTGCCTGCCTGCAAATTCAGCTACTTGGAAGGCTGAGGTGGGGGGATCGCCTGAGCCCAAGAGGTCAAGGCTGGAGTGAGCTATGGTTGCACTACTGCACTCTAGCCTGGGCAACAAAGCGAGACCCTGTCTCAAAAAAACCAAAAAAATCCAATTCTCTCTATTTCCTTAGTCAGCAGGGAGATTAAAATGAAAACAACAGCCATACTACTACACTTCCACCAAATAGGTAAAGTGAAAAGACAGAAAATACTATTAATGAGGATGTGGAGCAAACAGGAAGCTCACACACTGCTGTGTATAATCGTTTCCATCCTAGGAAACCAATCGGCAGGATCTATTAAAACTGAACAGGCCTGGGCCACATGGCCCTAGAAATTTGACTCCTAGGCATGCACCCAACAAAAATGCATATACAGGTTCACCAAAAAACATGTATAAGAATGCTCATAGCAGCACTACTTACAAAAAACCCAAACTGGAAATGCCCAGCAACAAGAAAGTGGGTAAACCCATCATGCATCTTTAAACAAAGGGATATCGTGAAGTAAAAAGGATGAACAATCTGCAACTATATACATCAACATGGCTGAGTCTGAACAACATAATATTAAGCAAAGGAAGCCTGATCAGGTGTGGTGGCTCATGCCTGTAATCCCAACACTTTGGGAGACCAAGGTGGGAGGGATCGCGTAAGCCCAGGAGTTTGAGACCAGCCTGGGCAACAAAGCAAGACCCCGACTCTACAAAAATATTTTTAAAAATTAGCCAGGTGCAGTGGCATGCCCCTGTGATCCCAGCTACTTCGGAGGGTGAGGCGGGAGGATCGCTTAGCTCAGCAAGTCAAGATTGCAGCGAGCCAAGATCGCATCACAGCTTTCCAGCCTGAATGACAGAGTGAGAACCTGTCTCAAAAAAAAGAAAAAAAGAAAATGAAACCAGACACAGAAAAGTATTCACTGTGTGATTTCCCATTATGAAGTTTGAAATGGGCAAAACTAATCTATAGTATTTGAAGTCAGGATAGTAGTTACCTTTGGAAGTGAGGGAATAGAAGGAAATACCAGGGGGGGAGTTAAGGGATGCTGGCAATATTCTGCTTCTCATTTTGGATACTGGTTACGTGGACATGTTCAGTCCATAAAAATGTATGGAGCTGTACACTTATGATGTGGGCACTTTTTGTATATAGATGAAACTGTAAAGGGTGCAAACATAAGAGGCTGGGGAGTGGGCAGGGCAATCATGCTTGTAATTGGCAGCAGCAAGGGGTGGGATCGAGGGTGAGGGAAGAGCTGATGAACCAAAGAAGTAATTTAGGGTGGGCACAGCATTGCAGATGGTTAGGGCACAGTCTGACTGAGAGGGCAGGTTGGGCCCTCTCTTACTGCAGAGCATGTGGCCTCCCATGCTAGCCATGCTGAATGGGGACAACAGGCATTTGTGTGTGAAGACACACGCTGCCCACCACCATCCCACCCGGTGATGGTGTAGCTGTAGTCTCCCTTTGTCACTGCCATCTGCGCTCTTCTCTTTCTTCCACCATCAGACGAGGGATGAGATGTGTTTCTCAGGAAATGCATGTTTAGGGGAAAGTAGGAGAATGAACCTCACGGGCTGGCAGATGATATATATCTGAGAGCTGCAAGGATAAGGCAGGACATGTAGGTAAGGCCTGGTTCTAGAGGGACTCCAAAGTTAAGCAGAGGCCTCTAGACTTCATCAATGGGGAAACTGATCAAATGGAGATTTGATCTAGGAATGCTAAAACGGAAGTGGTGAAACCAAATATATTAGCTACTCTCAACTGAGTGGTCTCTCCAAGAACAGAGAAACCGCCCACAGGCCTGCCTGCTGGGATGTTATTAAAAAGCTACCACACATACATTAGGATTTCTAGGTTTTCAAGTAAGTTCCAAAACGCCCCAGCTGATGACTTTAAACCATAGTACAAAAGTTTCTAAAGTTGACGGAGAAATTCTATTTCAAAAACACTATATTATTTGAAAGAAAAATAGTGCTTTTTATAAACCAAGCTATACAATAAGCTTTTGAAATAAGCTTTTGGGAGGCTTGGCAAAATTGGAAAAGGAGGCCAGATGCCCTGCAGCTCAGGTCAACAGAAATCTATGACAAGGTTTAATGTCACAGAGGTGAACTCCATCCATACATACTTAAATGAAAGGCTTCACTTGGGAGCTCTGGAAATTATTTTCGTTTTATGTATATATTTATAAAATGCATGTTCATATAGAACACACACACACACACACACACATTCTGTACACCTAGCACCAAACTTAGCCAAATTTAGAGCATCACCTATCTTTGTTGCCAATGATACATTTGATAACTGCTTAGATGTGCAAAAGCCCTCAGGGAAGGGTTGTAAAGAAGATACTTGGGTTACAGAGAGAAATGGGAAAACAAATTATTTATAGGTATTTACCTGTGCACCAGGAATATCATTTATGCTAATCTTTGGTTTGGACTTGGATTTGAGCTCTATCTTCGGCAAGTTTCTGTGGTGTCTTCCCAATGTCATGAAAGTTGCATCATAATGCAGTGTGGGGAAGTAGAAAAAGCCTTGGGCTGAGAGTCAGGAGACATGGGTCTTAATACCCTAACACCTGGGACAGTCCTAGTTTCTATGCGTTGGCTTGATATAATTCTAAGGAACATCTCCTTTCATTCTCAAAAGTGAACCAGTTTAAGAAGTGAATCATATGACAGGGAATATCACAAAAACGGCTCCTCCTCCCTGAATCAACATCTTCTCCAATGAGACTTTTCAGCTTCTTCATCAAACAGTGGGATCTTTTTCCTTTGCCTTGAATCTGGACTCATCTTATGACTTGACATTGGCCAATAAAACTAAGCGGAAGTGGCTGGGTGTGGTGGCGCACACCTGTAATCCCAGCACTTTGGGAGGCCGAGGCAGGTGGATCACTTCAAGCCTAGGAGTTTAAGACCAGCCTGGCCAATATGGCGAAACCCCATCTCTACTAAAAATACAAAAATTAGCCAGGCGTGGTGGTACATGCCTGTAATCTCAGCTACTTGGGAGGCTGAGGCAAGAGAATCGCTTGGACCTGGGAGGTTGCAGTGAGCCAAGATTGTGCCATTGCACTCCAGCCTGGGTGACAGAGGGAGACTCTGTCTCAAAAAAAAAAAAAAAAAAGTGACAAAAAAACTCATAGTGGATGTCATGTGCCAGTTCCTAGCCAAGGCTTCCACATACCTTGCCTGTTTTTACTGTTTCTCTTGGAAGTCTGCCCAGGTGCCATGTGAACATGCCTGAGCTGGCCTCTTGGAGCCTGAGAGACCATGTGGAGTACAAACAAATCCTACTGGCTGAGGCCAACACAGGCCAGCTGACCCCAAAATGACCTGGTAGCTGACTGCAGATGCCTAGATGAACTTATTCCACAGCAGATACACTATCCAGGTGAGCCTAGCTTAAATTTATGATCCATTGAATCGTTAGCTAAATACATTTTTATTGTTTAAAACTAGTAAAATTGAGGTTATTTGTTATGTGTCAGAAGCTAACTGATACATATGGCCTCCCTAGTTCTAATGACCACTTTGTCTCTAACCATCCTCGCAAACTTGAGCAAATCCCTTAACTCTGGAGTTAAAAGTTAAGTGAAGGCTGGGCATGATGGCTCACACTTGTGTTCCCCGCATTTTGGGAAACCAAGGTGGGAGGGTCGTTTGAGGCCTGGTGCTCAAGACAAGCCCGGGCAACAGAGTGAGGCCCTGTCTATGAAAATAAAAGTTAAGTGAAAGGCAAATAAATCTTGTAAAGAGGTAAGTGCTGTCGCCTCTATTCGTTTCCTATTCCTATTGTTGCCGTAAAAAAATTACCACAAACACAGCGGCTTAAAACAACACAGATTTATTCTTTTCCGGTTCTGGAAACGAGAAGTCCCAAATCAGTTTCAATCAGTTTCAACAGCAGAATCTGTTCCCTGCCTTTTCTGGCTTCTGGAGGCCACCTGCATTCCTTAGCTCTGACCCCTTCTTCATTCCAACCTCTGCTTTAATTATTGCATGTCTTACTTCCTCTCTGAGCTCCTGCTTCTGTCTCATAAGGATCCCTGAATTTATATTTGGCCCACCCAAGTAATCCAGGATTATCTTCCCATCTCAGGATCCTTAATTTAGTCACAACTGCAAAGCCCTTTTGCTGTACGATATAACGTTCACAGGTTCCACGGATTAGGAACTGAATATCTTTGGGGACCATTATTCAGCCTACCACATTTCCCAGCAACTCTACATAGTAGGCACTCTCTTGAGAACTAGAGAAATAGAGATACAAAGAACAGTTCCTATGCAACAGTAGGAAGCGGACTGCAATGACTTTCATGTATTCTTGAGCAATAATACTCTGGTGTTCTTCATTTCTGTGTTGCCACAATTGCCCCTTGCATAGCATAAGCCATTGCTTGAGGGGTGATACAAGAATGAACATTGTTCATTAAGGGCTTGAGATCTAAGGATCAATTTTTTTCCCAGTGCCTCATCCTAAGTGAGTCATACGGCCAGAATGCATTACATATATATATGCATTACATTCTGTTACCTGCTATATAGTCCGTACCTGAGATGGTGATGGTTTAGTAAGTGCAGCTGGAAAAAATGAGAAACTGAACGAGGGACATATATTAACTCCAACCTGGGAAGAGAGATGCTGTAAATGGAAGCTATCCATACAAATTACACACGCTAGAGTAATTACCTATTTGTGGTCAAGGGTGCAAGAGAGGGTAGATGGTAACAATAGGGAGAGAGAGTGTGCAAGAAAAGGATGAGACCTCAGGAAAAGGGGACTGAAAAATGCAAAGGAGAAGAAAGGAAAAGCAGCTCCATTTGGAAGAATGAATCTTATAAAATACCAAATGGCACAGCGACCACATGCAGGTAGCGCAGGCTGAGTGAAAGGCGGAGCCACCCGCCCAGCCCTCCTGCTGGGACCCATAAGGCATGTGTAACCATTACCATGCCATCTGCTTCTATGATTAATTGCTTTTGAGGAAGCACTTATTCTCAGTGGGAAAAGATCAGAATATTACAAAAAGGATTTCTAGAAATGATAAAAATGACTGCTTGTCAAACTCGAATTGGGAAGTAAAACAGGGCTGGTATATGTGCTACTAAGAGAGAATCTAGAACTGAGACTCAGATGAGCTGTCCCTGCCAGGGGACCTTTGATGCATCAGGATCCTGGGACAGCAAGCAAAGTAGGGAAGACTCACAACATGAATCAGGATAACAATAACAACAAAATTTGCTGAGCACTTACTATGTGCTAGGAGTTCCATATGCATTAAGACACTTGGTACCAAAAATGACACTGGGAGGTAAGTTCTACACACCCTTGTCTTAAGATAAAAGTGGCCAGGGGAGGTGGTTCACGCCTGTAATCTCAGTACTTTGGGAGGCCGAGGTGGGTGGATCACCTGAGACCAGGAGTTCGAGACCAGCCGGATCTCGATAAAAAATTAGCCGGGCGTGGTGGTACATGCCTGTAATCCCAGCTACTTGGGAGGCTGAGGCAGGAGAATTGCTTGAACCCGGGAGGCGGAGGTTGCAGTGAGCTGAGATCGCGCCATTGCACTCCAGCCTGGGCAACAAGAGTGAAACTCCATCTCAAAAATAAATAAATACATAAATAAATAAAAGCTCTGAGGTACAGAAACTTCCTGATTCTCATGGAATAATAGCAGCAGTCTAGACTGAAATCTTTCCTACATTCCTACATCCTACAAAAACTATACAAATCAGCAAAAAAGCACAAGTTAAACTACCCCAAATATGTTTACAGTGTGCTTTTCTCTACAAGAGAAAAAAAGTCTTAAAATTGTATTCAGATGTAACCAGGAAGAGAAATATCCGGAATGAGCCAAGGCAATTCTAAAGTTCATGCAAAAGTAAAGATGAAAGTACAGAGAAAAGAGAAGACAATAACCCGGTGCAGGTTGGGGACTAATTGTGCAAAACGCTGAAAAAAAATCACCCCCAGAGAGATAGAGACCCACTCTGATTGAAGAAATTCTGAAAACAGGGCTGGTAGAGCAGAGCACTGGCTAAAGGAGACTTAGAAGGAAAGGAGTTGAAAGTGCTCAGAATACATGATGGCTATTTTGGAAAAGCACCGTTTCTGGAAGAGGGGGAGGCAACGTGGAGCAGAATGCTTGTAGGTGAAAGGAAAGGAAGAACCACGTGGCAAAAATTAAGGGGCCTTTAGAAAAAAAAAAAAAAAAGGAAATGACAGAATCAGTTAACATTTCCTTCCCAGAGGCACTATTTATTAAAAAAAAATTGTACCTTACTACGCCGAGAAAAAAAGTACTTAAATTAAGAACCCTAGTAAGTCCAGCCTGGCCAACATGGCAAAACCCCTTCTCTACTAAAAATACAAAAATTAGCCGGGCATGGTGGTGTGCGCCTATAATCCCAGCTACTCAGGAGGCTGAGGCAGGAGAATTGCTTGAACCTGGGAGGCCGAGGTTGCAGTGAGCCAAGATCACCCCATTGCACTCCAGCCTGGGCGACAGAGTGAGACTCCATCACAAAAATGAAAAAGAAAAGAGAAAGAAACCTAGTAAACCACGCAAACTCTTTACACCTACCTTTAAAATAATCACGTGTTATTACTGGTCTATGAAAATAACGTAATGTATTTCAAATAACAGAAAATTACAGCTGATATACATACAAAGTTACTGTAAGAAGAAAACACAGCGTGAGAATTTGACTGAAGTTTTCTAGTCCTCCTCCTCCCTCTCCCCACAAAAGGCAGGGAAGACTCACCTTTCAACCAGCATTAAATGTAACTCGCCTTGAACAAACATTTGAAGATATGAAAGACATCTCAAGATGTTCCATGAAATCGGGAAATACAAAAAAACAGTTGTGAAATAAGAGTTAACCAAACTAAAGGGAAAAAAGGAAAATCATCTCAAAAATTTAGATTACAAGAAAAAATACTGATTCAAAATATAAGGAACACTGAATAGAGGAGTAAAGATAGCCAAAACAAAGAAGACAAAATAAGAAAGAGGTGAAGGGATCCAAGAGAAATTAAGATAGCTATAGAAGGTCGGCAAAAGAGACTCAACATACATATAATTGAAGTTTCAGAAAATGGAAAAAGAACTGCACTAATACTTAAATATAATCCAAACCAATATTTCTGAAATTGAAGAACTAACTATACATATTGGAAGGATCTCCTGTGGACCTGGAAATTTTGAATCAGAATAGCCAACCATGAGATATCTCAGTAAAATAATCAGACTTGATAAAGGGAAAAAAAAATCCTTTAGTTCTCAAGGTTAAAACCCAAGCTGTTATAAAAAAGGAAATCAGCTTGGCATTAGATAGCCTGACAGCAACATCCAAAGCAAAACAAAAGTAAAAGATTTTTTTTTAAACTCATGAAAATGTGAGCCAAGGATTTTATATTTAGCCAAACTGTCCTTCCAATATTAAAGGTAAAGAAAAAGTTTTGAAAATGCAAGACATAGTACAACATTTGGGAGCCCCACCTAAGAAATTTAGTTGAATATGAGCTTTATCCAACCAAGAGAAAGTCATGGAAACGTTAACAAAACATCTCTTAGTGAGCACTGAATTTATTAATCTTTAAAGACTAAGACAAGCATAAAGACAAGAATGGAGAAACAATATGAAACTTACATACATATTCAAAGAAACAACAAAGCCGAAAACCTGGGAGGAGAGAGAGGAAAGTCAGTGTAAAATAAGTTTAGTAATTGCCAAATAGAAAATAGAATTAAAAGATTTGATTTACAACTGACAATTCACATAGAATATGTGCAAGTAAGGAAAGGGGAGGGGTGACTTATCTTTATAAAGAACAGTAGTAGAATAAAATAAAAAATGCCATAAATATAAAAATAAATATGCATTTTCTAGAGAGTGAAAAGACAACCCACTGAATAGGAGAAATGTTTTTTTGCAAATTATATATCTGATTAAGGGATAAAGGTTTAATACTCAGGATATATAAAGAATTCCTACAACTCAACAACAAAAACACAAAAAACAAAATAAAAGATTTGAATAGAAATTTATCCAAAGAACTTATAGAAATAGCCAATAAGCACATGAAAAGATGCTCAACATTATTAGTTCTTAGAGAAATGCAAATCAAAACCATAACGAGATTACACCTCACACCTACTAGGATGGCTGTAATCAAGAACACAGAAAATAACAAGTGTTGGCAAGAATGTGGAGAAACTGGAAGCCTCATACATTGCTGGGGGGAATGTAAAATGGTGCAGCCATTGTATAAAACAGTCTGGCAGTTCCTTAAAAAGTTAAACATAGAATGACCATATGATCCAACAATTCTACTTTTAGATATATACCCAAAATAATTGAAAACTGGGACTCAAACAGATACTTGTATGAGAATGTTCATAGCAGCAGCATTATTCACAATAGCCCCAAAGTGGAAAAAACTCAAGTATCCATCACCAGATGAATGCTGAACAACATATGGTGTGTACACATGGTATATTTCACCATAAAAAGAAATGAAGTTCTGATAAAGGCTACACATGGATGAACCTTGAAGACACTGTGCAAAATGAAATAAGCCAGACACAAAGGGACAAATATTGTATGATCCCATTTCTATGATGTATCTAGAACAAGCAAATTAATAGAGAAGGAAAGTAGAATAGAAGTTACTAGGAAGTGGGGGGAGGAGAGAATGGGGAATTATTGCTTAATGGGTATAGAGTTTCTGTTTGGGATTATGAAAAAGATTTGGAAATAATAGTGATGGTTGCACAACATTGCAAACGTAATCAATGCCACTGAATTGTACACTTAATGGTTTAAAATGGCAAATTTTGCGTTATATATATTTTACCACACACTCAGAAAAGCAACGGAAGATCTATAGAGACAGATTGCAGACTGGCGGTTGCCAGGGGGCTGAGGGAAAGAAGAAAATGGGGGTCAACTGCTTAATAGGTACAAGGTTTTCTCTCTGGGTGATAAAAAATGTTTTGGAATGAGATAGAGGTGGTGGTTGCACAGCATGGTGAATGGATTAAATACCACCCAATCGTTCACTTTAAAATGGTTAGTTTTTTTTTTTCAGTTTTGTTGATGGAGGTATAACTGACAAGTAAAATATATAAATATGTAATGTATACAAAGTGATGTTTTGATATACGTGTACATTGTGAAATGATTTCCATCAAGCTAATTAACATTTCCATCACCTCACATAGTTACCTTTTTTTCTGTAGTGAGAATACATCAGTTCCACCATCTCTGCAAATTTTACATATACATTATTAACCACAGCCATCGCAATGTACATGAGATCTTCAGAACGTATTCATCTCATAACTCCAAGATTGTACCCTTTAGCCAACATCTCCCCATTTTTCCTACCTCCCAGCCCCTGGAATAACTGCTCTGCTACTCTGCTTCCTTGAGTTCTACATTACTACATTTCATATGAAAGTGAGAGCATGTGTATTTGTATTTCTGTATCTGGCTTATTTCACTTAAAGTAATGTCCTCCAGGTTTATCCACATTGTTGCAAATGACAGGATTCTTTTTTTTTTTTTTTTTTTTTGAGATGGAGTGTTACTCTGTCACCCAGGCTGGAGTACAGTGGCACAATCTCGTCTCACTGCAACCTCCACCTCCCGGGTTCAAGCAATTCCCGTGCCTCAGCCTTCCGAGTAGCTGGGTTTACAGGCATGCACCACCATGCCCGGCTAATTTTTGTATTTTAGTAGAGATGAGGTTTCACCATGTTGGCCAGGCTGGTCTCGAACTTGTTACCTCAAGTGATCCGTCCACTTCAGCCTCCCAAAGTGCTGGGATTGCAGGCATGAGCCACTGCACCTGGCACCCACACTGCTTTTTTTTAAGTTGATTATTCCTGTGTGTGTGTGAGTGTGTGTGTGTGTGTGTAGACATCACAATTTCTTTCTTTATCCAGGGACACCTAAGTTGATTCCATCTCTCGGCTATTGTGAATAATGCCGCAGTGAACTTGGGAGTACAGATAACTCTTTAACAAACCAATTTCATTTCCTTTGGATAGATACTCTGTAGTGGGATTCCTGGATCAAATGGTAATTCTGTTTTTCATTTTTTGAGAAACTTCATAGTGTTTCCCATGACAAGGTATAAAGGATCCCTTTTCTCCACATCCTCATCAACACTTGTTACCTTTTGACATTTTGATAATGGCCATTACAACTAGAGTAAGGTTATATCTCACTGTGGTTGTGATTTGCATTTTCCTGATGATTACTAATATTGAGCACCTTTTCATATACCTCTTGGCTATTTATATATATTTTTTGGAGGGATGTTTATTCAAGTCTTTTGCCCATTTTTAAATTGTCCTATTTGTTTGCATGCTATTGAGTTGTATAAATTTTCAATATTGACTCTTTATCATATACATGGTTTGTGACTATTTTCTTCCATTTCGTGGAAGAAATATTGCCTTTTTATTTTGTTGACTGTTTCCTTGGTGTGCATATATTTTTAGTTTGATGTACTTTACATTGTTACACTGAAAGTCTTTAATCCACTTTGAGTTAATTTTTGTGTGGCCCGTAAGGTAAGGATCCAGTTTTTCTTTCTTTTTTTCTTTCGCATTTGGATATCCAGTGTTCCCAGCACCAGTTGGAAGAGACTATCCTTTCTCCATTGTGTCTTCTTGGTGCCTTAGTTAAGGATTAATTATACGTGTGGGTTCACTTCTGATGTTTCTATTGTGTTCCAATGGTCTATGTGGCTGTTTTTATGCCAGTATCATACTGTTTTTATTACTCTTGCTTTGTAATATAATTTGAAATCAGGCAATGCGGTGCTTCCAGATTTGTTCTTCTTATTCAGAGTTGATATTTGTGGCTTTTTTGGAATTTTGATGGGGATTGCATTGAATCTGTGGATTGCATTGAATCTGCAGATTGCTTTGGTATTATGGGCATTTTGATAATATTGATTATTCTGATCCATAAACATAGGATGTACTTCCATTTATTTGTGTCTTCTTCTATTCCTTTTACTAATGTTTTACAGGTTTTAGTGTATGGATCTTTCACTTCCTTGGTTTAATTTGTTCCTAAGTATTTTACTCTTTTTGATGCTATTGTAAATTGGATAGTTTTTTTAAATTTCTGTTTCAGATAGTTTGTTTTTAGTGAATAGAAACACAACTGATTTTTTGTATGTTGCTTTTGCATCCTGCAACTTTACTGAATTTATTTATTAATTCTAACAGTTTTATGATGGTCTTTAGGGTTTTCTATACCTAAGATTATATCATCTGCAAAAAAAAAAATTAAATTCTACTTTCCTATTTGGATCCCTTTTATTTCTTTATCTTGTCAGTTTCGTCTGGCTAGGACTTCCACTACTTTGTTGAATGGAAGTGGTAAGAGTGGGCATCCTTGTCTTGTTCCTGATCTTGGAGGAAAATCTTTTTATGGCAGCAGCAGTGGCATTGGTGTCAATGAGTGGTGCCTGTGGAATGGCCATGGAGCTGGAATCGTGAGTGCATGCATGTGTAAGGGGACGACAGCTCCAAGCTTTGCTGTGGCGGTGGCACTAGCATCTTGGGTGCAGGAGCCCTCACTGCCTCATTGGCAATGGTATGCAAGGTGTGGGTACTCTTACAGTGGCTGTGGAGTTGGACTCTGGAGTGCAGGTATGAGCAGGGCTACTGCTGCTCCAGGGACATGCCTGTTGGAGTGGTGGCTCCAGTGTCTGTCGTGCAGGTGTTCATGGAGCTGTCATGGGGCCAGGGGCTCCAGGGACTGGGGCGTGCTTGCTGTGGCATTGTCTCTGACGTCTGAGGCACAGGAGTTCATGTCGCAGTGGTGGAGGTGGGGTCTGGAGCATGGTGTGCACAGAGCAGCCACAGCTCTGGGGTCTGGGATGGGTAGAGGGTTGGAGGGGTGGGTGGCAGTCCTGGTCCCCACTGGCACAACAGTGTCTAATTTCTGTGGGAAGGTAAAGAGCAGCATCTCCTTCTCTGAGGGGTTCATGGCAGTGATGGCTGTTGGTTACATCAGTGGCAAAAGCTTCTGCTGTTCTCTGAAGAGCAGGCCACTGGGGGCTGTGACAGAACCGACTGCATAGCTGAATGATGGCCCTTCCCAATTTCTTTGTTCCTAGCCATCTCGATGTGCCACAGCTAGGCTGTCTCTCCAGTGATCCTTTAGCGGGGGTCATTATCCATCCATTGTTCCACTGTGTTGCTGGGCACATTCTTAATTGGACCCTTGAGCCCTCCAAAGGCTTTTTTCATTTGTGGATAGCTGCTTAATTGTTGCCCTTTGTGAGGAGATGAAGGCTGGTATCTCCTACTATGTCACCTTGCTGACATCACCCTCCTAAGATGGTTAAGTTTATGTTATGTGAATTTCATCTCAATTTAACAAAGCGATTAAAGAATGTAAAAAGCCAGGTGTGGCAGTTCCAGGGAGTCTGAGGCAGGAGGATCCCAGCTACCAGGGAGGCTGATGTGGGAGGATCACTTGAGGCCAGGAGTTGGAGACCGGCCTGAGCAACACAGCAAGACCCATCTCTAAAAAAAAATTTTTATTTATTTTTTCATTTACCAGTACCACTTGCCAATTTTTTTTATTTTTTTTTTTAACTTCTAAAAGGGATAGAAATAATCCAATGAAACAGATCACATATAGAGAAAAACACAGTAAATACACAATGTCATACGCATGCTAAAGATAACATTAGAAAAGATTACATATTTGAGACCAAATATACCAGTCACATCAGTGAGTATAAACGGAGTTGATTCACCTATTAAAAGAAAGTTTTCAAAAGTGCCTCACAAACCCAATTCTATGATGCATAGAAGAGACATACCTATAACAAAGTTATTTAGAAAGGTTAAAAATAAAGGTCTAGGCAAAGGTAACCCAGACAAATATAAACATTAAGGAAAAAGTGTTATGATTCCTATAGAGAACAGTAGAATTCAGGGGAAAACTATTAAACGATTAAAAATGATAAAGTTCAAACTTCAGAATGAAGATTTAATAGTTATCATGATCTATACACCAGCAAAATAGCAACCACCTTCATGAAGCAGAAACTATACTAATAATTGAGAGAAGCACACAAATAATAAGAGATTTGAATGTGTAACTCTCAGTCCAAGGCAGAACAAGCTAATGGAAAATACTTAAATATTTACGGACCTAAAAAACAAAAAGAGCCCACAATCACTAAGGTAGAATCTATCGATATATGTAAAACTTTAAACCTTAATATTATAGAACATACCTTCTCTTCAGGAGCACAAAGAACATTCATGAAGATTATCCATACTGTGTTACAAAGGGATATCAATCATCTATGAAATAGATATAATATAAACAATCTTCTCCGATCACAACACATTCCAATAAGACATTAATACTGTAGAGGAGGAAAATATAATTTTCTCTCTACCTTTAAAGTTCTCAGTTGGAATGGGTCCCTACAACAAAAAAGACATTAAGAGGAGAAAAACAAATTAATTAGCATGCATACTTCAGGTAAACATGGGAATATGAAAGGAAAATAAATCTTGGGACCACCAAATCACTAAGCCAAAGTCAGGCTTGGAATTGCATCAGGCAAACCTGCCTCCCATTTTATTCCGAAATAAGATAGCTACAAAGATAAGCTACATACCTCCCTCACAATTTGTCCACAAAGTAATTCCCCTAAAACAGTTCTTTTGAATTTCAGTTTGGCAATGTAAATTGATAGCTTATTTTCACAGGTGCAGGACAAAGGACAGAACTCAAAATCATCCCTCTACTCACCTAAGACAAATGCATATCTGATTGCTTCCTCTACCCTATTGTTCATGGAAAAATGCAGATTCACTGAGGCAGTCTAAGGCATAAGTGACTATTATTCTATACTCCTCTCACATGTAAATTGTGTATTCAGAGAAAGGATGACCAAAGACTCAAAAGAATGCAACTGTTTGTCTTTTATCTACCTATGACCAGAAGCCCCTGCTTCGAGTTGTCTTGACTTTCTGGACCAAACCAGTGTACATCTTATACATATTGATTGATGTCTCATGTCTCTCTAGAATGTATAAACCCAAGCTCTGCACCGACCACCTTGAACACATGTCATCAGGACCTCTTGAGGCTGTGTCATGGGGGTGTCCTTAATCTTGGCAAAATAAACTTTCTAAATTGATTGAGACCTGTCCCAGATACTTTTTGGGTTCACGGAGATACCCAGAGAAATGAGTAAATCCCAAAGTGGTGGCTGTGTGTATTAGTCTGTTCTCATGTTGCTAATAAAGACATACCTGATACTGGGTAATTTCTAAAGGAAAGAGGTTTACTTGATTCACAGTTCCACCTGTCTGAGGAGGCCTCAGGAAACTTACAGTCATGGCCGAAGGGGAAGCAAACACATCCTTCTTCACATGGTGGCAGGAAAGAGAAGTGCTGGGTGAAGGGGGAAGCCCCTTATAAAGTGATCAGATCTCGTGAGAACTCACTCACTATCATGAGAACAGCATGAGGAGAAACTTCTCCCATGATTCAATTACCTCCCACCAGGTCCCTCCCATGACAGGTGGGGATTATGGGATTACAATTCAAGATGATATTTGAGTGGGGAAACAAAGCCAAGTCATATCACTGTGAATTCAGGTTTTAATACCTTAGCCTACTGAGCAAAAAAAGAATGGAGTGGGAAAGGCCATTTACGGGTAAGTGCCCAGCACAAGCTTGGCAAACGAGGGTAAGGTGTGTTATGCAGATCAAGTCCATGCTTTCTCCATTGAGAAGACTCTCTAGTGATTCTCCTCTTCCTGGTACAGAGGGAGACACTCTTACAAATGAAGGTTTCCTTTGTACATGTAGATTTCCTCTACAAAAGGGTAACTTCTACCCGTTTTTGGAGCTTTTCCTCTGTCTGCAGTTTCTCAAAATAATCAGCTCAAAATAATCATCATGCTAAACAGGCTTATTTTGGGGTGGCATATTCTGGTCTCCTAGAGTCATATTTTGGGGTGGTATATTCTGTTCTCCCACAGTAACAAACATTTAACAAGGCCCTTCAACTTAGAAATGAAAAATATCTCTAACAAACAAGCCTGGGTTTAAGCAGAAATGGAAACCTTAATTGCAAAATTTTTTTTTTCAGTTACAAGAATGAAAACATGATATAATCACTACATTTCACAGTTAAAATGGAGATGACTCACTTATTAAAAGAAATAAATTTTTAGAGACAAAGTCAACAATATTTATTATTAAATGCTTAATAAATTATCTAATAAAATATTAAATACTTAATTCATTATATAATAACCAATATTTATTATTAAATACTTGAGAATAAAAGTAAAGGAATTAAACTTCCAATTCAAAAAGCGAGAAAAAGAAAATCCTATATAAAGAAAGCATTAAAAAAATACAGGTTAAAACAGAAATTAACAGAAAAACCTTTGAAAAAGGCAGAGAAATAGACAAACCAGACTCTAACTTAACTACGGAAAAATTGAAAAATCCACAAATTCACAAAATAAGAAATGTCATGGGGAAACTAGTGCAGGGGCAGAAAGGTGTGATACCTTTCCTCACCCATCGTAAAACTCATGGCCAACACTCCTATAACAAAAGACAGGTTAAAGGACAAAAGCATAAAAAATTTATGTAATTAAAATTTTAGGTGACACAGGACACTTCAGAAATAAAGACCCAAAGACCAAGAGAAAGCTGTCTATTTTTATACTTTGGTTCAATGAAAGCTAGCAGTGTGATTGGACAAAAAGGGTATTATCTAAGAATAGTAGACTGATGAGGAAAAAGCAGCAAGCCCTGTTGGGATTCTTCTTTGCCTCTCTGGGTAGCATTTCTTCCTCCTGGATGTGGGGCAGGACCCCTTCTGGAATGAGGGTCTTATGGTCAGATAAGGTAGGTTAGAATTTCTTTATGGAAAGGTGGGGGAAGGGTAGAGTAACATTTCTAGGATTTTTTGGCTTGCTTTGGGCAAGAGGGATTCTGGTTTCTATGACCCAACTTGGGGAAGAAGAACTCTGATTTCTATGGGTCAGTTTAGTGGGGAATGAGGGGAGAGAGCCAGGAGGGAAGAAGTTCAGAGAGACCTTGGTTCTGAGGCTGCTTCTAAGAGCCACACTTTGGCATATTATCTTCTGAGCCCCAATACTAGTCATTGAAACACAGGGTATTGAACAAAAACCATGAGAGCTTACTTTGCACAACTTTATGTAAAATACATTTTAAAATGTAGATGGAGTGTATAATTTCTTAGGAAAATACAATTAATCAAAATTGACCCTAGTAGACATTAATGCACCATACTGGACCAATTTCCATAAAGGTAGAGGATGTTATTAGACATCAACTCTGTAAAGAACTACTGTACCCAGATAGTTCAAAGAGGCAGCTTTTCAAAGTCTAGATAATTCTAACCTTCTGAAATATAGACTAGGAAATTCAAAATTCTTCTTATGACACAAGAATAACACTAATGAATAAATACAGATAAAGAATCAAACCAATTTTACTTATGAATATTGATGCAAAAGTCAAAAAAATTAGCAAAGAGAATCTGACAGCACATTTTAAAATAATGAATAATGACCAATTGGATTATTTTGTGTAGGTGTTAAACAAAATTATGGGAAGCCAGTGTTTGGGACTGAGCTCCTGCTTTAGACGCCAACAAACCAAACCAAAATGGAGCCACTCATGATAAGTGCCACAGAATAAAACTGAAACCTGAAGGAATCAGGTAGATCCACAAACAGAGCTGTTTTTCCTGAAAATAGGAGATTCACAGCAACCAATCAGAGAGGGCCCAGTCAACCTCAGACAGTGTCAAAAGGAAGTTTCTTCTGCTTTAACCCTTACATGAAAAAATAAACTGAAGTAACCTGTTGGTAACCAACCCACTTTTTTCTGTTTCCCTGTTCCCACCTTCCAAAAACCAACTGCTCTGTCATGCCTAGTTGGGCGCTCATTCTATAGAAAGAAATGCTGCCTGATTCTAAAATGGCAAACAAAAATCAGATTTTTAAACTATATTCCTTGTAATTGTGTCTTTTGACATAGGTTTGACCTAGAAATATAAAATGGTTAAAAATTAGAAAATTTGTCCATATAATGCACCATGTCGGTAAAGTTAGGGGGAAAATCATACAATTATCTCCACTGGTGTATAAAAAGCTTTAACAAAATGTAATACCCCTTGCTGATATAAACACTTAATAGGAATTGCAGAAATTAAATTTACCTGACTTGAATTTAAATTGTCACATGTGGTTAGTGGCTACCACACTGGAAAATGATGTTTCTAGAGGATCAAGATCTTAACAAAAATAGACAATATAAATGATAAATGATAATGTTCACCTCTATGTGCAAGCTAAGGGTTAGCAAAGTAGCCTTCTCCAAAATTCTGCTGAGTTAAATTACAAAGTCAACACACACAGTGGATGAGCCCAGGTATGTGCTAAAGGCATAATTCTTTCTGGGCCAGAAGCAGGAAAAAACCAGCTGACAATGATGATTAATGGAATGAATGATGTTAATAAAGTAATGTTAGTTAATACTGTTTACCATTATTATAGCAAGGGCTTACTAAGGGCCACGTGCTGGGCTGTTTTGTATGCACTGCCTCATTTAAGCCTCATAACAACCCTATGAGCTAGGTGTTCTCATTTTTGAATGTGAAAACAGGTACAGATCAGGTAACTTGCCCGAGATCACTTAGTCCATAAGTGGCAGAGTGGGGAGTTATAGGCAGGTTCTCTGGACTCCAAAATCTCTGTTCTTATTCTAATTTGACTTCCACTGTACATCTGCCTGAAGGAGAAAATGTTTGTCACCACAATACCTGTGTTCCAGGCCACGTGATGGTTTTACATCCATTACTGGCATTTAGCTTTACACTTCATTTCCTTCTGAGTTTGATCAGTGTGAAGAAGTTTCTGCAGGTGCAGAAACGGGGTGATCTGGAATTCTGGCTTCTATGCCGCAGTTTGGGTGAGTGTCAGGGTGAGAGACAGCAGGGCAGGAGGTAAGAGAGACTTGGATTGAGGCTGCTTCTGAGGCCTTCCAATCTCCCTTAGTTCAAAGCACTCAGCATGTCAAAGCGCCATATTTTAGGGTATCATTTTGTGAGCCCCAACACCTCCGTAAGTCTGAAAAACCAAAGATATTGCCAGTATCCCCTTTCAAGCTGAGAAAGGGAAAATTCATGAGGAAATGCTACCCTAGGAGGCCTCCTGGGTAGAGCTGCCAGATAAAATACAGGATGCTCAGTTACATTTCAATTCCAGATAAACAATGAGTACTTTTTTTTTTTTCTTTCATGAGGATGTTCCAAACATTGCATGGGGCATACTTCTGCTAAAAAAGTATCTTCTTTATCTGAAATTCAAGTGTTACTGGCCATCCTGTATTTGATCACAGTTGTATTCCCAGGAGACTACCAGGTAAGTGTTCCCTGGTTATACTCTTCCAGACCGTGAGTGCATTTTGCAAATTGTAGCGGTGTGGCCAGAATTCTGTAAACGGTGTGCTTACCAGAGAATTAGCTCTAAATAGCCAGGGAAGGTTGCCTAGAAAGGAGGAACAGGTTGTCCTTAAAGCATGAGTGGGAACATGCACTGCATTCCATTTCAGGAGGGCCAGGCCAGGCCAGGTGCCTCAAGGTGGATCCGTGGGGATAAGCAGCGAGGGAGGCTTACTTCTAGACGGGAAGAATGGGCCAGGGCTGAGTCTCCTTCACTCCTACATACAGGGAAGCCCTCTGGCCATCTAAGTAGCACTCTCCAGTTAACATTTCATTCCACAGTGGGGATAGCCTCGTCTCCCTTCTTCACAAGGACAGTTAAGAGATGCAAGTGACAGCGGGCAGCATTGCACCAAGCACAAAAATGGCGGAAAACTCCCTGTTGCCCTTTGTGAGCATGAAGGGCTTTGGTAGCCATGGAAGTTACTCTAAACAGTGTGTCTCAAACTTTAGGGGCATCAGCATTTCCTGGAGGGCTTGATCAAGCACAGATGGCTGGGCCCCATCCCCAGAGTTTGTGGTTCAGTACGTTGGGATAGGGCAGAGAAGTGCATTTCTTTGTTCTTATTTTTTAAAACTTTTAGGTTCAGCGGTACGTGTGCAGGTTTGTTATACAGGTGAACTCGTGTCACAGGGGTTTGCTGTACAGATTATTTCATCACCTAGGTACTAGGCCTAGTGCCCAATATTTATTTTTTCGGATCCTCTCCCTCCTCCCACCCTCCACCCTCAAGCAGGCGCCAGTGTCTGTTGTTCCCTTCTTTGTGTCTGGGTGTTCTCATCATTTAGCTCCCACTTATAAGTGAGAATATGCGGTAATTGGTTTTCCATTCATGTGTTAGTTTGCTAAGGATAATGGCCTCCAGCTCCACCCAGGTTCCTGCAAAGGATGTGATCTCATTCTTTTCTATGGCTGCATAGTATTTCTAACCATTTCTCAGGAGATGCTGCTACTGTTGCTTCAAGGAGCACACCTTGGGAATGCTTTAAAGCGGGGCTTCTCACAATTGAATGTGCGTACACATCACCGGGAGAGCAAGTTAAAACGCAGCATCTATCTGACTCACTAGGTCTGGGAAGGGGCGTAAGATTGTTCTTTTCCCACAAGCTCCCAGAGATGCAGCAGGAGCAGGCTGAGTTGCCAAACTCTAGGGAAGTGGTTTTCAATCCTGGCTGCGCATGTTAGAATGACCTGGGGATCTTTTAACATTTCCAGAGAAGCAAGATGTGGAGGCTCCCACGTCATCCCAGCGCTTTGGGAGCTCAAGGTGGAAGGATCGCTCGAGTTCAGGAGTACAAGACCAGCCTGGGCAACATAGTGAGATGCCATCTCTAAAAAAAATTTTGAAAATTATCTGGGTGTGGTGGCATGCACCTGTGGTCCCAGCTACTTGGGAGGCTGAGATGGGAGGATTTCTTGAGTCCAGGAGTTCAAGGCTGTGTGAGCTATGATCTATGATGTCACCACTGCACCCCACTCTGGGTGACAGAGCTCACCCCAGCCACAGTTCAGGCCAATTTAATCAGAATTTCTTGGGTGAGACCCAAGTATTTGGATTTTTAAATCCATGGGATTCCAATGCAGAGTGAAAGTGACTATTTTTATTGCCAGTTCTTCCTGGATGACACCCATACATCCTATTCCCGTGAGTGGAATCATTGCTTCTTCAATCTGAAGCTGACAAAGTTGGTGGGTCAGAGCTCTGACTTCTGTAGTTCAAAACAGAAGATGTTGAGGTGTGTTCAAATGCTGCAGCATGTCTGAAGAAGGGGGCCTGATGCAGGCTTTTCCTCTCTGTAAAATGGTGTAAATAATAGAGCTGCATCAGACTTACGCAAAAAGATTATGCCAAAAATTCATGCTAAGTGTTCAGCACAGTGCCAGGCTCAGAAAATATTTGTAATAATATTGTCTATCATCATAATAATCCAACCACTTACCCAAAGCCTCACTCAGTTCTCAGTATTTCCACCTGAGGTTGCCCAAGCACACTTGAACTGCTCCACTGGCTGACAACTTGTTTGTCATGGACAGCCTGGAATACTAGAAATGCCTCCTTTCTGTTGAGCTGCCATCTTATTTTTATAAGTTCCAATAACTAATCTAGTTAAACCCTTTAGATTGCTATAGGACAGTTCTCATGTCCCTCCCACGAAAGACTCATTTTGACATTGAAGACCAGTCTTCCCTGGTTCTGCATGGGTTAACCATTTCCAGGTCATACGTTTTCCATATTTCTCTCAATTGCTCCCATTTTTGGGGCACCCTGGCTGCTGCTTTTGCACATGCTCTGTTTCGTGTACGTGCCAAGTCTCAAGCAATTTACCCAGGGTTAGCCTTGGTGTCAAGGGCACTGCGACTCACCTTCCTTGTTTTAGAAGCCATACATACATCAGGCCGGGTGTGGTGGCTCACGCCTGTAATCCCAGCACTTTGGGAGGCTGAGGCGGGCATATCACGAGATCAGAAGATCGAGACCATCCTGGCTAACACAGTGAAACCCCGTCTCTACTAAAAGTACAAAAAATTAGCCGGGCGTGGTGGCGGGCGCCTGTAGTCCCAGCTACTCAGGAGGCTGAGGCAGGAGAATAGCGTGAACCCAGGAGGCGGAGCTTGCAGTGAGCCGAGATCGCGTCACTGCACTCCAGCCTGGGCGACAGAGTGAGACTATGTCTCAAAAAAAAAAAAAAAAAAAAAAAAAAGAAGCCATACATCAATGTAACCCAAGATCCCAAGATGGCACTAGTGTTTTTGGTGGTGCATCATCTGTTGACTTTCATCGAGCTTGCTATGGATTTCAGTTGAAGGCTTTCTTTCCCACTTACTCGCTATTCTGTGCGACACAATGTCCTATCCTGACCTTGTTTAATTGTTTTTTTTGTAACTGAAGTGTAAGACATTACACCCTCTTGCATTCTGCATTAATTTGCCCCATTTCTCTGCCTGATGAGATTTTTTTTCAAATCCTGATTCTGTCATTTAGTGTAATCATTTTCTCCCAGCTTTATGACATAACCATTTTTCATAAACTTGCCTTCTGCAGCTTCCATCAAGTTATTAATTAAAATGTTGAATGGATGGGGCCAAAAGGCAAGCTTTGCAGCGGGACAATAGAAATGCTCTTCCGAGTTGATACATATCCTTTAATCAGTGTCGTTCAAGTGGTTTCACACCCACCAACTCTACTAACGTCCAGATAATATTTCTGCATTTTGCCCAGACATATTTCATTAAAGACTTTGCCAAATCCCTTGTTATGGTCCAGATATTTTGTCTCCTGCGTTTTTCTAATCTACAGGTTAGTCTTATAAAATAGGGAATAAATGGAGTCTGAAAAGATTTCTTTTTGGGAACCCACACTGGCTTCCAATTAATTGCTGCTGCCCTTCCAATTTACTCTAAAAATATGCCCAAAATTAATATCAAGTTCACTAGTCTATAGCATACAGAACGCACACTCTTCTCCACTAATATTAGAAAGATGTATGCCTGTCTGCAATATTTCCTATTGCTTATAATTTATCAATAAAAATGGACAGTGATTGAGCAGTCTCATTGATGAATCTCAGTTCTGTGGAATAGAATTGATCTAGAGATGAGACATTTAGAGTTGCTTGTTGTATCCTTATTCTATTTATTCCTTATGCAATTTAATTTGCTCTACGTTTAATTTCCCCCTATGAGTTATCAAATATCTCTATAGTCCCACTGGTGCTGTTATTAACTGTGCAATACAGAGAATACAACAGGATACAAAACCCCCCACCTCCAGAGGACAGGCAGCTGACAAGGAGAGATTCGTATTTGAGTTTGTGATCTGAGAGACTGAAATAGACACTCTTTTATCAACTAAGATGAACCCTGAGGTTAAGGGAACAAATTTATCTGCTGTGGAGGCTTTAGGGCCTGACTAGCACGGCCCCTAAATTCCTATGGCTACAAGAAAAACCACATTCTTGATAAACTCCCTAACACTAAGAGCTACAGACAAATTGTCTGACCCTTTCTAACTCTGAATTATTAATACAACTACTACAATGCTGATTGGAAAGAAGACCAGCCTTACGAACATTCTTTCCTGGTAAGAAACTGCAGAGCTCAAACCAGTTTCAGCAGGTTCTAGAGACTGTGCACAAACTTAGTATCCTATAGGCCACCTTTCAACATGAAGAGCCAAATTACACCTCATTTTAATGCTAACACCTTGCCCTAAAATGAACGTAGGGTGTATGCTATGCATATATTTACCTATTGCACATGCGCTCGGCTCCCCACATACATATGGATAGCTTTTCCTCCAAACCCACTGCTGAATATGTATGACTCTATTGTGTAATACAGGCCCTGTGAGGCATAAAAACCAACCTTCCCTTCCCTCTTTGAAGAGAGAGGACCTTCGGTATACTTCGGAGACCACTCTCCGAGTTTGCAAACTGATATGGCCAATAAAGCTCTCCTTTCTACTAGTCAGCCATCCTGGTGGTCTTCAGACACATTTCACATTCCAAGCTGGAGTGAAAGCGAAGGGATGGTAAAGGATATAGCTCTCCCAATCCCCACAATGCTTTGATTTCTTTGAGATTTACACCTCATAGCAATTTTGATCTCTGCCATACATCATGTTCATTTGTGCTGGAGAGGCTGTAACCAGTGATCTTGTTTCAAAAAGTCCAAATCCCCCAACATAAGACATCCTTTCTAATATTTAGAAGTGAATAGGATGGCATTTTATTTTTGAATTTCCAAGTCAACGGATCTTACTTTTAACATTAGGTTTGATGAAAAGAGTAAAAAGGTACACACCAGGCAGAGTAAGGCAGTGATTTGGAGATCAGCATTTGCATTTTAGGACAATAAATAGCTGCATGGTCTCTTTGCCTTGATGAGAAATAAATGGGAATGCAAATGGCTCTTGAAATTGCTTCTAAAAGTTTATTTTCTCCTCCCCTGCTCAAAGCCCCTTAGTGAAGACAACAGATCTCTGAAGTGTTCAAACACAAATCTTCACAGAAATGTGTGGAGGTGAGTCGGTGTTAGTCTGATTTTCTCACCACTGTGTTCAACCACTCTGGTGGCATCTTTCAATGTGGGGCTTGCGGTTGTGTTTTTATGGAGGCAGGCAGAGTGTGGTGTTATTTGATTTTTAAAGGTATTATTATAGCTGCTTAAATAAGCAAATAAAAACATTCCCTCAAATGATTGAAATTTGTTGGATTTATTTCTTTCTAAAGTTTGTACATTTACATGTATCATATACATATTTTAAATCCTTCACTATTTTGCGTGATTTCTATTACATAAAAACCATTTAAATGCAATAAATTTTGTTGCCGTAAAACAACAAAATATCCCCAACTTATAAAAACACAGGAACAATTATATTCATAAACATTTACACAATAAATGTACTCTATATATCACAGCTTCTATACATATCAGATGACTCACTTGTCTACAAGGTTTAGATTTACTTGAACAACAGTGAAATAGGGTAATATTTATATACAACTATTTTAATAAAAAATAAAGCAATTGTAAAATGTAAACTTAATTGTCAAAATATTCTTTAAACACTTTAACAATATCCACACAAATTACTGTTCCTTTCAAAAGAAGACCACCACAAACGCCATCGTTTTCTAGAAGACGGCATTTCCAGAATCTGGTAGGTGGTGATGAGGAACAGGTTTCCAGTACGTGTTATAGTACCGCCAGCTTACCCAAAACTGCTAATGCCGACAGTTTCGCCATTGAAAAGGAGCAGGCTGCTATTTTGTCACTAATTACTTTCACAATTTGCAGGGGACATATGGCACCAGGACTGCAATAGAACTGAAATGATTGGTGGAGAAAACTTTGAAGGTAAAGAAATGTTCCACAATGCCAATTAGTTTGAGCCACAGTGAATATAACTCAGTTATTATAATAGGCTGGAAAAGTTAAAAGCTTCTTTTATATTAAAAGATACAAATTATCGCCTTTCTGCCTGTCCTATGGTAATCAAGGCTGACAATATAAATTCTCCGCTAGTGTACATTTAGAAATGGGTTCCTAAAGCTTGAGATATAAGAGACTGCAGGGAGGTGGTTAGGCCTTTACCTAACAGCTCTGATCTGGACTGAACAAAGCTGCTAAGCTAGCACTTGAGTATTCCTCGACCCTTCCCCTAGAAAGGAAACGTTAGCCATTTCCAGGAATCTGGGTGTGGAGGCAAAGATATCGTCCGTCCGTAGTTAGAACTCAGGGTGCCAGTTTGTTTTTTGCAAAGGTAAAATACGTGGTGTTAACTTCACTCAGAGAATCTTTGTCATGACGTTTGTTCATGTGCCACGCTCAGTGACTCAGTCACTCTCGGAGTTGATACCTTGCCTCAGCAGGGTCACGCTATCAGGACACCTGGATCCCTAAAGCAGGGGAAGTGGCATTTGAAACCCAGGCTGTCCTTGCTGCTCAGTAGAAGCCTGAGTGAAGTGGCGGCCGGGGGAGAGGTTCCTCTTTGCAGAGATGATGTGTTATCACCACTCTCTGCAGGGCTCTGGTGTTCAGGACTCAGAGCAGTGAGCCTCAGACCTGCAGTGTGGTCCTTAATCGAGCCTTGGGCTGGGACTCTTCTAGGAGCGCCTGAAGACTTATTTATGGCGACCGATGGGAAAATATTAAGTGAAACTCCAAAATTCTCTCCATTAACCAACATTTTCAGGAATTGAAGTTAGGGTGCTTATTTCTATAACACTATTCCTAAGAGCTTAGCTCTCTGCCCTGCAAAGGGAAATGCATTTTAGTTCGGTTCCTTTCCATTTCCATCCTCGCTGTTGTTGCTGA
Organism: Homo sapiens; assembly: GCF_000001405.40. Classification (NCBI taxonomy): domain Eukaryota; kingdom Metazoa; phylum Chordata; class Mammalia; order Primates; family Hominidae; genus Homo; species Homo sapiens. The sequence goes on from NC_000008.11 coordinate 18,528,929, forward strand.
TGGAAAAGTGCTCAACTGCTCAGCATGTTCAGTCGGAGCTCTCTTACCAGTAAAGCTCAGAGGGGAGTGTGGACAAGGCACATCAGTGCTCCTACAGGAAGTGCCTCCTTGTTTCTTCACTTGTACTCCTCTCTCAAAGGAATGATCTGCAGAGCAAGCAGCTCTGCCACCTTGGAAAATGATGCACACCAGCTTCTGGGACTTCACCCAGGCTACGGAGAGATGCTGGAGAGCTGCTGCTTGTGAATTACAAGAAAGCCTTCAATTTGGTGGTCCACAAGAAAGAATGTGATATGGATCCCCTCATTTATGTGTTAAAAATATAATGCATCTCAAAGTCAGACACTAGAGCTCAGATTCCACCCTGGCCCTTGGAAAACATCTGTGATGCAGTTTCCACCCCCTCTGTTCATCACCTCTTTAGAATATTCTGGCTCTTTGCATCTTAAGGTCTTATGTTTGTATAACTTAAAACATTCACTGTGTGTGCATGTGTGCAAGCATGTGTACACATGTCAGAGGTCCCAGACATGTCAACTTTTCTCCTTATACACCTAAGGGGACAGTCAACTGGTTCTGAATCTCAGGAGGAGAGGACTAACCACATGCATGGTTACCCTAAATGGAAAGCAACCACTTTACTGTCCCCTAAGCTTCAATTTGGTCTAATTACTCTTGTTCCTACAGTTTTACAAAAGTATCTTAACAGCATTAAAAATCAATGTGCATATATATACTCTCTCTAGAGTAGATATTATTATCCATATCAAATGGTTACTTGGCTTTATAAACTCCATGGCTTTATGTTTAAAGTCCAAACATTTCAAATGGTTAAGGCCCAAAAATGAAACGTTTTGCTTCTCCTACTCCTTTTCTACATGATTTTTGAATCAAATGGCTGTTTCTGCAGATCACAATAATTCTTAGAAGGAAATACTCTCGCAAAACTAAGACCCTGCCAATCATTCACAGAGCCAGTCCACTGCACGTCAAGAACCAATTAGGAAAAATGATATATTTGCAAAAATAGTTTGAGACTATAGAGTTAATTAACAACAACAAAAAAATGCCTCAAGTGTAACTACCAACACATTACTGCAGCCTGGAGCTGAAGTTAGTCTCCCACCCCACAATTCAAACTCTCTGAATCAGCTACAAAGACACGAGGCAGTGTGTTTAAACAAAAGACACTGCACTCAGCCACTCACTCAAACACACTCAGTCACTGCTTTAAATATACCAAACATGCTGGTTAATAAAATTTTAGTCTCTAGTTACCTATTTACACTCTATAATATAAGCAGTAAGCTCAAACAACTAAGGCCAGTGGCTCTTCTTTGGGGAGAGGCAGGAAAAAGAGACCTAAGTATAAAAATATTTAAAATAAAGTTTAAACCTGGTCCTGAAATTCTTTTACCTGTGACACTAGATGCTAATTTCTGCAACTGCAAACCTAGGATACAGTACCCAATCCTGGGATGCCCTGATATACTTTAGTGCTTGTGATATTTCTTCCAAGTCAAGCGAGTACGGATGCGGCACCACGAGAGTGGTTTGATCTCCCGTAAAACATACACAAATACATAAATGATATGGTGGGTACTTAATTCTTCCGAAAGCTATATTTTTTATGGACTAATTACAACAACAATAAAGAACGTGTGCTTTAAAGCATCACATTTTGTAATAAGCCCAAAATTGTCAGTTTGACTTTAAGTGCTCTTAATACTAAAGTTACTAAGACTGCACAGGCTGCCTTTTTTTTTTTTTTTCTTTTCTTTCTGTATTTCCCAAATTACAGGGAGCTATGCCCTTGGTATTGCACACAGTACACTGCAAAAGATTCACAAGGTTAGTTGAAAGTCATTTTTGCCCTGGTGATTCAAAGCTCAAAGAATTTTCTAGCATAAAGTCTTATTAAAAATTTTAATCAAAATATTATTTGAGTTTAAGTTTAATAAAACAATACCACTATATATACTCTCAACAACTTCATTATATAATCAGTCCTATGAGGTTGTACTTGCTTTTCATATCACACTGATTAAGGACAAAAATAATTTTGATGTACATGTACCATACACTGATATGCAATCTACACACTGATGCATTTACATACATACAACTATAAATACCCACAAATACAACAATGGCAGGTGACAGCATTTTCTTTGATGACTGACATACTGCCTGTAAGAATAGTCTCCAAAAGCCTGCAATACTACAGATACACACACAAATTACAAAGGATGAACCGAAGAGACTTAAGAAAACCTACTGTATATACAATTATGTAACTTGCAAAATTTTCCTGCTGTTGCATTCAAGTCAAACTGTCATGCAGATTCAAGTATTTAATGACATTCTCTCTATGAAGACATTCTCTCTGCATGCAATGGGCCAATTATTGTCATAAGCAGAAGGCTGCCCACGTGGGTTCTGGATACTGTAGGTACAAAAGGAGAATGCCTTTGGATTTCAGTCCTTCCTTTATGGATGAGAGATGGAAAAGGAATCTGAGAGAAAAATCAGTGACAAAGCCCCTCTCTATTGCTATCAATAATCTATCACGGGGTTATTCTGTGATGATTTGATCATGTAAGATGCTATAAGACTGGTGGAAAGAAATTTGCTGACATGTGGCAGAGCAGTGGCATGGCCTGGGAGACAAGATGGCCAGAAAGCTGTGGAGCAAGGTAGGAGGCCCAGAGGCGCATCTGCCTGCAAAGCTGACTTACCATTTTCTGTCAGAATAACTTAGATGCTTTGAGACAAAAGCAGATACTATTTAAACTCCAACTTGGACAATTCCTCATAAACTAGACTTCAGGTTTAACAACTCTTAGGATGCCACTTTGGTTCTTTGTTTTACAGTGCTAATTTTACAATTGGAAAAAATTCTGTCATTTGAAAAGTCAAGGGATGACTCACTGCTGAAATGAAGAGAGGTGGCTCCCAACCTGCTGAAAACTCGACCAAGTCCACGGGAGTTAAATTACAGAGATTCAAACCTGCAAAGCTAAACTTCTGTGAATTCAGGATGCAACATGCTTAACTGATGACTGCAAGGAAAAATGCCAAAGGAACTCAATTTCAAGGACAATTAATGAAACCCAAAAGGTTTTGTTAGTAAGACAATGGAGAAACTTCTTTAACGTCAATTTTCTTCCAATTGTCAATGATTAGTTAAAAAGAAAAGAGTGCAGCTCATGACAAGCAGGCCCTGCCTCTCATCCTTCCCAGATCTTTACATGATAGAGGGAGCAATAGGCAAAGGACAGTAGAAAAGCTCAGTGTAACTTTGTGTTTAGGCAGTAAGAGGCCTCTTTCCCTGCTGGTTGCAAAAATTCTTCCACAATCTCAGAAGTTCTGTAGCTTGGCCACAGGGTGAAATACAAACCTATCTTAGCCTTGGAAAGCCACCCAGATTTTCCTCTTCCAGAGTAAATTCCTCATGTCACTTTTGCCCAGGGGCCAGTCCTCATTTTCTAGATTAGGATAACAGTTGGAGACGCATAGAGGGTCTTGTGTTTGCCACAAGACCACTGCACCAAAAAATGCTTTCTATCCTCTGCATCTAAGAGGAATAAAAAGGTTACACATAATCCAGGGACTACATTTCCATCAGAGGACTCTCTCCCATCATGGTTTTGCTGAGATTAATTAAAATTCACAAAAGTATTGCTCAGTTTAATTAGACACTGCTGAGAGTTAGCAAAATGATGTTTCAAAAAAGTGCACTTCAGAAATGCCTACGGGCTGGCGATAAAGTAAGGACTCTGCATCCCAGTAATTAAGTTTTGATTGCTAATGAGGAATCCCAGACACCTCCCTGTAAAAGCCAGCATGCGAGGTGGGGACAAACCCCTAAAATTCAGATTTTATACATGGGCCACCTGTATGGTCAATTTTGCAACAACACTATGACCAAGGCATTCTGATAGCTGTCAAGATTTTCTGTACTAGAAATTAATATGAAGTGTATTGACGTGAAGAAGAATGATTTATCATATGGAAGGAAGTCCCAAGGCTCCTGGGCGCTGAGGTGGGCGACGGAGGTGGGTGGCGTACCTTCAGAGGAAAGGGAAGGGGTGCTCCCTTGTACCGTGAATTGGGCAACAGGCTTGGAGCAGCTGTGAAAGGAAACATCCTCAATTTCTTCTGGCTAGATGCCACAGGAAATAAATTATCCCAAAGGAAAATGTGGTTGGCTATGGGCCAGACTCTCAGAATCTAGGCAAATCAGTGACTGTTTCCTCCCATAGCATAAACTCTTGGCCTCCTTCATGCACTCATGACAGACAGCAACCTTCAGAAGCCTCAGGGAAGAGGTGTTCTCAGCCCATGCGCTAAAGATGGACAGCATCATGCTACGGCAGTCTGAGATCCTGGCTCACAAAAGAACCTTTAAAGTTGTTTTTAAAGATAAACTATGCAAACATGGTATACTGAAGCTTCAAAAGAGCCCTTCGTATCCAATGATCTATTAGCCTATCCAGAAGTCCCTGGAGTTAATATTAGTGACTCATATGACACGGACAGTGCTATAGTGGTGCTGATGCTAGCCGAGTATTTCAACACTACTCTAAATGTCAGAAATACTGTAGCAAGGTACCATTCAATGTATATTAAATAAGTAAAATACATACAGACATTCTATATACATAGATATAGACTGTGGGCAAACACATTCAAGCCACTCAGGGAAGTTCCTTTTTCTTTAGTTACTGAAGCTTGTAGATGACATGGTCTAGGTACCTCTCTCCCCTCGGCTTAGTATAAACATTTAGGCAGAAAACAAATATCCTGATAATTTAGATTATCAGGTAGAAAGACAGATAACTTGCTTGTGGATATGTTGGATTCAGTGAGAGGCTACAAAAATCAATCTGATACATGGGCCATATTGGTAACTATCCTGTTTGTTTTGCAGTTCTGAAACATAAACTTAGTTACTGCCTTTACCCAAACAAGGCAGAGAGTTAAAAGTGAGGTTTTTTTTTTTACAGGTGTGGCAAAATACTTATTACAAAGAAAGCAACTGCAACCCTAGAGAGGGGTAAGCCTTCTCTGGGCAATAGTCATGGACATTTACAGAGGGGAAGGAAGTAAACGTTAATAAATAATTCTGTAAATAAATGCTAGTACATCATAATAACATACCACTTAGACACTACCATGGCTTTACAGCAGGTTTTCTCTAATTCACTGGAACCATGCTATTCCTGTAGAGCAGCTGATTCTTTGGTCATAGTACCTTCAACAAATAAACTATAGAACTAGAGAAACTTTCTAAGGGAGGAAAAAGAAAAATCAAAGTGATACTATTAGTTCTGAAGTTGTGCCACTTGCGGAGATTTTAACTTTAGGGATTACAGAGTTTCAAGGTTAGGAAATCACAAAGCTCTAGGTCTCAGTGGGCTAAACTTTCACTCCTTTCTCTTCCTCTACAGAAGAATATTCTGTTTATCACCCTGAACTTCAAAGGGACTGTAACTGGAACAAGCTCATGACTGCAAAGTTAATAGAACCATTTTGAGTAGACAGAAAGAAAGGACTGAAAATAGATGAAGTATTTTTAGGAGAAAGTTGAGTAGTAGCAGAGTGAAGTGGCTATCAAGGAGACTGAGACAAGAATAAACAAAGTCACTTTGCACCTGCAACCAGAAGATTCCTCAGTTTTCCAACCATAATTCATTCTGACTACTACTTTCAGATATATTTTAAAGAACCAATATCCATCGTGGACAACTGCAGCTACGTTTTCCTTCCTTATTTTGTCTTAAGGACACAAGAAAAGCTGTTTCATTTTAGTATTAATTTGTTAGGAAGGAAGACCTCAATATCACAACCAGGACACAACCCCATGCCCACACACGCACACACACGCACGCACACACACATATGTAGAGTAAGAAAAATCTATTCCTGGATGGAAGGATATCAACGATAGAGATGATGGATTTCTAGTCTAGACCCTGTGGGAGTGAGGTAACAATTCCTGCAGACTGAGCACATGCCTACTGCTGCAGCTCCTCAAGGGCCGATTATTGCCCCCATCCTTTAGCAAACAAAATTAACTGGGTATCAATCTTTCCTCAGCCTTCAAAGGCAAAATGACTCCACTTCCTCTTTCCCTTGCTTGGCTGAAATGGAATCAGCACTTCAAGCAAGCTAATGTGCTTCCCTAAGTTCTCAATCCTACGATCTTCACGCTTCTTTTCCCTGCTTCCAGCAGGGTCCGATCTCAACAACAAGTGCTAAGCTGCACATGAAGCTGCCTCATATTGGAGCAACTAGATTCCCAGCACTGTGATTCTTACTGGAGCATCTGTGAGTGCTCAATTCTACCTCTGTGACTGGGCAAGATTTCACATATAAAGGCGTATATTAACTCCAGCTAGAATTTACTAAAACTACAGTTTGTCCAGTTAAGTGTTTCACAATGGATTAAATTCTTTAACCTTAAAAAAAAGTTTAACAGTTGATATGAGAATACATAAAACAACTGAGCAGACTGCAAACAAGAGAAAACCAAAAGAGAAGGGATACATAATTCATTCTGAAATCACGATCCCCTCCTCCTCACAGAAAAGGTGCATTAGCTATCAAGTTGCAAAAATCATCAAAGCAAAAGAAATCAAGAGCAAAGACAATCTGTACAGAAACTAACAAAAATATACAATAGAAAAAATTACTAATGCACCGTTTTGTCACAGACTTTTTTTTTTTAAATATATTCACGGATTACCAGAAAGATCTTGAAAAACCCTATTTTGCTCCATGACCAGCACTTCCTGGCCGCAGATGGACTCTAAGTAACTTTTTGCTTAATGCTTGGTGTTTCAGGTCGGTGATCCTTCCTCTCTGACACGTTACGCTTGACTTTGGCAGTGATTGGAGAAGTATCCGGGTTCAGCGAAGGACTCGAGTGCGACTTCTTCAGTCCTGCAGCCTCGCTTTCATCGTTACTCAGTAGCTCTTTGCCTCCTTCCTTGAGAATGCTGACATACATTTCATAGCGGGTTTTCTGAAGGCAAAGCCAGAGAACAACGGTAGTCAGAAAACTGTTCAAAATGCACGTGTGCAGCACACTTGTGTATTACCCACCTGGAGAGTGTGAATGGCTGTTGAAGACTTCGCTTCATTTCCCAAACTGACAAATTACTTGGGCACTTACTGGGCACATGAGAGGCAACTACAGAGACTGTCTTATGTAGATAAGAAATTAAGTTAGAATTTTAGTTCTCATTTGTTCTAGATTCTGACAGAATGTCAACTTGGAGTTGCTGGCTACCAGATGGAACACCATGAATCTAGAACACTCAGGCATGAGAAGGGTCTAAGTTGGAGGAGCTGTCACCTCTGGTTTTCGGCGGCTGCATGGCTCTTGTGGCTCTGTACCAAAGTCACCTGAGCCTCCCCAGGTAGTCCAGGCCTCACAAGAAACTGGCTTGGATATGGTTGTTTACTCTTTTTCTGACTCCCTGTAACCCTACAAAGGCTTGCCTTGAGGGACCATTCCGTGGCTAATCTCCTGGACAGTCAGTCCCCTATGAGACCATACCACCTTCTAGAAGCTGCTCTGGGTTTCCCTCCGTTGCTTTTCTGCAAGGATTACCCACTTCTCCGGTTATTATGAACAGGTGCTGCTATGAACAGTATGAAGCTGGCAGAATTTCAAGTTATTTTCTGATGCTTTTCCAAATCAACAATATTCATTACCAACTATGTACTGAGTACCTACTATGTTTCAAACAGTTCCTTGATTCCTCCGTCTCTTGGATATCTAAGATTTTTTTTTTCTTTTTCCATGGCTCTGGCACTTTTTTTTTCTTCCAGTTTCTATCCCAATCAATATATAGAACTATCATATATGTTGCAAATTAGAGAAGGGTCTCAGATTCTTAATTTGACACATTCTGGTAAAGTAAGTATTCCACCATCCTGCCTCAACGCATGAAGAATTTATAGAAAGCTTAAAGTGTTTTATTTCTAAACCAAAGAACATGTCAGATATAAACTGTCCCAACAAAGGCAGGCAAATTCTGTTTTGACTATACATCCGTCTTAGGGATTTTTCTAGTCAGATTGGGGTTTTGTACGTGTCAGTTTTAAGTTAGTAATTTAGAAGTGCTACCTTTTCAAGCTGCTTCGTTTAACAATGGGAAAAAGCTGCTAGACATTCAGTATGTTCTGGGGTTGGCCAGGATTCAAGTGGGGTGTGAGCGCTGGTTGCCGATGATGACATTTATTGAGTACCAACAGCTTAACACAGGTCATTCACACAATATTCATACACAACTGATAACTTACCATCCCTGCTTTACAGTTAAGGCAACAAAGGCAAAGACAAGTTCAAAGTCAAAGTAAGGAAGAAATGAAACTCGGATTTGAACCAAGGCAATCTGAGTTCAAAACCCACGGCTCTTAAGCTATATTACCTCCATTGATATGAAAATATAGATTATATGTATATAGATTTTAGGATGACTCCTCTGACAGACACTGTTGTTTGGCCAGTCAAAGGCCATTCTCAACTCCTTCTACTCTCATGTGCCTTTCACTACAAAGACTGATAAAACCAGAGATACTTACTTTCCCAGTCTCTCTTGTAGCTAAGTTGGGCCATGTGATATTGTGACCAGTAAGACGTAAGGAAGAGTCTTTTGGGGGGCTTCTGGGAAAGAGATTTTGCTTTCTGATAAAAGGGACAGACTTTAAGGAGAAGTCACTGGTGTTAGCCTCTCATTCTTTTTTTTTTTTGAGACAGAGTCTCATTCTGTCATCCAGGCTGGAGTGCAGTGGCATGATCTCAGCTCACCGCAACCTCCACCGCCTGGGTTCTAGCAATTCTCCTGCCTCAGCCTCCCAAGTGTCTAGGATTACAGGCGCACACCACCACACCCAGCTAATTTTTGTATTTTTAGTAGAGATGGGGTTTCGCCATGTTGGCCAGGCTGGCCTCGAACTCCTGACCTCAGGTGATCCACCCGCCTCGGCCTCCCAAAGTGCTGGGATTACAGGCGTGAGCCACTGCACGTGGCCTAGCCTCTTACTCTTATTCCCTCCTTAACATGGACATGACTCCTAAAGCTGCTGCCCCGTGACATGGGCAGTAGGTATGAGGAAATAGGACAACATGCTGCACCTGAGGAAAAATGGAAAGACGGAGAGAGCCATGTTGACATGATGAGCTGGATCCAACCCTAAGGCTACAACCTCTGGAATCATGTTAAATATGAATAATAAATATCCTATGGGTTAAACCACTGTTTATCAAGTATTGTTATTTGCAGTTTAAAGCATTACTAAACACACATTCCAATTTCAATAAAGAAGTAACAAAATACAGAATAGCATGCTAAGCATTATCTCAGAAGGCCACATGATAGTTTCATAAGGTTTGCTAGTAAAAAATGTCATCAGTATCACCCATCAGTAGATGCACTATGAAATCAGAGGACTGAACAAGATAATATCCACAGGACATAAAGATTCTAAACGCCTCTTCATTTTATGAATTTATTAATTAATCTACTCCTAAACTGCCTTGGTGGCAAGATTAAAAAACAGAAAAGAACTACCCCCAACAGAAACAAAGTTTGGTAAAATAGTCTAAAGGTAAGTTTAAAAATAGATTCAGGAAACCAGCGTAAGGCATACGATTTCATGAAGCTGGAGCGTTGACACAATGAAAAGAGAATGAAGAAAAATTGTTTAGATCACTTGAAAGGGGACAAAAGGAGAAAAGATGATAGGGACAGTTTTCCAGTAGTCTTTGAATAAAGTGATACTACTAGGAAAATCCACCTGAAAAATACATGAAGGAAAGCCATCTCATCCACTCATTTTACAGCTCCAGCTGCAAAGCTATTGTCTTAAATAAATTACATCAGTGTGTCAATCAACAAACAAAAGGCACAGCACAGAGGTGTGGCAGTGCATGAGTCATCAGATCAGAAGTAAAGACAAAGCAGAAAAAAGGGGGTGAGAGGGGCCAGAAAACAAAGCCTGCCCTGCTGTTAAGGAAGCCTTCGAGGGTTGATGAGTTTGCAAACGCCGTGCCCCATTTCTGACTTAAAAAAGGCTTATAGGGACACAGGTTACAAAACCCAGAAATGTAGCTTTGCATTTTACCAGTCTCTGAGTCTAGATTTTACTGAACCAAACCAAATATACCTCTTCAAAACATTTTAGGAAAACGTAACTTTAACTTCAGGACTAACCAGCAGGTATTAGTTTTAGCCAAGTATCTCTAGGATTACAGACTCAACCACATATGTAAATGCTATCCAGAGGATTTGAGGACAAAATAAAATTGTCTCAGAATAAAGAAAAATAACTCTGAATGATGCTCTGGAGAGCAAGGGCAAGAAACATAACTGAAATTTCTCTCTTCATTGATTTCGCCTCATATTCTCTTTCTGGGCAGTAGGAAGGTCATATTTCTTAACTATGCAACAGCATCATTTGGAGACTTTATTTCCTTTCTTCCTTTCAGAGAAGATGTGATTTGCATCTTTTTTCCTAAGACCGATTGTGAAATTTAAGTTTTAAATGAAAGCTGGTGTGTAAGAAAAAGTAAAGGAGCAGCAAGAAGTATATTAGTAAATTACTTTTTTTTTTTTTTTTTTTGAGACGGAGTCTTGCTCTGTCTCCAGGCTGGAGGGCAGTGGCGCGATCTCGGCTCACTGCAACCTCTGCCGACTGGGTTCAAGCAATTCCCCTGCCTCAGCCTCTGGAGTAGCTGGGACTGCAGGCGTGCACCACCAAGCCCGACTAATTTTTTTTGTGTTAGTAGAGACAGGATTTCACCATGTTGGCCAGGATGGTCTTGATCTCCTGACCTCATGATCCGCCTGCCTCGGCCTCTCAAACTGCTGGGATTACAAGCGTGAGGCACCACACTCGGCCAGTAAATTACTTTTTAAAGGTTTGACACACCAGCTCAGAGACTGAAAACAATGATCAGTGTTCAAGTGGTCATCATGGACCCAAGAAGCTCATCAATCATATTGCGGCAGACGGTGTTTCCTGCTTCCTGAACAGCCTCTTCTTTCGTACTAATGGAACTGTGCGCTTTATTAAGAATGCCAGCGTGCCCAGCCCCATGAGAGGAATTATGGTTTAAAGCAGGCGTGATGACCCTTGTCTCTGTTAGTTTCCACTGCTGCCCTGTGGCCTAGATTTGGCCCCTGACATGTAAGTAGAAGTCTGCTAGGACAGTTTATGAAAGCAGCTTCTTTTGCTATTCTGATAGAAGGTGGTAGGCAATAAGGTATTTTAAAATTAAGGTACATACATTGTTTTTTAAGACATAATGCAATTGTACACTTAACGGATGACTGTATGCTATAAACAACTTTTATATGCACTGGGAAACAAAAAAATTTGGGTGACTTGTTTTATTGTGATATTTGCTTTATTGCAATACTCTGGAACTGAACCTGCAGTATCTCAGGTATGCCTGTGTCTGTAACCACTTTCAGGTTCTAGGAAATGATTAGCACTCTAGTACTTAGGGAGAAAGCTTAGGGATAATTCTTAAGTGGTGAAGAAGGAAATTTGACAATAAAAGCTTTGCTCCTTCACTCTTCTTTTTCTCTAATGTCTCACATCCTTTCAGTCAGCAGGTTTTGTCCATCTATCTTCAGAACTGCACCATTTCTCAGTACCTCTCCCATTTCTAGTCTGGACCGAGCTCATCACCTTGCGCCTGGGTTCCTCCCACAGTCGCCTGACTGCTCTCCCTGTTCCCTCCTTGCCCTCCACGTGCACTCCTTTCAAAAGACACTGCCCTGTTAAAACACAAGACAGAGTGTGTCAGCTCTGCCCAAAGTACTCCAGTGGTTTCTCATCCTTAATTCTCATCCTTAAAACCCTTCTCAACCAGGAATCCTTAAAATGCCCTAGAAAACCCATGGGCCACCCCTTTCCCGTGGCCCAGTCTCTCAGTTCTGTCCCTGGGCTTGAATCTGCCTCCATGGCACACACTCCTATTCGAGGACCTGTGGAACTTGCTATTCTCTGTCCAAAAAGCTCTTCTTCCAAAAGCCCACAGGACTTCCTCCCTCCCCTCCCTCACCTCTTTCAGGTGTGCACTTTAACATCACTTTGACACTGAGGCCTTCCCTGGCCATCAAAATCTAAAACTGGAACACCTACTCTTACTGCTTTATGTTTTCCTTAGCACTTCTCCCCATCTGTCAGCCTTATATTTTACTTGAAAAAAAAAAAAAAACCTTTTGATTTCCTCCTTTGCCCCCCAATACTAGATACCATCACATGAGGGTAAGGACTTTGCGTTTGTTTACTAATATATCCCCAGGGCCAAGAACACACAGTGGACAAGGAATAAGCGCCACTGAGTGCATGAACAGAAAGAGGAGGAACACATTTTTCCATACACGGTAGAAAATATATTTTGAACTCGTAATATGGCAAATCCAGAAAAAGAAAAATAACACGGATACCCACGTTGATGGCAGATGCCTGATGTGTTCCTAATTCAGGATCCTCTGGGAACACACCTTTATCTTCAGTATCCCACCGTTCCAATGATGTTTTTCACAAAAATGCTAAGGTCTGACCCTGTCAGTATTGAAGCTCATAAGCCACCACATGACAAAGGCTTGTCCACTTCCACTGCATATTCTCTTGACCTCTGTTGTCAAGATGCCACACGTGTCAGATCCTCAACAGTGCACTGAGGTATAGCCTGCCTTGCTTAGGACTGGGGCTTTTTCTCTCTCTTTAGAGAGAAACGTAGGTTATATTACACTTTTGAGGTTCATAAAACATAGACCCATTTTCTGAGAATCTTTTTTTTTTTTTTTGAGATGGAGTTTCGCTGTTGTCACCCAGGCTGGAGTGCAATGGGGCGATCTCGGCTCACTGCAACCTCTGCCTCCCAGGTTCAAGCCATTCTCCTGCCTCAGCCTCCCAAGTAGCTGGGATTACAGGTATGCGCGCCACCACGCCTGGCTGATTTTGTATTTTTACTGGAGAACGGGGTTTCTCCATGTTGGTCAGGCTGGTCTCAAACTCCTGACCTCAGGTGATCCTCCTGCCTCGGCCTCTCAAAGTGCTGGGATTACAGGGGCGAGCCACCTCATTCGGCCCTGAGAATCTCTTACGTAGTAGTACATGAAAAATAGACTTTATTGCCCACTGTGAGCTTCAAAATAAAGTGAGAAACTGGACCACTGTAGGTGGACTCCAGTGAGTCCTCATTTGGATAATTACTAGGTCTCATTACAATTCATTACAACATGAAGAGAATGCTCTACATTTGTCTTCTAAAAGCATACATTAAAAAGATAAGGATTTGTCAAGGATTATTTATATCTGGAATCTACTTGCCTGATCATTCTCACATGAAATTGACATGTAAAGTATCAGGAGCTCATTTACCTTTGGATACATAATTCCATACTAACCTAAGATTCTAAGTTCTCTGGGTCAGAGGATATTAGCCTCATCAACATGAATTCAGGACGGAATCTGCTGTTGGTACTAAACAAATAATAACAATATTCAAGTATTATATCTTCGCTTTGATAATTTTTTATAGCCAGATGGTAGAAAAGGGAATCTGAAACAGCAACAATATGTTTTAACTAATATAATTTCAGGCCACAAAGTAATCACTACACAAAAATTAACATAGTTCCAGATAGGGCACATTAAAAATGAGATGGGATGTTTAATAATGAGCCCATGGAAAGCATGGTGGCGGTAAAAAGAAGAGTCTTGCAGTCAAGTAGCCTGTTGTTGACAATGCCTCTAACTAATAAGACTGGCCTTAATTCATTCTCTGAAATTGTTGTTTAGTCTTCATAATGTAGCCCTTTCAGGTATGTGTCTTTCATTTACAAGGACAAAGACAGTTCCAGAAAAATGCGTGCCTCAGGGTCAGTTTTGCTACCTTTGGTTATGTTATTAAAGATTTTATCTTTGTCTCTGCAGATTCATTCTCAGGTCAATTCTAAATAATTTCAGAGCCCCACACTCAGCTTCCTTCCTTAGGAATGCTCCAACAGGGTAAATAGAGTTCCAGCAGTGTAAGCATAATATAATTCCACTATCAGAAAAATAACTTGGGATGGAATTTTACCAAATACAACTGCAATGGCAGATCTCTGCTGACAAGAATCTACATACCGTTTTCTTGGACCTGGCCCATTCAGTGAGCTCTCTCTCTTAATTAACTAAAATTTGCTGTTTTGATAAAGCCTTTTGTGACCACCAAGAGCCAAAGGCAACTCAAGTGTTTAATGGCGCCTTTGTCTACTCAAGTAAAATTCTTTCTTCAGTGTGTAACCCCTCCTTATTACATTTTTTTGCTGTATTTCTTTATTAAGCTGATCTTCGATTATCTGTAAAAATACTTCCCAAATATGGCCAGGCGCGGTGACTCACACCTGTAATCCCAGCACTTTGGGAGGCCGAGGCAGGCGGATCACGAGGTCAAGAGATCGAGACCATCTTGGCTAACACGGTGAAACCCCGTCTCTACTAACAAAAATACAAAAAAATTAGCCAGGCGTGGTGGCAGGCGCCTGTAGTCCCAGCTACTCGGGAGGCTGAGGCAGGAGAATGGCCTGAACCCAGGAGGCGGAGCTTGTAGTGAGCTTAGATCACGCCACTGCACTCCAGCCTGGGCGACAGAGCGAGACTCTCTCTCAAAAACAAAAAAAAAAACAACAACAAAAACAAAACTTCCCAAATATGTAGGGAAAAAATCCCTTTTCACTAGCATCAATGTCTACGAGGGATAAATAAAAATTATCGTGTCTAAGACCATGTAAACTGCTACTTGGGTTGAATGTTAATTGTGTTTTGAAAAAAATTACAACTATTGATATTCTTTGAAAAGTAGTTTAATCATATCCACACATATATTTACATGGATCTCACTGAACAGTTTCTCTCTAGAGCCCTGCATACCATTTTATAGAATAATATCTCCTTTTGACCTCTGATACATGAATACGATAGTAACAACCTGAATGAAAATACAGCTGGGCTGCAATTTTAACTGACTGCTCCTATTTGCATTCAGACCTCACTGCTCTAGCAACCAAATCCTGAATACATATCCTCCTTACATTTCGTTTTCTCATGCAGACAGGGCAAAAGGCCATCTTAAGACAAAATGAGCAGAAAAGCAATAATCTCATGTACACAGCAATACACTTTGCTCCTAGATCTCTACAATGGAAAACAAAGAAACAAACCAAAAAAAAAAAAAAAAAAAAAAAAAAACCAAACAAAACAAGGAGCTTCTGAAGGAACTGCTTATTCAAGTAAGGACTGCTCATCTCCCTTCTGCGTACTACGAGATGATGGCAGAATTGAGTTGCAGAGACTCTCCTTGACCAGGTGGCCCACCCACCACTACCTACTGACTTAAGAAAGCATCTGCATTCAAAACAGAGTTCCTGTATGAAAGCTATGCTGGAAATAACATTTTTAAAAAGAAAATGTTCAGGTTTTTTTTTTTTTCTTTTCCCTATGCTACTCCCATGTCAGGCTTCAGAGTACAGTAGTAACCTACTGCCTAAATATAGCAAATAACCACACATTTTTATTTATATAGTTCGTGTTCGTGGCTTTCTGGGAAATCCAAAGAAAGTGTGAATTCCGTTCTTTTGATTCATTCTCCCTTTCTGCCCTATTGCTCTCTAAATGAACTCTGTGACTTTCATTTTTTTAAAAATTAAACATTAAAAAGCTTACTTTTTAATATAATGGTACAATCAGAGCTCAACACTAGCACAGTCCAGGAGGCCTGGGTCTGTAGAAAGTGTTCTGAGAACTTCATTTGTCTGCATTCTGTTCCCACACCTCGCCCCAGGAAGCTCTCATAGGAATCTGCTCTTGACTGTGGACTCAGCTCTATCTTACTCTTCAGTGCCCCTACGGAGTTTCCTGGACAGGCCCTTCAGAGAGGAAGGAGAGCTGAGTGACCATCAGTAGACGCTCCCCACCTCCAGGCCCTGCTATTCCTTTCCTCAGGGTCCAACCAGTTGCCAAGACCAGGAGTAGAAAGCAGGTGCTTTTACCTTTGAATAACAACACTGTTGTCTTTGTGGAGAAGAAGAAGGAGATATGAGTTGTTAAGAAGAGTATGCAATTCCTGTTGAAAACTCATTTTAAAATACTATGATTTCTCTCATTCTTTACACTGTTTCTCTAGCTCTCAAAATTCTTTAAACTCAGTCTGTATAAGTATTCAGCTTTTCATCTCTTTTTTGAAACTAAAATGAACATTCTGTAAGTCTACAAAGCTTACTTAGAAAATACCACACATTTTATTTTCTAGGTGGAAAACTCAAGAAATAAATTGTCCGGTTCCAAACCACAAACAGAGCAACCTTACGAAGATCTGCCACCCACAAGGCCTCTGGCTCTGGCTGTTTCCAAAGGTCCCACCCAGCTTGGCCTTGTGATGGTTTTGACTATAGCTGAGTATAAAATTAAAAAAGAAAACACACCCTGATTTGATTAATGGGATTACCGAGTTTGTTGTTCAACAAAATGGAAAAAAAAAAATTAGCCTCTGAAACACAAGGATAGAAGGTTAAGCTTCCACTTACCCAAGATAAGTAATCTGGGCTAAAGAGGTACTGCTATCTGGGTAAGAGACTAAATTTTGCCTAAGGATAAAAGTTTGTCACTCATTAAGTTTTTCCCTATGTAATTTACATCTTCTAAAACAAAAAAGGTAGCTTGTTATGGCAACATTTTAATATAGGGCACGTGGTTAATCTTTTGGTTTACACTTTGCTTTTCCTTCTGATTGTACTGGAATTCCCCGAAGTCATACCGGGTATCCCTCAGAAGCACATTCCCAGAGTTCTCCATGTCAGCTTGTGTGTCACACTCACAGCTCCAAAAGGGCTAATGCCAGTCTTAATGGGACAGGGTCAGTTCTTCCAGGAAATCCTTAAAGTGTGATTTGAGGAGCAGCTGAAGGAACTATGATCTAAACTACCTTCCCCAGTGATCTCCTAAGACATTTCATCACCTACATTTATTTATTCCTTTTGGACCTGAAGTAGTCTATTTATTCATTTATTTTTGAGATGGAGTCTCACTCTGTCGCCCAGGCTATAGTGCAATGGTGCGATCTTGGCTCACTGCAACCTCCACCTCCCAGGTTCACGCAATTCTCCTGCCTCAGCAAGTAGATGGGATTACAGGTGCCCGCCACCATGCCCGCCTAATATTTTGTATTTTTAGTAGAGAAGGTATTTTGCCATGTTCGCCATGCTGGTCTCGAACTCTTGACCTGAGATGACCCACCTGTCTCAGCCTCCCAAAGTGCTGGGATTACAGGCGTGAGCCACCGTGCCCAGCCTTGAAGTAATTTTAAACTTTCTGAATTTCCAGTTTAAGTGATCCTTTAAATGGGAAGTATCATAAGTAGTCATCTTACCAGTCCATGTCCAATTTTGAGCTTGTCTTGGTAAAGCGCCTTCCAACCCAAGGAGTCAGTGAGCCATAAGTTATGTGTGACTATGAGACATGCCAAATGGGGCTAGACTGGATTGAGCTATGCTGCAGGTGTAAAACAAACACTAGGTTTTGATGATTTAATATGGAAAAAAGAATGTAAAATATTTTGGACATATAATGTAAAAATTTTAAAATCTCACTACAATTAATTTCACCTGTTTCATCTATTTATTCATTATGTTGAGAATATTTAAGATCTATTATCCTCAGGAAATTTGAAGTACATAATACATTATTATTAAATACAATCACCATGTTGTACATTAGGTCTCCAGAACTTATGCATCTTATGACTGTACATTTGTACCTTTTGATCAACATCTACTTATTTCCCTCCAACCCCCACCTCAACCCCTGATGACCACCATTCTACCCTCTGCTTCTTTGTGTTTGAGTTTTTTAGATTCCACATATAAGTTGCACAGGCTATAACTGCTCCATGGTTCGGGGATAAGAATGCCAGGGACATATTTGCTGGCTTGTACCTCCAGCTGGAGGTGAGAGAACATGGTGGTTCTGCTGGCTCAAGAGCAGGTATGCCTTTGGTGGGTCATCTGGGCTGTTTCTCTAGACAGGGGCAGGAGCTTGCATTAATTCAGCCAGCCTGGGATTAATTTGTCTCGTGTGCAGGATCTGAGTCCACAGTTGTTCCTGGGCCCTAGCACTGGGCACCCACCCATGTAAGCCTGGTGGAATGACGGTGGAGACCCAAGATTGGTGGCACACAGAGGCTACCAACCCTCAGAGCAGGACACACTCTAGCAGTGGATCTGGTTTCAAGGTGGTGCCATATCATGGTAGCTTACATAAAGAGGGTAAAGTGAGGGATGCACAACTTGTGCTCCTAATCTGAAGCAATGTAGCTGTGTGAACTACAGGCAGCTCCCCAAACTAGGCTCAGGGCTTGCTGCGGCTGTGGTATACTCTTGTAGTAAGAACTGCAGGTCTCTTCAGTGGCAATGGAAGCTGGTGGGGATCTTTTGCTTACCTTTTCCCCTCAAGGGGGTAGTCCCTCTTGACTCCAAGCTAATCTCAGCAGGGAACATGAGCTGGCAGAGGCAGGGTGCCCCATCACCCTCACTATGCTGCCTTCCTGGGCTTCTGAACACTACAGGGAATCTCACTACTCTCTTGCTACACTTTAATGCTTTCCCTCTGACACTCTAATTGAGTTTCAGTTGTTTTTTGTGAGGGGCATAAGTGGCAGGTATGTGTAAGCCATCTTGCAGACATCACTTCTCAACTCCCTTTCTTTCCTGCTTTCAAGATTCTCTATGTTTAATTTTTGACAGTTTGATTATAATATGTCTTGGTGAATTCCTCTTTGGGTGGAACCTGATTGGAGGTCTTTGAGATTCATGTACCTGGATATTCATATCTTTCTCTAGATTTGGGAAGTATTCAGTCTTTAAATAAGTATTCTTTAAATAAGCTTTCTGCCATGTTCCCTCTCTTGCCCTTATTACAGTCTATGATGCAGCAATTGGCTCTGTTGATGGTGTTCCATGAATCCTGTAGATTTCTTTCTCCCTTCCTTTTCATTCTTTTTCCTTTTTTCCCCCATCTGATTAGGTATTTTTAACTGACATGTTTTCAAGTTCTCAGCTTCTTTCTTCTGCATAAGAAAGTCTGCTGTTGACACTTTCTATTGCATTTTTAAAATGTCATTCAGTATATGCTTCAGCTCCAGAATTTGTTTGGGTTGTTAAATAATTTCTCTTAATTGAACTTTTGTTCTTGTATTGTTTCCCTGATTTCATTGAGGAATCAATGAACTCTTGTATTCTTATCTTTGTATTCTGTGGCCTACTGAGTTTTCTTAAAATAATTATTCTGAATTCTTTTTCAGGCAACTCATAGATGTCCATTTCTTTGAAATTGGTTACTAGAATATTATTATTATTATTTTTTGATTTTTACAGGATTGTGTTACTTAACGTCTTGCACTGCTGTTTTTGCATTAGAAGAAGCAGTTATCTTCAGTCTTTACTGTCTTTGGGTGAGGAATACTTTCTCCAAACAGCCAAGCTAGGGATTTTGAGGCTCTCTCAGACCTTTTCTATGGACATATCTACTCTATACTTCTCATTTCAATTAGTGGGTAATTCTTACACTGTACGTGTTCTCTTGATCCTGCAAGGCTGAGTGCTGAGAGCCTCCCATTTGCGTGCCCTTGGCCAGTGTCCTCTAATGCTCAAATTTGTGTGCCCTCTCTGAATCCCACCGAATTGAGCTCAGTGACTGTATGACAGGTAGTTTGCACTTGCTATCTGCAGTGCATGCATTGGGAGCTGGCTTGGGGTGGGGATGGGAGTGTGAGGTGCATGGAGCATTTGGAGTGCCTGTGGACCACCTGGGGGAAAGGATCTGTAGGTGAGGCATCCCATGCAGCTTGGGGAGAACTTTCTGATGGAGGTCTACAGAGTAGTTAGAAGCCTCCATGGCCTCTCTTCCCTGCTTTCAATCTTTCTCAACCACTCAGCTGTGCTGGTTGCCTTAATATTCTGAGTGGGATGTCAAACAGTTTAGCCTCTTAGGCAGCATCCTACACGTCTCAGGGAGCCAGACACTCACTCATTACACTCCCACTTTCCCCAGTGGAAGAAATCACAGGTCATGGTTGCAGGGGGCTCTCTTGGCAGTGACCTTTCTGCCTTGAGGTAGGGGTGACATAGATAAAGTGAAACTGTTCTTCTTATACTCATTATTCTGTCTATTCTCAGTTTTTTTTTTTTTTTTTTTTTGAGACAGAGTTTCACTCTTATTGCCCAGGCTAGAGTGCAATGGCATGATCTCGGCTCACTGCAACCTCTGCCTCCCGGGTTCAAGTGATTCTCCTGCCTCAGCCTCCCAAGTAGCTGGGATTACAGGCATGTGCCACAACACCTGGCTAATTTTGTATTTTTAACAGAGATGGGGTTTCTTTGTATTTTTAATTGAGACGGGTTTCACCATGTTGGCCAGGCTGGTCTTGAACTCCCGACCTCAGGTGATCCACTCACCTCGGCCTCCCAAAGTGCTGGGATTACCAGGCATGAGCCACCACGCCTGGCCCTATTCTCAGATTTTATAATCTAATGGTGTGCTAAAACTTCTCCACTGGACTCATGGATTCCCACAAATGTACTCTTGTCTGTGGTATACGTCTAAATCAATGCTTCTGCAGGGAGACGACAACAGAAAGCTCCCATTCTGCCATCTTGCTGATGTCACCCTATTTACCTGTTTCTTTCAATTTTTAAATGTAGCTGCTAGAAAATTTAAATTCACACCTAGGTGGTTTACATTTATTTCTAATGGAAGGCACTGATCTATATCACCTGACATTCCTGAACTGAAATATTTTTGTTTTATGTTTAACACTCATAGAAATCTTTGTGAAGGTGACATAATCTAAAACAAATTGCTGTTAATGTGTCATTCTCCTAAAAATACAGAGTTGGAAGGGATCTTATCAGCTAATTCACCCAATCCCATCTCATTTCTATGACGAGGAAACTGAGGTTCAGAAAGGATAAGGTCATGCCAAATACACCAATTACAAGACTAAAATGGATTCCCAATCTAGTCCTTTTTCTAATTTTATGATTTTTGTCTCTCAGCTTTCTTGTCCTTTTCCTGAAGATAATACCTTTACCCAATAGAGTGACCCTTATCAGAGCAGGCATTTCAGTAAATGATTGATGAAGGAGGGATTTAAGGACAGGGAGTCATTTCAAATCACATGATTGGCTGCTTATTCTTCCTTCTCAGGAATGGCCCTAATTCTTTGCAATCATCTACTAAAAATGTGGCTCAAAGAATCCTGTTGCTAGGCTCCGCTTCTCTTCAAAAGCAGCTGTTATCATTTAAAGATTAAAATTCAGAGCTCTTAGTCCTCTTTCATTATGTAATACAAAATGCAATTCCAAATGACAAGGCAAGGATCATGTCTGTATTATTAACTGGACTCAGGGTATAAACTGTTGATCTTACATCTCTAGCTTTTGACTCATAATTGTAATACAGAATCTCTTTGACTTGCAATAGGGTTATATCCCAGATAAACCCATTCTAAGTTGAAAATATCGTAAGTCAAAAATATATTTACACCACCTAACCTACTGAACATCATTAACTTAGCCCAGCCTACCTTAAATGTGCTCAGAACATTTAATATTAACTTAGGTGGGCAAAATTATCTAACCCCAAAGCCTGTTTTATAATAAAATATTGAATACCTCACGTAATATACTAAAAACTGTACTGAAAGCATACCACTTTTGCACTATCATCAAGTTGAAAAATTGTAAGTCAAACCATCTTAAGTCGGGAACCATCTGTACTTAGTATCCCACGAAAAAAAGAAAAGTCTTCAATTTCCTCAATAATTCTATTAACCTACACTATCTCAGTTCCAGATCCAGATGTATAATCACCTCTGTCATGTCTTCTGTAAAGGAGATAGCATTTGATTCCACGCTAGACTGACTTACTAAGATTGAGACTTTTGCTACTAATCTTCTTTAACTAGTTTAACAGAATTTCTCCCTTGCTTTCGCTAGGAAGACCAAGGGAAATAATGGCTATCTTTGCACTTTTATGATCCAGACCACTTGCAGCTTAATTGCTAGAAAATTTTGTTTCAGAGGGTGGGTTTGCCTTGTGACAGTTGGCACTGTATTGAGATATGCCTCTGCACTGCTCCTGTGAAAGCAAAAGTGACCTAGATAATGGCCCCTACTATGAAAATTGCTTCCCCAATGTTGACAAATAAAAATAAACCATCTGAGGAATAAGGCTAGGATCACAACCAGAAAGTGTTCTCCAAAGGAAATATATCAAACTACCCAACGCTACTGACTATGCAACAAGATACTCAACAGTAAAATGAAAGGTTTACTATCTGAAATTTATATTATCTGTGCTTCCAGATATGAATGGTTATGGGCTTCCCTAATGACTTTGAATAGAATGTATTCTTTTTTTGCACATATATCAATTTTGGAAGGAATCATGCTGTTTTAAATGTCACCAAGAATTAGAAATTCAGAAAAAGGTGCATCATGCTTCAAGAATGTCCTAGATTTTTAAGAAAATATTCTGTCCCAAGAAATTTATAAGTTTTGTTATAGTGGACATTTGTTGTTTCTAAAATTGAATTTCCTAGCCATGTGGTTGGTGTGGGCTCTAACTGCCTTAAGCCATAAGCATATGCTACTCTGGGTCGCAATTCAGGAGTGGGTATTCAGCTGAATTCAAGCCCATTAAGTCAAGTGACCTTTATTCTAAGTCTTTGGTTTCAGTCATGAGGGAAGTGGACATTCTCTTTTTTCCTGCTGGATTGGAACCTGAAAACACATATACCGAGAAGTATCTTCCTTCCAAGCATGAAGGGACTATTAATTCCAAGCCCATGTTCAAAGATCTAACTAATACTTAATACATATAAAACTGGCTGCAGCCTCTAGTACAGGGTTTGCAAACTCAAAAGCCTTCAGGGACCAGAGCAATGACACTTACTGTAGAAAGTTATCAGATGTGATATATTAATAACAGGCAATGGTGAGAAGGACAAGACCTGTCTTTCCTAAACGCATTTAAATTACAATGAAAACAAATACAGTATTATGTTGGCCAAAGAAAACACGTTGACATTAGGTGGGCTGGCAACATACAATTCATTGGCATTGCGTCGGCTGGTTTTCTAACAGGCTTTACAATGACCTGAAAGCCAGCTATTAACCTGACCTTCAGCAATTCCCCTGTAGTAAATCTCTTGTAGCCCAGTCATGGATTTAATAGGCTTGGGCTGGTGTATCTTTTCCCTCTCCCTACTCAGGTCCAGCTTAATTTAAGGAGTATGTTAACATCTGTAATCATCTTAAACGTTGCATCTGTAACATCTTAAATGTTGCAGGAAAAATATCTTGAAATAAAAAGCGTCATCTCCTTCCAGTTGCTGTTGTTTTTAAAGCTGAAGAAACATAAAACCAAAACATTAGGGCCAACTGCATTGCTGTCAAGGGAATTTCTCTAATGGTGCTGTGTCTTAAGGGGCCCAGGTGTTTTCCAGAACAGCTCAACCAACTGTGCTTTGTTTGGAGCCTTGTAAACTTTTACATTGACACAAAACATCGATCTGCCCCAGAACTTGATCTGTTTCCCAATATACTAGAAGCACAGGGATCAATTAAATATTTTTAAGTAAAATGGGAACTGAATAAAATAGAAAAAAGTTAATTTATAAGGAAATGTGGCTATTTCTGATATTTATTTCTTGAAATTGGGAAATGATGGTGAGTTTCTCAATGTAGACTTGTCATGCTTAAAGCCTCTTTTAGAAGTAAGATTAGATTCCAAACCACAGCTTGGAGGTTACCAATTCAGTAACATCCCTTCGCTTAGAGTTAAGTCAATGAAGAGAGCCCATTCTGAGTAAAGTTTGCTGCTTTAAGTAAAAGTGAACCTCTTTTCTAACAGGCTAAGATGGAAGTTTCCTTGCTCTCTGTAAATTTTTTTTTAAACCCTGTATTTACCAGAATTTCTGATTATTTACTGTCAGTCAGAGTTTGGACAGTTTCTAAGGCATAGAAAGAGAGGTAAATTTGGCTCACCATGAAGCACTGTTTGTACTCAAAGCAACCTGGGATTTAAACAACTGGAATGCATACAATTAGTAACACTCCTGGTGTTATTACTAACAGCTTAATATTCTGCCAAAATAAAAGTATTTTTCCTTACCAAGGACTTGTGAAAATGGTAAGAATTGCTTTGAAACCAAGGGAGGCCCTGTTGAGGAGGACCCACCATAAGAGGAGGTGAGAGCACCCATTCATGCCTATGATCTTCCCTGGTGATTAAAGCTCCTCTTCCTGTCACTGCCCATCTGTGGGCTCCCACTGAACTGCAGACACTGCTGTCTGCTCTCACCTGGGTGAGAACAGTCACCAGGTTTGTTTTCATGGGAGCTTCTGGTCCTGTTAAAACAATGAATACTAAGGTTTCTCAGAGAATTACTTCCTCTGATGTTATCTTTTATATACAATAATAAAATTTCACGCATGTTGTCAACAAACGTGCGTCAATTAGTCAGTGTTCCAGAAACTGGGAAAAATGGTCAATAACTCTTATATCTGCTATGAAGCGGCCTGCTCAGGGAATGCTGCTTATGAAGCAAAGGATGCTGTGCAAAGACTCTCTGCAAGCACTCACGAGAGAAAAATTCCGGTGGCTGCAACAATAGCAAAGTGGACTCAATATGATATATGACTTCAATGTTAATTTAAATTACTGAAAAACAATTGTTCACTTCTTAAAAAGCACTACTTATACAAAACCCCTTTTAGATGACAGCTGAAATTTTCCCTCTTTCATGACATAAATATTAGCTGTACCAAGTCAGCTATCCTCGCGCCTTTCTGATAGACACAGGTGAAGGAGCTTGACAGACAAGTCAACCTGCTTGACATATTAGCATATGGGTCTGATTTTAATGAGTCCTGGAACGCAGTCTGCAAGCTCGCTGAGGTGACGATTTGATGAAAGCAAGACTTAATCCCTGCAAAACTTGGTCTAACTTCATGTCAGGGATTGAAAATGCTGGCTCTTGGTGGGTTACATTTTCAGAAAAGAGGTAGCGCTGTCGACTCAAAAGTAGGGAGGGCTCCTAGCAATGGCAAGCTTTCCATGGCCTTGCAGCCACCCCCCACCTCCTGGGGACAGGCTCTTCCACCTTCGGCATCAAGGGCTCCAGCGAGGTGCTGAGTGCTGGAAGCAGGGACTGAGGTGCTGGGAAATTTAATTAGCTTGTGTGAAACAAAACAGGCCTATGGCTTAAAGCCACTTCAGAAGTGTGAAGAATAATGATTGCTTTTTGAGAACTCCCATTTCCCAAGAATGAACAAGCCTGGGGAAAGATGAGCTGCCTAGTTTTTTGTTGTTGGTTTATTTTTATTTTTTATTTTATTTTTTCAAGCATTTTGCTGGTAAGGCTTCTACGGTTTTTGCTAAGAAACGTTTACCTTTACCAAAATAAATAGTTCTCTTAGTAGAGTTCTCCGCCCAGAGCAAGGATTTGCTTGACCATGAAGAAAACTAGTACATGGAACTGTAGTGGAAGTGTCATTTTTTTAATCAAATGCTACATTTGATAACAGAAATATTATAACTCAGAGACTTTTTAAGGCTTCTATGAAATTGTATCCAATTCAGCAAGCACACATAGCAAGGCCTGGAAATGAACTTAGGCTCATAGTTTTGGGTAGGGGGAGGTATTACGGAATCCGCTACAGGTAACAAAGACAGATGAAAATAACTTCAGCTTAAAAAAATTGTGCCAAGTACTGAAACAGATGAATCCCAGCTAGTATATCTGGATCAGGTTTTTCATAGGAGGAATTTGGGCTGTACCTCAAAAGACGAACAGGACTGTCAGAAATGAAGATGATGGGAAGAGCATCTTAGGCAGAGGAAAGTAAGTGAACAAAGGTATAAACGTGTGTTTGGGGAGAGTAGGCAGAAATGTGACTACCGTAGGGAGGCCAGTGTGGGAAAGACGGACGTTGTGGAAACGTGGAGACGCCAAATCCTCTCCAGTGAAAGAAATGAGACTTTCTTCAGGAGGTAACTGGGGGAGGGGAATCGGGGAAGCTGTAGGCAGCTGTCAAGCAGAGGAATGCCGTCATCTGGGTTGAACCTCAGAAAAACAACCGGCCAAAGGATTTAGGATGAACGGAAGGAGAGCGGAGTGAGAGGAGAAAGCCAGGGCTCAGCAGAGGAAGTAGTTATAAAGCAATACAAGGAAGGGACAGGTGTGAGACGCCACAGACACTGATCGCTAGGATGTGGACACTTAGAAGATTTTAAATTTCAAGCCTGAGGAGGAAATCAGATAAGATGAAAACAAAGGAGAGGAACAATGAGAAGTAAAAGGGGCCAGAGCTACAATGAAAAAGAACAGCTAAAGGCAGATTCAGCACACCCACCAGAAAAAAAAACAAAAACAAAAAACAACAGGTCAAATTAGTCGATAATTAATTCTTTTTATTTTGTATTGCATGCTACCTACTTTAAAAATAAAAAGACACTTTAAATGTCTGAAGGCAGAGGCTAAGGGACTCTAACCCTGACATTAATTTGGAAGAAAACTGAGCCATGGAAATATTTGGAAATATACTGTTTTCAACTTGGGTTTAAATTTTACACTTTTCCATGCCATAGCATATGGATCCTCACCATTCTTTTTAATAAGCACACTCACTGTATAGATGGATGTGCCACAACTTAATTTATCAACCCCCTTCTGAAGGGCAGTGGGTGACAAGAAGAAAAACGCATAGTGTTGCCGAACAGCAAGAATGTGCAGGGAAAAGCTGATGCCTCACATCAACTATGTGGCTCATTTCCTCCCTTGTGCTTTTTTTGACTCCAATTCTGCCGGAAGAGACACAGGGATACAGAAAGCAGCTGTCCACCCTGGTGTGTCCCTCTACTGTTCTTTTTCTTCCCCTCACAGCGGGCGCACACTATTCCAACCAGGCAGGCTATTTACTTTTAAGTGTATAAACTGGCAGGTTACTCTTTGATGTTTGCTTGGCACTTAAACAGAATCACAAACAAGAGGGGCCACCATGACCTTGCCAGGAGCTCCCAAATTAGAGCCAGGGGCAAGACACGCCTCTCTCAGTGACACTGCAAAGAAAGATACCGCCTCATGGACAGATCATAAGAAAACTCAGAAATCAGCATTTACTAACATTTGGGTGCAACACACCTCAAACTCCAGATAGTGGTCTTTCAGTTTGTACTCATCGACGTCCTTGGCTTTGACCTTCTTGTCGGGGGGATATGAGCGGTGCTCGGCCAGCTCGGTGGTGATCTGCTTCAGCTTACTTTCATGTGACTTCAGTTGCTCCTCCTGCAGGAAATCATGATGCCATTTAGCGTTCAAAAAAAAAACAAGTCAATAACAAAGCACAGCATACTTTAAAAAATCCCCTGTGCTGAATGACTTTAATTCACTAAAACAGCCCAATGTGCCTCTGCTGCCACATCCTTCCAGCTTTCTCACGCCCCTGTCCACATATTTCATATATTCCTTCCCGGGATGGCAATCAAGGCCAACCTCTTTAACTAGGTCCCTTGTCATAAAACCAAATGGCTTCCGAGCTCTTTATCAGGTGTAAATGCCCCTGAGTTGGGACCAGGCCTTAAGAGATGCCCTGACAGGCATGTCACCAGCTGAACAGTTAAGCAGCTAGCATGGAAGCTGCACACCTTGGCTTTCCCATTTCATGCCCACTCAGCAATGCTGCCAGCTTTTCCATCCATCACAATGAATGAATTGTAATTGTCTATGTGCATATTTTTTTTCCTTTTTGAAAGAAGCAGAGCTACGAAGAAAAATTTCTTCTCTGAAGCTTACCAGATGATATTCTAAAACATGCAGCTATCTCGCTTTTCTCTTACCAAAGCAGCAGAGTTCTTAGTTCCTTCAACTTGATTGGCCCAAAGCAACCCGTCAATTAAAATGTATCTACCTATTTAGCAATTATTGCCTTAGTAGCATTATTATAGGTACCGTGTACCAATGCAATATGGTTGATCCTACATCAAAGGATTTCCATTCTAAGGGTACCATTTATATCACCTTAGCAATAGGCTACCCAAAAAGATATGTTACTGAACCTTCTGCCAGCATTTTAAAAACATTCTTGGAATTCTCTTGCATTCTTGAAAATGTATGACTCCTTACTGTTCTAGTTTCACATGCAAATTATCCAAATTTCACAGGTACAATAAGATAAATGGGTAAAGGCAAATGAAACAGATCTGACTAAATTAGGTGATAAATGTATTTTATATAACACCAACATAATTGTAGAACACAAAAATCTTGTAGAATGAGGGGAATAATTTTTTACATAAACAGAAAATGAATAACTATGGACAGTAAATTACAAATATATAATATTGTTGTAAATTAGAAGAAAACGTGTCCAGAAATTATGAGCGTCACATATAATATCTTACGGACTTTTGTAATAATGTACATCTTAAAAGCCAAACAACAAAAACAAAATCCAAGTCAAAAACCATCAAAACAGAAGAAAACAATGACAAGTAAAAAGCAGAGGACACGAATGGAAAAATGAACAAGAAAGGTAGCATGAACACGTGGAGTGATCTAAAAATGACAAGATTCATTTCTAAATGCCAACTATAACAAAACAAAATGAAACACTCCAAGAAGTCCCAGAAAAGGACGAAGGAGAAAAGAAACCTATTTTGAGATTTTAGAAAGGCGTCTACATCTCCAAACCTATTATTTGTATACTGATAATGCTGAAAGTCAAAAATGCTTCAGGTAGCTTTTATTTACAAGTTCTTACTCATCTATTACTTTCAGGCAAGGAGACTATCAACTATGTTATGGATTGAATGTGTCCACTCAAAATTAACCTTCAGTGTAGCTATACTCGAAAATGGGGTCCCTAAAGAAGTAATAATGGTTAAATGAGGTCATAAGAGTGGGGCATATATCCAATAGGATTAGTGCCCTTATAAGAGGAGACACTGTGTGCAAGCACCAATGGAAGGCCATGGTGGCCATCCACAGCCCTAGGGGAGAGCCCTCACCAGACACCAACTCTGCTGGCACCTTGATCTTGGATTTCCCATCTCCAGAACTGTGAGAAAATAGATGTCTGCTATGGAAGCCACCCAATCTATAGTGTTTTGTTATGGCAGCCTGAGCTAAGACAAACTATATCAATAGTTTTTATTTCTTTCAAAGTTGTTTTCCTTTGTGTATTTATTGCAATATGTAAATTACCTAATAGACTTCTTGACAAATGATATTTAGTGACTGGACCACTTCAAAAAATAAAAGCATGATGTATTTTCCTTCTTTTCTAAAAAAAGTTTTAAATATATAAAAAGTCATATTGAATGATATATGAAAAACACCCATGAATCTAACATAGGAATTTAAGAAATAAAATATAAATAAATGGAAACTCCCTACACATGTACGTGCTCATCTCATTCCTTTTCAGTGTTATTCATATATAAAGATATGTAACCATAAAAATACAGAAGTGTAGCCGGGTGTGGGGTGCCTCACGCCTGTAATCCCAGCACTTTGGGAGGCTGAGGCAGGTGGATCACAAGGTCAGGAGTTTGAGACCAGCCTGACTAACATGGTGAAACCCTGTCTCTACTAAAAATACAAAAATTAGCCAGGCGTGGTAGCACGTGCCTGTAATCCCAGTGACTCAGGAGGCTGAGGCAGGAGAATCACTTGAACCTGGGAGATGGAGGC
Organism: Homo sapiens; assembly: GCF_000001405.40. Lineage (NCBI taxonomy): Eukaryota > Metazoa > Chordata > Mammalia > Primates > Hominidae > Homo > Homo sapiens. The sequence continues at coordinate 18,558,759 of NC_000008.11, forward strand.
TGCAGTGAGTCGAGGTTGCGCCACTGCACTCCAGTCTGGGTGACAGAGCAAGACTCCATCTCAAAAAAACAAAACAAAACAAAACCAGAAGTGTATTCTCTAGGTTTTATACTTGATATAAAAACTAATTAAAGGCTTTCTTTTGTAATTTTTTTTTCACTCAACATGTTTTTAAGATTTATCTACATGTATGCTCTAGTTCCTGTCTTTTAAACATTGCATAGTACCCCACTGCAGGACACATTACAATTTTGTTTAAGGATATTTAGCTTGTTTTCAGGTTTCCTGTTGTGGGATTTTTTTTCCCTGTTATAAATGATGTTGCAACAGACATTCTTACACATGTCTCCTAGGGAATCTGAGCAAGAGTTTTTCTATAGTGTGTCACAAAGTGTTGGCATTTCTGGGTTTTAGAATATGCGCATCTTTAAGATGACTGTTTTCTAAAGTGTTTTTATCTGTTTACATTTCCACAGCAGGTCTGAAAGTTCTCTTTGTTTTACATTCTTGTCAAAATGTGATGTTATTATACTTGTAAATTGTTGCTAATTTCATAGGTAAGAAATGATAAGCCACTGTGATTTGAATTTATATTTCCCTGAATATGAATGAGGATGAGATTTTGTTCATAGGTTTACTGGGTTTCCTCTTCTGTGGATTACTGGACCCATTTTTCTATTGGGTTGTTTGCCTTTTAAAAAATAGATTTGTATCAGTATAGTTATTTATAATATATATGTTAAGAAATCAAACTCTTTCTATTTGTGGTTAGGAAATAATTAGAATCCAATAATTAGAATCCAATGATAGAATCCAGTTTATTTAAGAAAAAATAGGATTTTAGGTAATTTGGTAAAAGAATTTACAAACTTCTATTTTTTTTTACTTTGGATCTATGCAAATATGCTTTCAGATGTTTGCTTCTTCTAAAAGCTTTAGATTTAGGCTTTCCAATCTTGAATATTCAAATGTCTCTTTTTCTGTTGAACAAATCCCAATTTCTACTTATTTTAATGAGGAATACAGGCTAGAATGACAATATGTGCAACATCTTATGTTTTTCACTTTCCTCCCAATACCAGGGCTTGCTCGGGTTTGTTCACTGTTACCAAGCTATGGTACGTAAATCTGTTTCTACAGCAGCATAAAGGGCTAGTCATTTAGGCTATATTTTTACAAAGGAACTAACCGAGGAAGTGCTGATGTTCAATGAGAAATGCTTCACTACTATTTCACTGGCTTCATAAGGCAGGAGTCAATAAAGTAAGCTCAAAATAAAGCATTTTAAAATCACATCTCCTTAAATCTGTCCATTTTGAACAGTGAAATAGAAATGCCAAGTGGCTCTTACGGACACAGCTTGACCATGCAAATTATTCCAGTGCTAGAATCCCATGATAAGAAAGATACACATTTTACACACACACACACACACACACACACACACACACAAACAAAAAAACAACAACAGCAACAACAACAAAAAACAATGGTAAAAAACAACGGGAGAGAGGCTGCAGCCATGGAGATGTCACATTCTCAGACTCAGGACAACTACATTTGTAATAGACACGATGAAGAAAGACAAAGTAGGAATTTGCTTTTTTATTCCCCCACCTTTTGTCTTTGCTTTTACAGTTCTTTAGGGATGCATACATACTGTTTTTAGAAGACAATACTAGCAAAATAGATTTCAGAGATGGCAGAAAAATATTACATTTGACAAAGAAAAGGCATGGAGATAGAAAATACCACAAACTCATAAAATTGTTTTAAGTTAGGAAGTGATAATTTTTAAAAAATGAAATTGAAAATACTAGATACAAGAAAAGTTGTTGTGGTTATATGTCAATAGATTTAAATCAGTAAGACCTTTCATAATATATACAACAACATTTTATCTAAAAGGCAAGTTTTCGAAGTCACTTAGGATTTCATTTACTTATATTAGGGGTTAATCCCCAAAGTATATAAGGAACTCAAAACAATACAATAGCAAGAAAACAAAGCAATTAAAAAATGGGCAAAGGACTTTGCTATGGTTTCATTGTATCCCCTTCAAACTTCATATCGAAACTTAATCCTCATTGTGTAGTATTAAGAGATGGTGCCTTTTGGAAAGTGATTGAGTCCCTCATGAAGCGGTAAGTGTCTTATAGAAGTGCTGGAGTGATATAGGTTAGACCCTTTTTTGCCCCCGTCTTCTGTCATGTGAGGATACAACATTTATCCTCACAAATGCTGTCAGGAAAATCTGGAAAACTGTAAGAAGGCTCCTCAAAAAACTAAAAATGGAATTACCAAATAATCTAGCAATCCCACTTCTGAGTATGTAGCCAAAGAAATGAAATCAGTATCTCAAAAAGATGTGGCATTCTCATGGTGAGACCATGCCGTATCTTCTTCAAGAAGAGGGAACAGCTCTTGGCTGCAGCATTATTCACAATAGCTAAGATCTAGAAGAGATCTAAGTGTCCTTTGAAAAATGGATAAGGAAAATGTGGTATATATACACAATGGAGTATTATTTATTCACCCTTAAAAAAGAGGAAATTCTGTCATTTGCGACAACATGGACAAACCTGGAGGACATTTTGCTAACTGAAGTAAGACCGGCACAGAAAGACAGATATTGGATGATCTCATATATGGAATCTAAAACAATTGAACTCATAGAAATAAGGAGAATGGTGGTTACCAGAGGCTGGGGGCAAGGGACTGGGGACATGCTGGTCAAAGGATGAAAAATATCAGACAAGAGGAATAAATTCTGTTGTGTATCATGATGGCTAGAGTTCATAATAATGCACTGTGTATTTCAAACTTGCTCAAAGAATAGAATTTAAGTGTTCTAACCATAAAAAATTGATATAGCAAAACATCACAATTATACCTGGAAATACATATAATTATTATATGGTCAATTAAAATTGTTAAAAAAATATTTAATTTTTTTCCTATTTATATAGTACTTAGGTTTTGAGAACAATTTCAGAATTTCCTTTAAAATATTAAGCTCTAATGTCATCTCTATGAAGACAGTATTGCTTAACTGATCAGGCAATGGGAACAGGCAACTTGGCTGTTGAAGATCTTGCAGTGTGAGTCAAGGGCTGACTTGGAGTTACAGTCCTTCTCCCCCGGTGCAAAGCCCAGGACCAAGGGCCAGAAATTAGCTTTTTATCTTTTTATACCAAGTATAAGATTTACATAGTACTTATCATGGAGAGAAGGATGAGAGAGAAGCTGTGAAAACTTAAAGGAAACAATAAAATAGAAATGCAGATGGCTCCAAGAGGGAAAGGAGGAAGAATGAGAGAGAAGGCAGAGAGAATCGGGAAACAGAGAACACATTTATCCATCCGCGAACCTCACCGAGCGCCCATACAGCAGGCACTGTGCTGGGTGCTGGGAATAAGAAGAGGGAACAGCCACAGTGGCTGCCACCAGTCTTTTCCTCCAAGCTGTGGGATACAGAATCCTAGATGTTCTAAGGTGGAAGAGAACCTGGCCACTGTCCTTTCTACCCTCTTTGTCTTAGAGAAGATGGAGATCCAGAGAGTTCAAGTAATTGCTCCAGTTCAGACAAAAGGACAGAGTGGCAGAAGCCACATTCTCCCAACTTCTATCATGAAGTCACCTTGGAACAGCCTTCTGAAATCCAAAGGGCTGTCAACAACATAGCTTCAGCACATTGTCTTACTTGACAGATCAATCCTGAACTCAGCTTTCAGAGCTCTTGGTAAACTCCACTGCTGCCGGGTCTCCTCTGCTATAGCTCTCAAACGTGCAGGCTGGACTCAGGGTTACTCACCTTGCTCCAAATTCCACTCAAAACCTCTGTTACAGGCTGGGCCTGGTGACTCACACCTGTAATCCTAGCACTTTAAGAGGCTGAGATGGGCGGATCACTGAAGGTCAAGAGTTCGAGACCAGCCTGGCCAACATGGTGAAACCCCGTTTCTACTAAAAATACAAAAATTAGCCGGGTGTGGTGGCATGCGCCTTTAATTCCAATTGCACTGGAGGCCGAGGCAGGGGAATTGCTTGAACCTGGGAGGCGGAGGTTGCAGGGAGCCGAGATCATGCCACTGCACTCCAGCCTGGGCGACAGAGTGAGACTCTGTCTAGATAAAGAAAAAGAAAAAGAAAAAGAAAAAGAAAAAGAAAAAGAAAAAACAAAAACAAAACAAAACCAAACCTATGTTACTCTAGATCACACCACTTCTTCCTCTTCTGCATTACGGCAGCACTTAAATGTCTACGTCATATGCTTAGCACAAAATATACCCTGACCTTTGTGTGAGTTTTATCTCCTTTACCGATTACAAGCTCTTAAAAAGGCAAAAAAGGTCACTTTTTTCCTTCCCTTAAATCCTCCAGTATCCAGTAAAGTGTTGAGCAGAGAGATAGTATGTGGCAGCTTTTGGTTTATAGACATTACCTGCCTAACATGAACAAATACCTTAAGCTCTCAGAAGTTGAGGGCCAAGGCAATTGTCTCACCTGTTTTTATAATGCCCACAAAACCTAACATAGTACCTGCTATACAGGATCTTCGGTAAACAGTAGCTGAACAAATAGATTTTTTTTTTTAAGTGAAGATACAGAGGGGAGGGCTTAGACTGTTTCCTTTGTGCTGTCTTAAAGGAGACAGATGATTTTCAGGGTAATCATGTATCTAGGGATCCGCAGTGCAACTTAGAAGTCAAATTGCTAAACACTGGAAACTGTTCAAAACGAAGTGGTACAGAATTTAGAATACAGAACACCTGTCTTTGAGTCAGTTTGAGGGAGGCTCAATCCAAAAGATTGTTTCATAATTTCATGTTTAAGACAGCTTTAGACCTTAAACACAGTATTTAATGAGTATAAGCAAAATAGCTTCCACATGATTTAATTACTTGTTTTATTGGGTACTTAATATATATTAAATACAGACCTCGAAGAAATGAATTTTTAAAAATCTATCCATTCAGGAAAAGTATGGGTAACAATTAAGGCCACATCAAAGAGTTTGAATGTGAAAAAATGAATCAGTTAAGGGTAAGTGACATAATTAGAATCATATTTTAGTCAGAACTGTAAAGGGTGGATCAGAAGGACATAAGATTACTGGAAGAGAGATCACAAGTGGTTACAGAAATCATCTGGGTCAGATTATTCCAAAGTGGGGTGTGTGTAGCCCAGGCAAGATGACCCACTGCAAAGAGTTTTAAAATCAGTATTGAGATACAATTCACATACCATAAAAACACCCCTGCATGTCTAACAGTGCTGAACTCGTTTATGAGTTTTCAAAAATTTTAATAGCTCCTTAGGCACTGGGAAAAAATTTAAAGTTTTCTTCTTCTTTTTTTTTTTTAATCTAAGCACTACAAAATGTTAAGGTTTACTAATATTTATTACTGGGATTGACAGTGGAAAATGTAGTTTATTTTCTTTAAAAAAGCATCATATATTAAAAGATATCTGCTGAAATATTTAGTATTGGGATAAGGTGAATAGTCAAAAAAGTGAGTAGACCAGTGATCTAGGTAGAATATGACAAAAATCTGAAGCAGTAGGTGTAGAATATGAAAGACATTGGCCAGGCACGGTGGCTCACGCCTGTAATCCCAACACTTTGGGAGGCCGATGCGGGCGGATCACCTGAGGTCAGGAGGTCAAGACCAGCCTGGCCAACATGGTGAAACCCCGTCTCTACTAAAAATAAACACATTAGCTGGGCATGGTGGTGCACACCTGTAATCCCAGCTACTTGGGAGGCTGAGGCAGGACAATCACTTGAACCTGGGAGGTGGAGGTTGCAGTGAGCCAAGATGGCACCACTGCACTCCAGCCTGGGTGATAGAGTGAGACCTTGTCTCAAAAAAAAAAAAAAAAGATATTTAGAGGGTAGAAGTGACAGGACTTTATGACAGAAACTGTGGAAATGGGTGGGTGGGGGCGCAGTGAAGGAAGCAACTACAAGAATGACCTCCTCCCCTGAAATCCCACTGCCCGTAAGGTCAGCTCCACTCACCTGGCTCTGAGCACCACTGCCTTGTGGTCATACCACAGGACAAAAGGAGGGGTGGGGGTTACTTCAGCGTGAGAATCAAGCATAGGACTGCTTTGCTTCTGATCAGTATCCATCTTAAGTCTGACCAAAAAAGTATTTAGTACCCATGGATTCAAACTTTTATAAGACAATGGTTGGAATTCTAAGAAAAAAGACCTAGATATCAGGAAATGAAGATGTCCTGGGGCACCATTCTCTAAAGAAGCAAGGAAAGACCTAGGGTAGGCACAGGTTCCTACAGTGTAGGGTTTAAGTGGGATCTGGAGCCACCTGCCGGCCTGGAGTGGAAAAGAAACACACATGTGTCCCTGAGCCCAGCCTGGACCTGAACGACCTGGTGGGGCTGGGAAATGTGCATTTTCTGCAAGTCCCGACATAGCTGTTGTGCACACTGAAGTTTGAAAAGACTTCTCTGGTGGGCAGAAAGGGAGGTTGTGAGCAGACTGTGAACAGGGCCGGCCATGCATTTCTGTGTTTGGAGAGCTACACCAGAAGGAGAAGCAAAACTTGTATTTTCAAACAAGTCTTTCCACCCCCAATAGAAGAAAAATGTGCTCTGGCAGCACTGTCATGAAAAACAAAGAAGGCGACTCCTCCTACACAGCAGAGTTGTTCAGAAAGTACCACGCTGCACTGGCAATAATCAATTTTAATGATTAAGGCTAATGTGTTTTGCATAAAAGACAAGAATAAATTAAAGCAAAGCCCACAAATGACAGGGTGACAAACACTGTGTCTTGAAAAAGCACCAAACAATCTTTTAATTGAACGTCTAATTTTTCCCCACACTGTTTATCTTTCTTTATCAATGTTTCCAGCAAGGCACTCACATTTTTATACCTGTATTTTGTAAAGTAAAATTATCCAAAAAATTGTGGCATTTAGGGGAGTCAGAGCCAGGTTGTGGGAGTATGGGGAAAAAAAGATAGCTGGTCTCACGGCTTCACATCCACTGGCTAAAGCAGTGGTTCTCAATAGGAGTGGGTTGGATTTTGACCCCAGAAGATATTTGGCAATGTCTGGAGACATTTTTGGTTGTTAGAACTGGGGGGTCCCTATTGGCATCTAGTGGGTAGAAGCTGGGGATATCGCTAAACATCCTACAATTCACAGAGGCCCTCACGACAAAGAATTATCCACACCAAAATGTTAATGCTGCTGCGCTCGAATATGCCTGGGTTAAAGGATGAGAGCTAGTCTTTGAGGTACTGGAGGAATCCTAGGGGCAGCCAGACATCTTCCAGGATTTGCTGGAGGCACACTATGACCCCAGTATAGATATCCCCAAGAGCCTCAGGTGCTACTCCAAATACATGCTTAATTTTACATATGTGTTTCTCAAAGCTAAAAATCTTATCTTTAGAAACAAACCTTATGACTCGGCAAAGAAATAATACAGAGCTTTGGATAGAAAAATCCTTGCTGGGCAGGGTGGCTCACGCCTGTAATTCCAGCACTTTGGGAGGCCGAGGTGGGCAGACTGCTTGAGGCCAGGAGTTCGAGACCATCATTGCTAACACGGTGAAACCTTATCTCTACTAAAAATACGAAAAATTAGCTGGGTATGGTGGCGGGCGCCTGTAATCCCAGCTACTCGAGAGGCTGAGGCAGGAGAATGGCATGAACCCGGGAGGTGGGGATTGCAGTGAGCCGAGATCAAGCCACTGCACTCCAGCCTGGGCAACAGAGCCAGACTCTGTCTCAAAAAAAAAAAAAAAAAAAAAATTCCTTAAAAACATTCTAGAACCATCTCATTTTTCTAGATGGAAAGCTGAGGCCCACAAAGCAAATGCTGGGTGATGCAATTCAGTGGGGTGGCGGAGATCATCTCATTTCTTTCCAAATAAATTAAATTCCTGAAATGATACGGTTACCTTGTCTTACATGATACTGCAGGATATTTCTTTTTGGTTATTACCTTCTTATTTAAAATCTTCAATCCCTAATTGTGATTATACTACATATGCATGTTTTTGCATCTCTGTGGATTTATGTCCAAAATGAAGGAAAACATTTTTAAAAATTATGCATTCTATTTTTGGTTCCAGTGTAAGTCATCTGTTAGAAATAAGAGTGCCTACCATGATAAATGTGTGTGCTTGCCTGTTCTGGGGAAAACACGCAAACAGATGAACACATTCATTTTCACGTACATATCACTTACTAGTATACAGTCCCTAAATAGGAAAGCAGTACATTTTTTAAAGTATAAAGTAAACAGAACTGTAGATTTTAGTGAGGGAAAATCAAGGAAACACTCATATGTTGCTCTAAGTTACATTCACCTTCCATGAATGACATGCTTATTATCAGCCCTCTTTAGTTCAACTCACCTTCTCCCCTGGATCTTTTATAGAACTGAATGTGAGAAAGACCCAAACTACTGAAAAAGAACAATGGGAAAGTCCACCGTAAAATTAATAGAGCAAAACTCAATTTTGGAAGGTTTTTTTTTTTGCTTCCAGTTACTTGATTTTTTCCCTCCCCTTATATCGTGTAATGTGATTTACCTTTTATGCGACATGCTCTTTATGTGGTATGCTGCTTATGTTAAGTATGCATATTTAAAGCAGAGAAATGCATTTGCTTTAAGAGTTCATATTTTAGTTGGATAGATGGAGATGTCTGCCAACATACCTTCTGGTCATCAGTAAGAGCATTCCTTTTCTTTTAAAGTTGTAGTGTACTTATTACCCTTAAAAATTCAATGCCATTGTGTCCTGCAAGAACTGTACAGTAATAGTAATGCTTACAAGTAAGCATTCAATATATGTTAATGATAATTATGAATTAAAAACAGAAGAATCTTTCCTGAAACCACAGATTCTTCCTTCTTACTACTAGTCTTTCTGTTTTTATAACTATGGCAACACTTGAGCACATTTTCCTCCTCCACTTCCTTATTACCTTCCATTCATTCCCCCATCAAAGAAGGCCAATGTGGTTTGTCTTCCCATGACTCCACCAAAATGTTCTTGCTAAGGTTATCCAATGATATAGTTTGGATGCTTGTCCCCTCCGAATCTCATGTTGTAATGTGATCCCCAATGTTGGAGGTGGGACCTGGTAAGAGGTGTTTGCGTTATGGGGGTAGATCCCTCATGAATGGCTTGATGCCACGCTTATGATAATGAGGTAGTTCTTGCTTTATTAGTTCAAGTGAAAGTGGGTTGTTAAAAAGAGCCTGGCACTTTCCCTTCCTCTCTCTCTTGCCATGTGACACATCTGTTTCCCTTTCCCCTTCTATCATCATTTGATGCTTCCTGAGATTCTTACCAGAAGCAGATGCTGATGCCATGCTTCGTGTATAGCCTGCAGAACCGTGAGCCAAATAAACCTCTCTTCTTTCTAAATGACCCAGGCTCTAGTATTCTTTATAGAAACACAAAATGGGCTAAGATACCCAGTGACCTCCCAGCCACTAAATATCACATTTTTAAATCTAAATCTTCATGGAACCTTTTCCCCCCTTTCTTGGCACAACATTCTCCCTGTTTGTATTAAATCTAAGTAACTTTTTGGAAAATTGCTTATCAAGTGCCTTAGTCTGCTTCTGAGCTCTGGCCACTGCAGGAATTGGAGACAGAAAGAAGAAAATGATCCAAGAAAGGAGTCTAAGAAGCAAGGGGGGAAATCAAGAGACAGTGAGGTGAGACTCCAGAAGCAGGTCAGACACCACAGTCCCCAGCTGTCCAAGCCACAATGACAGCCTGTTTCCTCTACTTCCATGAGCCACCAGAAGTGTCCATTCTACACTTTCAAGGTCTCTCAAGCACTTTCACTACGATCCATTTCTTCTGCAGCTACCTTGGTTATCTCTCCTCTGGATTACTGAAAATTCCTTTAAAATGGGCCTTTCTGCTTCTAGTAGTACCTTCTTCTTCTTTTTTTTTTTTATTATACTTTAAGTTTTCGGGTACATGTGCACAATGTGCAGGTTAGTTACATACGTATACATGTGCCATGCTGGTGCGCTGCACCCACTAACTCGTCATCTAGCATTAGGTATATCTCCCGATGCTATCCCTCCCCACTCCCCCGACCCCACAACAGTCCCCAGAGGGTGATATTCCCCTTCCTGTGTCCATGTGATCTCACTGTTCAGTTCCCACCTATGAGTGAGAATATGTGGTGTTTGGTTTTTTGTTCTTGCGATAGCTTACTGAGAATGATGATTTCCAATTTCATCCATGTCCCTACAAAGGACATGAACTCATCATTTTTTATGGCTGCGTAGTATTCCATGGTGTATATGTGCCACATTTTCTTAATCCAGTCTATCGTTGTTGGACATTTGGGTTGGTTCCAAGTCTTTGCTATTGTGAATAATGCCGCAATAAACATACGTGTGCATGTGTCTTTATAGCAGCATGATTTATAGTCCTTTGGGTATATACCCAGTAATGGGATGGCTGGGTCAAATGGTATTTCTAGTTCTAGATCCCTGAGGAATCGCCACACTGACTTCCACAATGGTTGAACTAGTTTACAGTCCCACCAACAGTGTAAAAGTGTTCCTATTTCTCCACATCCTCTCCAGCACCTGTTGTTTCCTGACTTTTTAATGATTGCCATTCTAACTGGTGTGAGATGGTATCTCAATGTAGAAAAATCACAAGCATTCTTATACACCAACAACAGACAAACAGAGAGCCAAATCATGAGTGAACTCCCATTCACAATTGCTTCAAAGAGAATAAAATACCTAGGAATCCAACTTACAAGGGATGTGAAGGACCTCTTCCAGGAGAACTACCAACCACTGCTCAAGGAAATAAAAGAGGATACAAACAAATGGAAGAACATTCCATTTAAGTTTTCGGGTACATGTGCACATTGTGCAGGTTACTTACATACGTATACATGTGCCATGCTGGTGCGCTGCACCCACTAACTCGTCATCTAGCATTAGGTATATCTCCCGATGCTATCCCTCCCCACTCCCCCGACCCCACAACAGTCCCCAGAGTGTGACATTCCCCTTCCTGTGTCCATGTGATCTCATTGTTCAGTTCCCACCTATGAGTGAGAATATGTGGTAGGAAGAATCAATATCGTGAAAATGGCCATACTGCCCAAGGTAATTTACAGATTCAATGCCATCCCCATCAAGCTACCAATGACTTTCTTCACAGAATTGGAAAAAACTACTTTAAAGTTCATATGGAACCAAAAAAGAGCCCGCATCGCCAAGTCAATCCTAAGCCAAAAGAACGAAGCTGGAGGCATCACACTACCTGACTTCAAACTATACTACAAGGCTATAGCAACCAAAACACCGTGGTACTGGTACCAAAACAGAGATATAGATCAATGGAACAGAACAGAGCCCTCAGAAATAATGCCGCTTATCTACAACCATCTGATCTTTGACAAACATGACAAAAACAAGCAATGGGGATTCCCTATTTAATAAATGGTGCTGGGAAAACTGGCTAGCCATATGTAGAAAGCTGAAACTGGATCCCTTCCTTACACCTTATACAAAAATCAATTCAAGATGGATTAAAGACTTAAACGTTAGACCTAAAACCATAGAAACCCTAGAAGAAAACCTAGGCATTACCATTCAGGACATAGGCATGGGCAAGGACTTCATGTCTAAAACACCAAAAGCAATGGCAACAAAACACAAAATTGACAAATGGGATCTAATTAAACTAAAGAGCTTCTGCACAGCAAAAGAAACTACCATCAGAGTGAACAGGCAACCTATAAAATGGGAGAAAATTTTCGCAACCTACTACTCATCTGACAAAGGGCTAATATCCAGAATCTACAATGAATTCAAACAAATTTACAAGAAAAAAACAAACAACCCCATCAAAAAGTGGGCGAAGGACATGAACAGACACTTCTCAAAAGAAGACATTTATGCAGCCAAAAAACACATGAAAAAATGCTCATCATCACTGGCCATCAGAGAAATGCAAGTAGTATCTTCTTCTAACAATTTCTCATATTGTAATGAGAATAATTTTTAAAGCAAAAATGTGATCACATTACTGTCCTGCTTAAAACTATTATTATTATTATTATTATTATTATTATTATTGAGATGGAGTTTTGCTCTGTCGCCCAGGCTGGAATGCAGTGGCATGATCTCGGCTCACTGCAACCTCAGCCTCCTGGGTTCAACCAGTTCTCCTGTGTCCACCTCCCAAGTAGCTGGGATTACAGTCATCCACCACTGCGCCTGGCTAATTTTTGTATTTTTTACTAGAGACAGGGTTTTACCATGCTGGCCAGGCTGGTCTCAAACTCCTGACCTCAGGTGATCTGCCCACCTCGGCTTCCAAAAGTGCTGGGATTACAGGCATGAGCCACTGTGCCCAGTCTTAAAGCTATTATTTTAAGGATGCTGGGAACCACAGCAGCATCCAAAATCCTACACACGACAAACAAGGCCTTTCATGATTTGGCCTTTGCTGACCTCTGCAGAGGTACATTTCTTGCTTTTTCTCAACACTGTGCTCATGTCACAGTTAATAACTTGTGTGTGGTTCCTGCATCCAGCGCTCTCTTCTCTAGGCCTTCGTTCCTCTGATGGCTCTTTTTCCTATCTCGTCCCACACCTCACCTAACTGCCTCTCATCCTTTAAGCTGCACATTAGGTACCACATTTCCTCCTTCACCTCCAAGGCCAGGCTAGATAATGTCCCTTCCTTGAACCTCCACAGCTCTCTGGACTTATCCTTCCTGTACTTCTATCAAATCATTTTACAATGACTTCCTTATTTATATTTGCCACACCTTCAGCAGAGGATCTGGCCTTCATCTGCCTTTCTATCTCCAGGGCCAAAAATAGTCTCTGATGTACAACAGGCACACAATACATATTTATTAAATTAATCTATCATTGATAATTGCTCCCTCTCTTGCCATGGGACACATCTTATGATATCAAAGATGTATAGGGAGCTAGTTAATACCAACACTTGGTCGATCATAGTAAGATAAAACTGTCTCTATGTAATAAGAAATTCACAAAGACATCAAAGTAGCTTCCAAAATCTTTAACTAGTCAATGGCAAGGGGGTACTACAGACAGGTTTAAAATGAGCAAACCTAGCTGGTAGGTAGTGTCCTTAGAAGAGTTTTAAGTGAAAAAGGACATGATAAAATATGGCTTTTAGTAAGATTAATCTGACCACAGAAGGAGGCTTATGTAAATACACTTGGAGCAGAGTTCTGGTATACTTTATCTTCATTAGCTTGGAAAATCCAAATGTTCCATTCAGCTCTGCTCTGAGGGGTAGGGCAGGCCATTTCCCATTGTAATATGAACCGTGGATTCCTGAAAATATTTTTGTATTTCTAGCACTAAACACATCCTGGAATATGGTAAATGCTCAATAAAAATGAGCTAATAAATGAATGCAAGAAAAGCTTGTTACCAAGCCAGATTATGAGCTGGCAGTTAAAACAAACAAAACATCAAGTATTGCTCATAATGAACTAATATAAACCTTAGAAACTGAATCAAAGTACGTGTCCTACTAACTGAGACTCAATTATGTCAGCTTCCTACATGAAGTGTAAAACCCAGTGTACTGCATATCTGCCTCATTTATATGATACGCTCTCACAGGGCAAGGTCTCACACCTGCCCCCAAAACATGGACTACTATCCAAAGACAAATATTTATCACATTATTTTACAAAGTACTTTTTCCCAAGGTCAAAGCACTATCAAGATGATTACCTGAGACAGTTTTGTTGTAGTGGCAGGCAGAAGTGGGCGGCTAAACTTCTTCTGAGAGCCGATTGCTGCTGGAAATGGTGGTGCAGAAAATACAGCTGCCACACAATTGATTTTGTTTATCCACCCTTGCATTTCCTCTGGGCTCCTATGAGAAATAGATATGTTTATATCAGGATATTGCCATGTCTAAGTAGCATCACACTTTGCCTATTTCACGTTACTGATTTGCAATGGCATGTGAAAATCATTTACTCCTCCTGGTACAACTAATCCCTGACAAAACTTCATTAGAGATGAACATTGTCATTCGACGATCACCAAAGAAGCTATGATCATCACAGTGCCAGACTGTGATTCTCTCCCTAGGAAACAGAAGGGAAAAAAGAGAAACACTTGACAATAAATATTGATTAAACCCCTACTTTCTGTTTGATACGAGGCTAGGCCAAAAATAAATTATAAAATTTACTCATCTCTTCTAATTGTACTGTTTAATTTTAAAATCTAACTGAGGAATGCATTGGTAGAGGGAAGGTAAAAGGATTTATCTACTTTGGAAAACAGCTGACAGGTTCTTCGAAAGTTAACTGTGCATGTATCATACGTCCCAGCAATTCTACTCCTAAGTAACTATCCAAGAGAAATAAAAACATATAGATATGCCAGACGTGGTGGCTCATGCCTGTAATCCCAGCACTTTGGGAAGCCGAGGTGGGCAGATCACGTGAGGTCAGGAGTTCAAGACCAGCCTGGCCAACATGGTGAAACCCCATCTGTACTAAAAATACAGAAATTAGCTGGGCATGGTGGTGCACACTTGTAGTCCCAGCTACTTGGGAGGCTGAGGCAGGAGAATCACTTGTACCTGGGAGGCGGAGGTTGCAGTGAGCAGAGATCACGCCACCGCACTCCAGGCTAGGGTGGCAAAGTGAGACTCCATCTCAAAAGAAAACATACAGATACACAAAGATTTGTATGTTAGTGTTTATAGCATCATCATTCCTGAGTCAAAAAAGGGAAACAATCCAAATTGTCCAGTAAATGGATAAACAAAATGCAGTAAATGCACACAACTGAACAGTATTTAGCAATAAAGTACTGACACACACTACAATACAGATAAACTTCCAAAGCTTTATGTTAAATAAAAGAAGCCAGACACAAAAGACCACATCATATATTAGTCTGTTTATATGAAGTGTCCAGAAAGGGCAATACTGCAGAGGCAGAAAGTAGATCAGTGGGTGCCTGGGGCTGGAGGTGAGAATGGCAGTGACTACAAAATGCGCACGGGGATCTCTTTGGAGTGATGGAAATGATTCAAAACTAGATTGTGGTGATGGCTGAGCCATTCTGTAAATATGCTAAAAAAATCACTGAAATGTACATTTCAAACTGGTGATATTTTATGGTACGTAAAGCATACCTCAATAAGACTATTTAGAAAACCCACCTGAGAGGAGGTGAAAATCATCTGATGTGATCATATTTTTAATTTATGTGTCATTATATCCAGAAAGCCCAAGATTCACAGCACTTAATAAATATTTGCAAACTCATAAATGAATGGTAGAAATGATCATGAATCAGGACAGATTATCTACCATACACATAATCAATAAACAAAAAGTAAAAAAAAAGTCAGCCAAAGTCATTTCCTTCATCAATTACTCTGAGAGAAACCACACAAACAAACCTGAGACCACTCTAAATGTCAGCTCCTCACGGCACCCTCTCTAGGCTGATCTCTCTGGCTCCATTATTATTTCAATGGACTGTTTTTTGCATCAATTCTGTCCAAAGTAATTAGATCTCCTTAGTTATTACATCTGGTATTTTTGATTGAAAAAATCAGGGAACAGAATAATTTGAAAGTTTCTTTATGCCCAATAGCTGTAATTATACATCCAGCTATGGGTCCCTGTGTGATGTTAACCATCCCATTCCTACACTCAAAAACCCCGGGCAACTTGTTTCCTTATAACCTCCCCCTAAAACTGGCAATTCATCCCATTTCCTTGCTCACAGTAGAATGACATCTTTTCCTTCTAGTATAATCATGGACTACTAGAGCTCAGAAGGGAAACAAAAAAATAAACATTTACATTTATTGAACAGTTCCTATGTGCCAGGCACTGTGTGAGGTATTATACACACTTATCTCACTGACTTCTCACTAGAACTCTGTAAGATAAACGTTATCCCCCACACTAGTGACGAGCTGAGGTTCAGAGGTTAAACTATGTGCTAGGAGAAAGAGCTAGAGAAACAGTGTTATCTAGGTCTGTTTTACTCATTTTGCGATAAAACTTGTCTACTAAAACCCTCATATTTTATTGATGAGGATACTGAATTCTAGAGATGGTAAGTGGCTGACTAAAAGTCAAAGGGCTACTTTGTAACAGGTAAAAATGTAAATCCTGGGTTTCTATTTTTTTTTACTCTAATCTTCTTAGGCAGTTATTTCTCTAATGTAAGCAGTTGATGACTTTGATTCCAACTCAAAAAATTTCCCCTGCAGAGCTTGATTTTGTTCCTTGCAATAAAGTAGTGCTAAGTGAACTAAAACACAAAATCAAATAAAAACCAACAAAACATACTGAGTTTGAAAAAGCAAGACCCTCCAGTCGGCAGTTTTAAGTTTAAACACGTTTGGTTTCTTCTCATAGTCCGTGGCCTTGGATGCCAATGCGTGGTGCACACTCACAGCGTTTTTCAAGTCCTCTTCAGACAAGGCCTTTTCTGGCTTGTATTCATCCTATAGATGGACACAAAGAAAATAAAGGCAAAAATCACGATCAGATTTCAACTTAATTTTTTAAAAGCAAAAACTAAAAAAATAGTTTTTAGGAAATCCAAGTAAGTGAATGAAAAAAATGAAACAAACGGTGAGTAAAAACAACCTTATAAATGTTACAGAACATTATGTTGTTTGAAAAATTTGCTGAGAATGAGAAAATACATCTACCCAAGGCATTTTTTTAAAAATCAGTTTTTTTAAAAAACTGATATACAATAATTGAGGTAAATAGCTAAGTAAGGCCAAAGGCAGAAATAAATATCTATCGTACACATTTTATAATGAACAGAAATGAGACTTGGACCAATAGTGTGATTTGGTTTCAGGATTAAATGGTTAAAAGCACAACCTTACAGGTAACTGTCAACAGAATTATACCGAGGATAAAAACAATGCCATTGTGTTCTTTGCTCTGAAGATATTACATGTTCCTGTTACTTTCTGTTTAGACTAATATTATCAAAAGAAAAATGAATAGTAAAATAAAATAATTACTCCAGCTCTTCTGCTGAAAGAAAAGAGGAAAATCAATAATCAGGTGAAAGCTTAGCTTGTTATCAAAAACTGAAAAATAGGTAAATGCATATGCTACCAACTGTTAGATATTTTCTAGAGTTTAAGGCCTCCCTTCCTCCTTCCCATATTTTATCAAAAACAAGATAAACATGCATTCTGTAAAACACACACGTGTACCCCCGAACACACACACCACATCACCTTCTAATTAGTAGTAAAAGCCTAAAGAAAGATATTGTCTGTTTTCTTATCAGTCTGCTTTTACAAATTTTCACAAAAACAATGCCAGTCCTCCATACTTCCCCTCCCTTTCATTTATCCCCTCCAAAAACCAAGCAGTTCAAATGTACTATTGCCATCAATTCAAATTGAGTCAAAAATAATCCTTCATGTGACAATGCTGTGAGGCAAAGGTTTTCCCTCTACAATATGATGTAAATACCAGTGGTAATATAAAGATTATCCACATTTATAATATTAAACGACAAAATTGTTACTTTGGGATTGCAACAAGTCTTACTTTATTAAGCCTCCCAGGATAAGAAGTGCTATTGACAATGACAGTCTTCTCGAGTGGTATGATGAATAAAGGAGAATTTAAAAAACAAATACAAGGTATTTATATGTACCTGTTACTAATTCCCACTAATTCATAAAACTATAATCTAGTTATGTTTTAAGATCTGCCTTGTCATTTTTTAAATGAGATTTTTCTCAGTAATTTAGCATTCCAAATATTCACAAATCTCCTTCCAGGGAAATTTTCATCAGAGTAGGAATTTCAACTAGAGGTAGCATGACTACAAAACCCCTCTGGCCTTATAATTACGCTATAACAGAACCCGGCACATGTGGCTCTCCACGCAGTGTAACTTAGATTCCAGACAAAAACATGAGGTAGGTAAATAACTGGAATGAGGAGAAATGATGAGGGCCAAAATCACTTGAGGGAATTTATATGCCACCTCCATTTCCATACATACTGATCCCCTAACACACCTAATGATTGAGTTTGCACAAAGGTTAGCCTAGAAATTTGTGTGTACTTTTTTTTTTTTTATATTCTAGGTCCATGATTTAAGCTTTTATCTTAATTCCTCTTCCCTATTTTCTTTGAATTAATATTTTGTTGTTGTTTGAATTTCTTAAGATGATTACCTAGTTCTTTTGTTTTCCATATTTCTTCTTTGGTTAAGAAAGAATTTAAGGTTACAATTTTTCCTCTGAGTATGGGTTACACTGTGTAGCAGAGTTTGGGAAAGAAGAGTATTTTTTCATTGCTTTCTAGATAGTTTGTAGTTTTAATTTTTTATCTCTTCTTTAATCTTAGTAATATCAAATAATGTGCTTCTCAAATTTAAGGTAAAGTTTTAGTTATATATTATTAGATATTCATAATTTTATTGGCTTATGACCAGAGAATATGGTCTAGAAAATCTATTTTCCCCAAATTTGGTAAGGTTTTTCTTGTGGCCAATCACATGTTTGATTTTCGTTAATGTTCCATAAACATACAAAAAATTTATTCTTTGAGGAATGAATGTGTCTTTATATTCAAGTTTATTGACTCGGTTCCTCTGCCCTTACATCATTTTTTCTACTAGTTTATCCCCTTCAGACACGTATATTAACCTTTTCCACTTCAAGTTCTTGTTGCATTTCTGATAAGTTTTATACATATTTTAGTTGCTATGTTGTCTGGTGCATTTAGGTTTATAACTATCATCTTCCTTATAACTATGTGCCACTTATTACTTAAAATGTTCTTCTTTATCCGTTTAATGCTTAGTCATATAAGATGGAAATTTAAAAGAGTCTTTCTTTTACGAAAATGCTCTGTTTATCTATTCCTCACCCACATCAACAAGATAAGACTTTGAAAAATGTTTTGTTCTGCAATCTTACTAAAATTATCTTGTGTTATGCATTTTCTGTTTCAAGAAGCCTTATTTTGAATTTAGATTATACATTCTGAGTCTCCCCTCATAGATTTAACTGCATCTATGTTTCCTCGCTCACCTGCTTCTTTCTTTTTTCCATCTTGACCTCTCTCCTCTCATACCTTTGCTATTTTCTCTTCTCTCAAGTATTTTCTTTAGGTAGGTGGTATACTGTTTTATTCTTATCCTCAAGTATCTTTCATTTCTTTGATAGGTATAGAACTGGATATAGAACATATGGCTGCAGTCTTCTTCATTGGTTTTACTTATTGTCTGGAGATGCTATTCTACCATCTTCTAGCTTCCAGTTTAATACAAGTCCAATGCCAATCTAATTATTTTCTCTTTTTCTTGTTTTTTTCTCTTAGGAATCACATATGGGTTTTCCTTTAATCTTAGGATTCAGGATTTTTTGCTAGGCTATGCCTTACTTTTCTTAGCCATCCATTTAGTCTGAAACTAAAAAGTCCCACCCTTATTCTCCCTTATGTAACCATTCACTTGGGTTGATAATTGCTGACAAAACTAATAAACATAGTTGTGCAGACTGTAGCTAAGACAGATTTAAGGTCTCCAGCTACGGCTGCATCCAGTGCCAACCTACAATTCTTTTACATCTCCATGATTTGTGAAATTCTTCCTCAGCTTTTTGTTACAATACCCTCCTGGTTTCTCTCCTACCTCTCTGATCATTATTTTGCTATCTCTTCTTCTTCATGCCCTTCTATGTAACCGTTGGGATGGTTTGAACTCCAGATATATATCACAATGTCTAACAAACTGCTACAGGTGAATAGGAAACACAAAACCAATTGGTAGCTATTACTATTGAATGACTTAGACTGTCTCATTTGGAGCCACTATAAATATTCTTCGAGTATATTATCTGCTGATATCTTCATTTAAAATCAAGCTCAAAGGATGACATTCTTATGCTACTCTTAAAAATGCAAAAAAAAAAAAATTTAATGCTACATTTATTACAGACCCAGGAAAAAGCTAACAGTAATTGTCACCTTGGAAGAACTGCACCATTATTTTAAAAGAGGACTCTATTCCAAGGTAGTTTCCTAAACTCTAAGGTAAACTGCCAGATTACCTTATACTGGAAGGAGAACACTATATACGGCATCAGTGGAAGACAGGATCTATTTAATTAGGGCTAAACTGAAGTTGAAAAATTTTAAGTCTAGGAAGCTTCCGCTTTTCTAGTTGATAATACAATTTTACCATTTTTTCTTAAAAAGGCAAAATGCAAACCTTAAAATATTTTCAGCATTCTGAATTCCTACTAGAAAATAAAGCTCCAAGTCCACACACACACACACACACACACACACACACACACACAAAGGGCAAAACCAAGAGTAGAGTGGAAACATTAGGGTTGACAATTGGATTAAAAAAATGACTTTATCCTACTAAGTTCATTCTGACATCTTTATTTTTCACTAAAGGAGAGGATAGTGTTTAAATGGTAGAATTGGGCAGGAAGAAATAACGGATAAATCATCGTAATCAAACCATTTCAAACCAAGGACTATTTGCTGTGCAAACTAAATGTGAAACAGTGAGCAAGATAAATCCAATCAAGAAATTTTCTGTAAGAAAAGAAAATGCTCCACGACATCTAATTACTATCCATTTTCTCAAATAAATGAGGGGTGAAAATGATGACTAAAAACATGTTACTCTCTCGTGTTCCCTGCAATCTACATCGTTTTATGTAACAGGATTCATTAGAGCACTCCACCATCCCAATAAACACCAAGAATGTGATTTCACAATGCTATTTATTTTAAATCCATTAAAAGCATGAAATAAAAAGCTTTTTTTCCCTGAGAAACTTGTTAATTAAACCTCTTGTGAAGTTGAATCTTAACACACTAACATAAACATCATCTACATATGTACAAAAAATTGGCATCAAGTCTGAAAAATTGTACTTTCAGGTAATATAAACTACAATTTGGAAAATGACCAAATTGTAATTAAAATTCTTATCAATTTAAAAAGCATATTAAAGACTCCAGTTTTCAATGTACTATTTACTTCATGCCTCATTAAATAGGTAAAATAGCTACATGTACTTAAAACAATTTTAAACACAGTTGAAATGGTCTTGATTTCCACTGAGAGAATATAAAAAGGGAAAGTGAGACCACATTGTTACTTGGAGCTATGTGGAAATTAATAAAAATGTTAGTAATTAAAGCAAGCTGGGTCCTAAATTGTCTATTAATTCATGGTTTTGAAACTGGCATTAAAAATGTTTTTTATAATTTGATGAATATCTTTTTTAAAAAATGCTAAGTATGTCTGATTAGGCGTCTTTCTAAAACTCATTCAGCTTCGTCCTAATAACTATTTCAACATGTAAAAGAGCACAGAACCAGCAGTTTCACAAAAGGAAATAAAAACGCCATGAGCTCACAAGAAAGCAGGATGAGTGACAGGAGACCAGGCCAGAGATGGACCTGCTCCGGGTGCCACAGTCTTGGGCACATCAGCTCCAGACTGATTGCTGTCATCACAGTCTGGGAGGCCTTGAATCCTCAGTGGCTTCCTTCTGTGCCTGAACCAAGCCCTCCCCTGATGCGACCCAGTAAACTTTTACAAAACCTACTGGTTTTGTAAAAACCAAAAAGTTTAATTCCAATTAAACTTTTACAAAACCTATTGGTTGAGCCTAGGAGGTCAAAGCTGCAGTGAACTGTGATCGCACCACTGTGTTCCAGCCTGGGTGAAACAGTGAGAATCTGTGTCAAAAAACAAACAAAAAAACAAGCCCCCAAAACAAAACACAAACAAACAAAAACCCCTTATAGGCAGGTGGAACAAAATCTCTCTTCCGAGTAAGCCAGAGAATAAAGATGATTCTGCACCAAGGACACAGTTCCTGATCTGTGATAGTAAATGTACGTTTTAGATAACGAACTGATTTTTCACTTCTAAAGACAGGGTAAAGGTAAATAAATTCAGGTTTGAACAGCTGCTTTCTAGACCCTAAAGATAAAATCACATAGAGATTCTTGAGAGCCTGATCTGCAGACTACAATAATCAAGAGGTGAACTCTAAGTAATTCACTGCCATGCACTAACGAGCCACCTACACCCGTCGCTCTTAACCATTCCATCAATCATCTCTAGGGCAGTTCAGTTTTGTAACAACCAGAACTGGAACAAGAATAACATCACAAGCCTTACAAAAATACTTTCAAGAGAGAAGCAGAGACTGGCAGGGACAGACACAAAGCCCATGACAGAAACTGAGAGAGAAACTCTGAAGCTTTGTGATAGCAAAGGCTTGTCAAAGCACTTGGCTAGCGGATGACTCACTCTGTAACGAAGTGGATATGAAGTTACTACCCAAATGTCAACCATGATGGATCATCAGAACCAACAGGAATGGAATCATTTTAATGTCAATTAAAATGCACATTCAATTCATAGCACTTTCTAATTTTTAAAGCACATATGAACTATTAGTATTATATTAAAATAATATTTGTCTTTTCTTCCATGAACGCTTCACATTCCCATAGTAATAATTAACTACCAATAGGGCACACATTTTTTAGGTACTCTTGGGCTCAGGGGCACTGCAAGTACTAGAAAAAACACAGATAGGAGTGTGCTCTTACTTAGCTATAAAACAGACAGAAACACTGTACCATAAAAGTCCTATTATGCCAGATCATGACTGATACCTGGACTCTGGAACAGTTTTGAAATGTGCAAATATTTAAATCAGCCCCTATGCTGGTGTTGTATATCACAAGCTCTATCTCAGAGAGTTATAGCAAGTAGAAAGAAGTGTTCACCCGAATTTATTCCATTCACCCTGTGTTTTCTCCAACCTTCACCTATACACTTGGTTTACATCATGTTAACTGGTGCTTTTTCACCAGGTGATTTTAAGAGTCCACTAGCCATTCATTGCATAATACTGGTCTTCTCATCCACACTGTCAGGACAAGTGTTTTCAGGGACCAGACGCTATGTTTATTTCTCACATAGCTCCCAACATGACATTTTGTAAAGGGATCTGACATTACTATCGTGATACTCCGTGGATTTACTCTTTGCTTGAAAGTGAAAGGCATATGTGACTAAGTAACATTAAGGAAGTGGCCAGAAAGGAAAATGAGGCAAATGGTGATGAGGCAGATTGTGTGTAACTCAGAGAAGCAAAACAAGAGCTCTGGATAATGTAAGAAACTGTCTGGGGGAAAGGAACAAAGATAAGGACTTACTTTACTTTAGAGTTCAATCAACAACAGGAAAGAAACAAGATTCAATGGAAATGAGACAGACACCGGGGACTTATTATTTTCAAAAGTCACAGGAAGGGGAATATGAGAAAAAGAGGAGTGGAGTGGATCAAACTGGAAACTTCTGGGTGAGCTTCTCGAGAGTAGTTGTCTATGTCCTCTCTGCCTCTGCATCCTCAACTCTCCAATCTGCCTTCCACGCTCACCACTGCACTGAAACTGCTTTATCGATAATTTCCTACTTGCTGAATTGACGTGGCACTCTCCAATTCCCTATCTTACCTTTTCATGACAGGACACATTTCAAACATCTCTTAACATCTCTGGTACCAGTTTTCTCTCTGGCTTAGTTTTCTTCCTAGCTGTCTGGCCACATTGCACAGGCTCCTCCTCCTTTCTCTTCCTCCTAGGGCACATATGAGTATATGGTCCACTGGCTCTGTCCTCCATCTTCTCCTCACTCTTGGAGTGACATCATCTACTTGCATGGCTTAAATTACCAATTTTTTGTTAATGACTGTTCAGATCTGCATTTCTGGCCCCTTCATTGGCTCCAGATCAAAGTATGCATAATTGCTTACTGGACACATCCATTTATTATTCCACACACTCTGAATTCAACACCTCAAACTAAACTCTCCAAGTAGAGCTATGTTTCCCCCTCCATCTTACCCCTGCCCTTGTTCAAGTTAATCTGGTCTCTGTGTCTTTGATAGAACCTGTTTCCAAGTCATTCTCCAACCTGCAGCCACACTGATCTTTTTTTTTTTTTTTTTTTTTTTTTTTGAGACAGAGTCTCGCTCTGTCACCCAGGCTGGAGTGCAGTGGCAAGATCTCGGCTCACTGCAACCTCCACCTCCTGGGTTCAAGCAATTCTCCTGCCTCAGACTCCTGAGTAGCTAGGATTTTACAGGCACGTGCCACCACGCCTGGCTAATTTTTGCATTTTTAGTAGAGATGGGGTTTCACCATGTTGGTCAGGCTGGTCTTGAACTCCTGACCTCATGATCCACCCGCCTCAGCCTCCCAAAGTGTTGGGATTACAGGCGTGAGCCACCGCATCTGACCCAGATTGATCTTTTTAAAATACAAATATAAATGCTGTGCATGGTGGCTCACACCTATAATCCCTGCACTTTGGGAGGTCAAGGCAGGAGGATCGCTTAAGTTGAGGAATTCAAGACCAGCCTGGGTAACGAAGTGAGATCCCGTTTCTACAAATAATAGAAAAATTAGTCAGGTGTGGTGGTGGTCCCAGCTACTCAGGGGGCTGAAGTTGGAGGACTGCTTGATCCTGGTTGGGGTCAAGGCTGCAGTGAGCTGAGACACCGCCATTGCACTCCAGTTTGGGTAACAGAGTGAGACCTAGTTTCAAAAAAATAAGTAAAATAATCAGGTCACTCCCCATTTAAAACATGTGATAGCTCCAACTGCTCTAAGATAAAGTCTCAACTCTTTAACATGGTTCTCTAGGCTCTTCTGCCTCAAACACCACTGAACCTGCAGTTCCCCAAACACGCTGTATCACATCTAAGTATCCATACACGTTTGTCTCTGAGTTCCCTTATATGACTAGCTTCCATTTGTGTTTTTAAGTGTGGGGTTAGATATCACTTTCTTCATGAACTCTTTCATGAGCTTCCCTTCTCTTGCTCAGGTTAAGTGCCCTTCCATATGTGTTTCCATAGCACCCTCCTCTCTTTGTAGCATTTCTCAAATTGCACTGAATTGGCCTTTTGTTTGTTAATTTCTTCAGAATGAAGAAGAAAGCTCCTTTGGGCACCGTATCTTGCTCACAATCATATCTCTAGTATACAACATTCTAGAAGACGGGCAAAGTCCTAATCTTATATATGCACTCATTATTGACTTGCTTCCTAGGTAAATTTATGGCCCTCTGTATCAGAAAGGTAGTTTACTAGCCAAAGTTCAGCTGATACTGGATACTTAAGCCATATTTTAAGTGTCAATCTGAGAGATATAAAATAGGATGCCAACAGTTCCACATACTTCATGGTTTCTGGGAACAATAGACCTGAAAAAGGTCTATGTTAGAAAATCTCAAAGTTTATGTACTCAACTAATAGAAGATACGAGACATTTTCCAGTGAAAGAGTGGAAAGTCTCATATCCCAGTGAAAGAGTGGCTGGAGCCAGGCAAGTGCAATCAGAGAAAGGGCAAAGCCATCATTCTTTATTCAAGTCAGAGGCTGAAGGAAAGTTAATGCACAGTTGCTGTGCAGTGGCCAAGTTAGTTGAAGCTGGGTGAAGTCATAACAGTTAGAGACCTCTCCCCACAACAGCATTTTAAACTTCCAGTAATTACAAGGCTCTCACACTAGAGTGTTCATATTTACTTAAGAAGACACTAATGGGAAAAATATTAGCTTGGCTAGTACCATCTTTACAATACTGAGTAGGTTAATCAACTTTAGAACGCCAGCTTTTCAATTTAAAAAATGGGAACAGTATCCTTCTATGAGATTGTGAAGCTCAGATGGAAGAAGTAACCTACAACCTATTATACTAACAAACCAGTCTCATTTCTGGCTAAATGGCCAATGAAGCAAGCTGGCTCAGGCAATCTGCCAAGCCGTTTCCTACATTTGTGATGTATAATGCTCTGATCTGGGAGTGGTTATTCTTTTAGATATGAAATATACAGAAATGCTCTGCAGGGCTATGTGGGCTTTCTTTAATACGGGAATACTGCTCTTAAATGTCTCTTCAAAAAGGTGGGGGGCTCCTTGTGCTTATTTGTTTCATGTTTTTGCTACATGGAACGGGTATGTAGAGCCTATGGCTTATTTTTTCATAAAGGGACTATCTAAATATCCAGGGTTGAGGTGGTGAGAGGGAGAGGGAGCGGAGGCATGTGTCTGATCTTTGGTAAAATTTCTCTAACTAGAAGACAAGTATGTAGAAGTCATGTCATATATATAATTAATGTCTATGGGAATGAGGAATGGGGTGATATGGTATTTTTGACCTGTGTTTATGCCACATCGCTAGCTCCAGAACACGAAGCCCTCTGCCTTGCCTGGCACTAGTGCTAGGAGGATTTATGGAGGCATTTGTCTCCTATCTGAAGTGGAAACAAAGGTAGAAGAAATTACTTATTTTTCAATAAAGGTACCAGGGAAAGTAAGGGCCTTTATTTGGATGGTTGAGAAGGCCTAACTCTTAATCATTTCATACACAGACTGCTGTAGGAAGATTGTGAAAAGGGAGGAAAATAAGGTCTGAATAAAGCCAGTCACTTTATTTTTATTTTATTTTTGAGACAGGCTCTCACTGTCACGCAGGCTAGAGTGCAATGACCCAATCTTGACTCACTATAACCTCTGCCTCCTGGGCTCAATCAATCCTCCTGCCTCAGCGTCCTGAGTAGCTAGGACCACAGGCAAGTACCACTATGTCTGGCTAATTTTTGTATTTTTTGTAGAGATGGGGTTTTGACATGTTGCCCAGGCTGGTCTTGAACCCTTGGGCTTAAGCAATCTACCCACCTCAGCCTCCCAAAGTGCTGGGATTACAGGTGTGAGCCACTGTGCCCAACCACACCAGACACTTTATTCCTTATGAGATGACTAATAATCAAGAAAGGACTAAAAGAAAAAATACTCTCATTTCTTATAAGAGTCGTCAGGAAGGGAACCAATATTTACTATTAACCTACTGTGCAACAGGTGTTTTCATGTATTTAATCATTTCTTTATATCAACCATGCAACATCATTTCCCCTCATTTTACACAGAAATGAGTTGAGGTTCGCAGAGGATAATTAACTGCTCCAAATCAGCAATTAGTTAAGTGACAGACTTGGAGTTTGACAAGGCATGTCTACTTACTGGAGTATGACTCTTCGTAACTCTTCAAGGTGTGACTCTTCTTTTGGAAGAGCCTTTTAATGCTCTTCCAAGAGATATATTTTCCTAGGGGGATCTGAGGAAGCTGGGGAGAGCGATCCCCAGCCTAACAAAGCTCTTACTTTAATACCTAAGAGGCTGCCGACACTGTGCCCATGTGTTCAGGAGGCATGCAACATATGGGAGCATAAACACAGGGCGGCCACAACCTTAAGAGGCATGAGATATTATTTATTAATGCTTCAACTTCCTGTAGGAGTGGCCAAAAACCTTTGCAACAAGCCACTTTGGCTGGGATGGGAGTAGTGAAAGAGGTTGAGCGAATGGAGACTGTGAGGACTTGGCACTCGCTCCTGTGTAATTTCAGCTGTGCCTAGTTTTCCTTCTGATGACTATTGTGACTTTTTTGTTTATTTGTTTTTCGGAGGGGGAAAGCCTTTACTATTACTCTCCATTTGTAATGAAGAAATGCGAATTGAATTATTCTTGAATTGTTCTATATGGGTAAAAATCATTATACGCTATTACGTAGTTGAGAAGTCTTGATGAAAGGCTTAAAGTAACTGATGAGCAACTAATAATGAAATGAGACCCTAAACAGATTGTTATTCCAGTGGGTGGGGCAGGGGGTGGTTTGTGTATGTGTGTGGTATATATGTGTTTACAATGAAGGGAAGGTGGTCTTCAAAGCCAGCCATTATGGACTTCCGGAATGGCTGGAATTGCCAGCCATTATGAATTCTTTCGAAGACCAATTTGATTCATTTAATCAGGGAAGCAGTGGCCCTGTTTCCTTCTGTCTCAGGCAGTACTACCCCCCTCATTTATCCCCAAGGCCGAGACGTTGGCAGCCGCAAGGGGGAAAATGGAGGGCACTCAGGAGGGAAGTTAACTGGAAGCCCTTGGACAGGATTCCTTGATGCTGAGAAATGTATATGGGGTAGAAAGGTGTGGAGAAAGAGAGAATGGATGTAGAGCCTGAGTGTGCTAGTGAGGCCCTTAAGGATAGACGCCGGATCCTGGGATCTTTGCATCCCCATCTCTGGCAAAGCCCCTGTTACACAGGAGGCCAAATGAGTGAGCTTTTGTCAAACTGAATGACACTAACTTTGGGCCAGGGCTTTTTTCTCCTCTCCTCACCCAAATAGTGGGGGATTGGCTGAAGAAGGGAAGAAGAAGGAGAGACATTTCTGCTATACTGGAATCCTAGGAGTGTAAATACTGGCATCCTAAGAGCACAGAGCGGAGAACAACATGGCACTCCCAGGTCACATGCCCCACACAGGTCCTGTGAGGAGGGCTGCTTAGCATGGGGGACACTATGCCACCTAAGTCCTTTGAGTACCTGAGTATAGGTGGCAGCGGCAATGACCTCTCACTCAAAGAGCTTGAAATTCCTTGAGGGAAGAAAACAGTTCTTTCGTAAATGGGACACTTTATGACATTGTGATACCATCTCTTTAATTTTCGTGATACCTTCATCATTTGAAACATAATTTTTTTCATCATCTTTCTACTGCTTGCTACTCCCCCTCCAGCCTATAATGCAAATGTAAAAAGTAGTTTGCCACTCTTTGAATATGCCATATTCTCTCATATCTGCTATTTTCACCCTTCTCTTGCTAAAATGCTTTTTCTCGCCTGCCTGCCTGGCAAACTCCTGCTTATCTTTCAGGCATCAGTTCAAGTCATGTTAATTCCTCAGGGAGGCATCTTCTGACCTTTGCAAGTATGCTTAGGGGGCCTTCTTCAGTAAGATTTTTCCACGCCTCTATTAATTCATCTCATTGCTTAGTGAATGCTCAATTTATCTGTTTTCCTCCTATTTTGTGAGCTCTGTGTAGGCAGGGATTGTATCTTAGTTGTCTTTGGAAGCTTAGAATTTTGCACAGTACCTGATGTGATAAATAGCTTTGGGAGGATATAAAACCCAAACTGTATAAACCCCAAACCACCTTGTAATCATATAATTTACTTTTTGTGTAGCATCTGCTATCACATGCTGGTAGATTAGGCTTCCAACCAGGGGGACGGATTAACCAGCAGTGGGACATTAGTAACTCCCTGTAGGATGCACACATCACCAGGATTAGCCCTTAACACATGCTACAACCTGGCCAAGGGGAAGAAGTTTAACTATCTACTACTCCTGTTTCTGCTGGATGGCTCGATACCCCAAAGAACGCTATGATGCAAAAGTCTGCTCAGCAGCAGGCAGTATCCTATTAACCTAAGAGGGAGTGGCATTTCCAGATGTAGATGCCCATAAGGTCTTCCTTCTTGTACAGTCTACCTACCTTTTTAGTTTTTAGTTTTACAGATTAAGAAGAAACTACAGAACCAGGTAGAAACCACACAATCAGGTAGATATAGCCATACAAGACACAGAACTATGAAGTTTAAGCTTCCATTGATTGAGGAATTAGTCTCTAGGATCTGTGCAAGGTTTCCAGGAACATATATTAGTTCTGATTTTTTAAAAAAGAGCATTAAGAAGAGAGTGGAGACTGGTTATTAAACATGGCCACCCTTTTGCAGGCTTATTCTCATTGTAAGTAGATAGTTTACAGCTATGCTAGCATTCTTATGATTTAACTGAAATAGCAACCCGAACAATAACCCATGATTCTACTATTCACTCTTCATAAATGTATAATTTCCTTACTGCCAGGCTTTTCTCTTTATAAAAGCAATTTCACCCAACTTTGCCCAAATGCACATTTGCCACACTCCAGAGCTATCATAAATCCGGAGAAGCAACCTTCTTGGAGCTCTAATCCAAGCTGATGCTGAAGCTTCAAAGTTTACAAAGTTGTTCCCTTGTCAATACTAACCCATTCTCCATCTTGATGACTCAAACTCCCAATACATTTATCTGAGGGAGAGGACAGTGATGTAGGAAAAGCTGGTACCTTTGAAACAGCATCTTTCTTGGCATCACTCCTCTCAAATGTTGAATGTGAGAATAGTGTTCTCTTCCCAGGCCCACCCTGAGATGGAGTGGGTGGAAATCCGGTGGCTAGGTATTCAGAGAAACGGTTTTGCCAAAGGCAGCTATGCCCCTTAACACAGATTTTAGACAAAATAAAGAAGTGACCCAAGAGAGTGGAATTTATGCTGGGGAAATGGCTGTGATATGTGAAATTTAATTTCAAAGGGTTCTTCCTTGCAGAGACAAAGGTAGCTAAAAGGACCAGTGTGGGCCCAGCATGTACACACATGCTGATCTGGCAGAGGCCAGAGTAGCTGACTTATAAACTAGAAGCTTATAGGACTCCACAGGAAAACAAGCTTATAGACTCCATAGGAAAATAAAGACAGTATGAGATAGCCAGCCACCTAAGAGCATGGATAATCTCCAAGTATCAACAACTGCCTCCATTTCTCCCTTGTCATGACCCTCAAAGTAATGTGAGAATTTTAGAAGGATGCGGCAAATCATTTACTTTGTGATCTTTGGGTTTCAGCTAACTCCATATCTCTTTCTACAAAGCCTATTTTCCCAAAAAGAGATCATGGTCTAAGGTGAAGCATTCCATGCTCCAATATTCCTTACCTGATGTATTCCAAAAGGAAGATGACAAAAGGGTTTGTGTTAGATATGGTCCTTCCTAATTTGGACACTTGAAAACAGTTCAGATAAAAAATAAAACAAAAAATAATTATAAAAATGTTGTTTACAAAGCTGCTCTGGTAATATGTAAAATGTTAATGAAAGATATGGGTTTCCAGTGGCAGGGTCTGGAGAAGGGGTGGCAGGCACCAGATCCAGCCATCAAAGTGGCAAGAAGCAGCCCTGAAATGAGCCAAGGAGATGGGCGAGGAGGCGAGGGCTTCTAAGCAGAAACAAAAAGAAAAGACAAAGAAACTCTGGAGCTGAAAGCAAAGGCTGTGGGCAAGGGTCCCCTGCCCAAAAGGTTGATTTAAGAAATCTGTCCACAAGTAAGTTGTTCTTTGCGTCTGAGGTGATGGTGATCCTTGCCTTCCGTTCTTACTTAAACATCTGTATTCCCTGCCATAACATATTTTGCCACCTACAGCTAAAATGAAGTGCTGTCTTGGAATCTGTTGAACATTTAAAAATAAACTTTTGTAAAAAAACAAAAACAAGCAAAGAAAACAACAACAACAACAATAAAAAAGCAAAAAAGATACAGTATAGTTGAAATATAAAGTCCTTTAAATAAAGATCTGGGTGGACAAAGGAAGGCTAGTTTTAAAAAAGAATAATTCTTTCAATCTCATATATGGCATTATTATAATATTTTGAAAAATTTAAAATAACAATAAATCAAATGTATTCCTTCCCAGTCTCCATTCCAAAGCAGTTGATCATCTCAGTGGTGCAAGCGTGCATACCATGAGGGGTCGCCATCTGATTCAGTACTGCGGATAGTAAATCAAACGGGAGGCCTCTTTGCCAGAGAAACACAGGTGTGGAAAGGCAACTACAGCAGTGTGTAAAGAGTGGAAGGACATGTGTTCGTGGACAAACACCAAAAACAAGAAGTTCAAAATGAATCCTTTCAGATCCTTTCCTCTGAATACCCATATGTCAATAATACACTGAAAACAGACATGTTGTCACAAACTTCTGTAAGGAATGACATTAGGTATAATCTTTCTGGAGGTAATTTAGAAATATGTTTTCAGAACTGTAAACAGTTCCTACCATGTGCCCCATGACACCCCTAGGAATCTTAAGAAAATAAAAGAGATATGTGCATGTGTGTGTGTGCAGTGTTATTTTATAAATGAAAAACTAAAAAAGAGTATGTCTGAAAGTGGGGGAAAAGTTAAATTATGATAAATCTATTTAACAAAAAATACTACATGCATTTAAAAATGAATATGTTTATAAATGATCTAGGGACAGAAGAAACAAAACCATAATTACATATCATTTCACAGTCACCAAATACCAGATTGATGAAAACCAAAAATGTTTCTAAAAAACTTTTAATAAGAAACTGTTTATGATAACATACAGAGTGAAAAGAATAAGACGCCAAAACTGTGTTATACTATGATTCCACATAGATTTAAACAGTCTCTTCCTGGGAGTGCTGTTAGCAAGACAGCAGAATAGGTAGTCCCAGCTCCCATCTCCCCAATAAAAATATTGAGTAATCAATGATTTATGGACCAAAATACCTACTAAGACAATACCAAAATCCAGTGAAGAGGTTGTAGTACCCCAGGAGAGCACAAAGCCAAGAAACCCACGCTGAAACAGGTAAGAAGAGTGATTTCATCTTACCCACATCAACCCCTCCCTGAAGCTAGCATGCCTCAGCACCAGAAGAGAATGCCCTGGCCCCTGACATCTCTGATGGGGGAAAGGAAAGAGGTCTTTGCTATTCTGGCTTTTCAGAGGGCTGCCTGGGTAATGGCTTAATCTTGGTTCAATTGGAATACTGAGGGAACTGCAATAGTGTGGATACCTGGGCACTGCTAAGAACAAAGGAAAGTGGTGGGTGGTTCGCTGCAGTCAGCACAGCTTGATGCAATTGGGAGAAAAGGTGGTCAACCTGAAGCTTCTACTTTGGGAGGGCTGAAGAAAGGTAGAGTGTGTGGCCCTCATTTCAGCTCTTCTTGGCCCCAAGGGACTAATTTCTTTCTCACCTCACTCACAGCACTAACAGAACTAGCATAGCTTGGAAGCCTGAAGGACACTTAGAACAGAGTAGAGAGACAGGTGGCTTGCTGTGGCTGGCACACTTAGTGTACTTGATTTCTCCCTTGGGAGGGAGAGAGAGAGGAGCAGAGTATGCATCCAGCATTCTGGCTTTTTGGAGGGCTATCTGAGGGAGTGGTATCTGACTCTCCTGATTCAGGGAACTGATGGCATACACTTGGTGGCTGCTTAGAACAGGGGACAGCTGGGTAGCTTCCTGCTCTAAAATCAGATAACTTGCAGTGTTGCAGACAGACATCAAAGGGTGCAAGGATTATGGGCTCCTGAAAAAGGATTCAGAGTTCCCTAAAATCTGTTGCAAAGATGACTGGTGAGGGGCTTCTGCTGTAGCAAGCCAGTCTCTATACTGGAAGAGGTGGCTGATTCTTCAAATGTGCAGATCCCAATACAGCTACAAGAGACAGAACAAACAGGAAAACATGGTTCAATGGAACAAAATGAATTTCCAGAAATTGACCGTAAAGAAACAAAGGTATAAGAATTACCTGCATAAACACTGTAAAGATGCTCAACAAGCTAAAAAAAGATGAATAAACAAAATGAGAATATCAACAAAGAGAAAATATTTAAGGGAACTAAATAGATATTTTCAAGCTGAAGAATATAGTAACTGAAATGAAAAATTCAGATGAGAGGCTCAAGAGCAGAAAACAAAGAAGAAAGAATGAGCAAACTTGAAAACGGGCCATTTGAAATTATCCACTCAGAGAACAAAGATAAATAAGAATGAAAAAGAGTTAAGAGAGCCTTATACACATCATTATGCAGACCAACACATTATGGAAATCCAAGAAAGAGCAGAAAGAAGAAAGAGGGCACAAAGCTTATTTACCGAACACTTCTGAAATCTGAGGAAGGAAACAGACATCCAGATTCGAGAAGCCTAATGACAACCAGGATTAATGGAAATAAATTACACTGGGACCAATGACCAAATTATAAAAAGTCAAAGAAAAACAGAGGACTTTGAAAGTAGCAAAAGAAAAGTGATTGGTCTGTGTATTTCTCAGCATAAATGATCCAGGGCCAGAAGTGACTGTGATGATATGTTCAAGGTGCTCAAAAAAACAAACAAACAAACAAACAAACAAAAACACTTGCCACACAAGCATATTACATCCAGCAAAACTACCCTTTAAAAATGAAAGATATATAGACCAATGGAACAGAACAGAGCCCTCAGAAATAACACCACCCATCTACAACTATCTGATCTTTGACAAACCTGACAAGAACAAGAAATGGGGAAAGGATTCCCTATTTAACAAATGGTGCTGGGAAAACTGGCTAGCCATATGTAGAAAGCTGAAACTGGATCCCTTCCTTACACCTTATACAAAAATTAATTCAAGATGGATTAAAGACTTACATGTTAGACCTAAAACCGTAACAACCCTAGAAGAAAACCTAGGCAATACCATTCAGGACATAGGCACGGGCAAGGACTTCATGTCTAAAACACCAAAAGCAATGGCAATAAAAGCCAAAATTGACAAATGGGATCTAATTAAACTAAAGAGCTTCTGCACAGCAAAAGAAACTACCATCAGAGTGAACACGCAACCTACAGAATGGGAGAAAATTTTTCCAATCTACTCATCTGACAAAGGGCTAATATCCAGAGTCTACAATGAACTCAAACAAATTTACAAGAAATAAACAAACAACCCCATCAAAGAGTGGGTGAAGGATATGAACAGACACTTCTCAAAAGAAGACATTTATGCAGCCAACAGACACATGAAAAAATGCTCATCATCACTGGCCATCACAGAAATGCAAATCAAAACCACAATGAGATATCATCTCACACCAGTTAGAACGGCGATCGTTAAAAAGTCAGGAAACAACAGGTGCTGGAGAGGATGTGGAGAAATAGGAACACTTTTACACTGTTGGTGGGACTGTAAACTAGTTCAACCATTGTGGAAGACAGTGTGGTGATTCCTCAGGGATCTAGAACTAGAAATACCATTTGACCCAGCCATCCCATTACTGGGTATATACCCAAAGGATTATAAATCATGCTGCTATAAAGACACATGCTCACGTACGTTTATTGCAGCACTACTCACAATAGCAAAGACTTGGAACGAACCCAAATGTCCATCAGTGATAGACTGGATTAAGAAAATGTGGCACATATACACCATGGAACACTATGCAGCCCTAAAAAAGGATGAGTTCATGTCCTTTGTAGGGACATGGATGAAGCTGGAAACCATCATTCTCAGCAAACTATCACAAGGACAAAAAACCAAACACCGCATGCTCTCAGTCATAGGTGGGAATTGAACAATGAGAACACTTGGACACAGGAAGGGGAACATCACACACCGGGGCCTGTTGTGGGGCGGGGGGAGGGGGGAGGGATAGCATTAAGAGACATACCTAATGCAAATGACGAGTTAATGGGTGCAGCACACCAACATGGCACATGTATACATATATAACAAACCTGCACGTTGTGCATATGTACCCTAGAACTTAAAGTATAATAATATATATTATATATATATTATATAATATATATTATTATATACATATTATATAATATATATTATTATATACATATTATATAATATATATTATTATATATATTATATAATATATATTATTATATATATTATATAATATATATTATTATATATATTATATAATATATATTATATATAATAATATATATTATTATATATAATATATATTATAATATATAATATATATTCTATATATTATATAATATATAAATAATATAATACATTATATATAATATATTATATAATATATAAATAATATACATTATATATAATATATTATATTATTTATATATTATATTATATATATACAAAAGAAAGAAAGATAATATTTTCTTAGGTAAACGAAAGTTGAGAGAGTTCATCACTGCTGGACTTGCCTTACAAGAAAGGCTAAAGGGAGTTCAACTTGAAATGAAAGAATGCTAAACAGAAACAAGAAAGTATAAAGCTCAATAGCAAAAGTAAACAGAGACAGGACTTGGTATCCGTGGGAGATTTGTTCTAGGACCCCTGATGGACACCAAAATCCATGGATGCTCAAGTCACTTACATAACATGACACAGTATTTGCATATATCATATGTATATCCTTCTGTACACGTTTTACATCATCTCTAGATTACTCA
This sequence comes from Homo sapiens, assembly GCF_000001405.40. NCBI lineage: Eukaryota > Metazoa > Chordata > Mammalia > Primates > Hominidae > Homo > Homo sapiens. Next base: position 18,594,788 of record NC_000008.11, read on the forward strand.
TGATACCTAATAAAAGGCCTACACATCACTTCATTGGCATAGATTCAACATAGTACTCAGCATGTAGAAAATTCAAGTTTTGTTTTTTGAAACTTTGTGGAACTTTTTTTTTCTGAATATTTCAATCTCAGGTTGGTTGAATTCAAATGCAGCAATCACTGATATGCAGTGCTGAGCATATGTAGGAAAAATATACAATGCTTTAATGTTGTAATAGTGGTGTGTAAATGACTTTTAACTCTGGTATAGAAATTTTAAAAAAAGTATTAAAATACTTTACCTATAAATATACATTAGTGGGAACAGAATACAAAAGGATATAATTTGTGACGGAGTAAAAGTATAGTTTTGGCATATGACCTGAAATCATTATCAGCTTAAAATAGATCATTATAACTGTTTTATGTAAGCCCCATGGTAAGCAAACAAACAAACAAACAAAAAAAACCCTAAAAGATACCCAAAAGAAAATGAGAATAAAGAAATGTTATTACAAAAAAAAAAAAAAAGGAATACTAATAAGAGTGAAGTAAAAAAGTGACAAGACAGAAAATAAATAGCAAAATAGCAAGAGTGTTTCTCTATCGATAATTACTTTAAATATGAATGGATTAAACTCCCAATCACAGCTGGGAGTGTGGTTGAATGTATTGAGAGAGAGAGAGACAGAGAGACAGAGACAGACGGAGGGAGGGACAGATGCAGAGAGAGAGAGAAAAAAAAACCCAAGTATAAGCTGTCTACAAGAGACTCACTTTAGATTTAAAGACACACACACCTGAACATGAAATAATGGAAAAAATATTGCATGCAATTGGTAACAAAAAGAGCAGAGGGGTAGCCATACTTATATTATACAAAATAAGTAAAAAACTGTCAAGAGAGAAAGAATGACATATAATAATGAGTCAATTCACCACACAGTTGTAACCATTATTAGTACATATGCATCTATCATCAAGGCACGTAAATATATAGAGTAAACATTGACAGGACTGAAGGTAGAAATTAACAATAGTAGGAGATTTCCACTCCCCACTCTCTATAATGTACAGAACTTCTAGACAGAAGACTAATAAAGAAACAGAGAACTTCAAAAATGCAATACACCAAATATCCTAGCAAACATATACAGAACATTCCACTCAACAGCATGAGAATATATATTCTTCTCAAGTGCACATGGAACATTCTCTGGGATAGATAAAATTCTAAGTTACAAAACAAATCTTACCAAATTTAAGAAGACTGAAATAATACCAAATATATTGTCCAATCACAAAGAAAGGGAAGTAGAAATTAAAAGCAGAAGGAAAATGGAGAGTTCACAAATATGTGGAAATTAAGCAACATGATCCTGAACAATCAATGGGTCAAAAAAAAATCAAAAAGGAAATTGGACAATAATTTGAGACCAACAAAAATGGACAAACAATATGCCAAAACTTGTGGAAGGAAACAAAAGCAGTACCAATAGGCAAGTTTATGGTAATAAACACTTAACATTAGAAAAGAAGAAAGATTTAAATAAACAACCTGTTTTTACACCAGATAAAGTAATGCAAAGTTAGCACAGGAAAGAAACAATAAAGATTAGAGCAGAAATAAACGAAATAGAGAAATGAAAATCAAAGTCAGCACAGGAAAGACACAGTAAAGATTAGAGCAGAAATAAATGAAATAGAGAAATGAAAATCTAATCAAAGATTAGAGCAGAAATAAAAGAAATAGAGAAATGAAAAAATAAAACTAAAAATTTCTTTTCAAAAGATCAACAAAATTGACAATCCTTTAGCTGGACTAAGAAAAAAACAGAGAACACTCAAATAAATAAAATCAGAAATGAAACAGGAGGTATTGCAATTGATGCCACATAAACTAAAAGGATTCTAAGAAACTGTTATGAACAATTATACACCAACAAATTGGGAAACCTAGAAGAAAGGGATAAATTACTAGAAACCTACAATCTACCAAGATGAATTACGGAGAGGTAGAAAATCTGAATGGATCTGTAATAATAAGGGGATTGAATCTGTAATGAAAACCCTCCCAACAAAGGAAAGTTTAGGAGCAGATGGCTTCACCAGTGAATTCTACCTAACAGTTAAACAACTAATGCCAATCATTCTCAAACTGTTCCAAAAAATTGAAGAGGAGGGAACACTTCCAAACTCATTTTATGAGGCCAGCATGACCCTGATATCAAAACCAGAAAACAGTACTGCAAGAAAACTACTTGCCAACATCCATTATGAGCATAAATGCAAAAACTCTAAACATAATGCTGGCAAACTGAATTCAACAGTACATTAAAAGGATCTACAACTATCTGATCTTTGACAAACCTGAGAAAAACAAACAATGGGGAAAGGATTCCCTGTTTAATAAATGGTGCTGGGAAAACTGGCTAGCCATATGTAGAAAGCTGAAACTGGATCCCTTCCTTACACCTTATACAAAAATCAATTCAAGATGGATTAAAGATTTAAACGTTAAACCTAAAACCATAAAAACCCTAGAAGAAAACCTAGGCATTACCATTCAGGACATAGGCGTGGGCAAGGACTTCATGTCCAAAACACCAAAAGCAATGGCAACAAAAGACAAAATTGACAAATGGGATCTAATTAAACTAAAGAGCTTCTGCACAGCAAAAGAAACTACCATCAGAGTGAACAGGCAACCTACAACATGGGAGAAAATTTTTGCAACCTACTCATCTGACAAAGGGCTAATATCCAGAATCTACAATGAACTCAAACAAATTTACAAGAAAAAAACAAACAACCCCATCAAAAAGTGGGCGAAGGACATGAACAGACACTTCTCAAAAGAAGACATTTATGCAGCCAAAAAACACATGAAGAAATGCTCATCATCACTGGCCATCAGAGAAATGCAAATCAAAACCACTATGAGATATCATCTCACACCAGTTAGAATGGCAATCATTAAAAAGTCAGGAAACAACAGGTGCTGGAGAGGATGCGGAGAAATAGGAACACTTTTACACTGTTGGTGGGACTGTAAACTAGTTCAACCATTGTGGAAGTCAGTGTGGCGATTCCTCAGGGATCTAGAACTAGAAATACCATTTGACCCAGCCATCCCATTACTGGGTATATACCCAAATGAGTATAAATCATGCTGCTATAAAGACACATGCACACGTATGTTTATTGCGGCACTATTCACAATAGCAAAGACTTGGAACCAACCCAAATGTCCAACAATGATAGACTGGATTAAGAAAATGTGGCACATATACACCATGGAATACTATGCAGCCATAAAAAATGATGAGTTCATATCCTTTGTAGGGACATGGATGAAATTGGAAACCATCATTCTCAGTAAACTATCGCAAGAACAAAAAACCAAACACCGCATATTCTCACTCATAGGTGGGAATTGAACAATGAGATCACATGGACACAGGAAGGGGAATATCACACTCTGGGGACTGTGGTGGGGTCGGGGGAGGGGGGAGGGATAGCATTGGGAGATATACCTAATGCTAGATGACACATTATTGGGTGCAGCGCACCAGCATGGCACATGTATACATATGTAACTAACCTGCACAATGTGCACATGTACCCTAAAACTTAGAGTATAATAAAAAAAAAAAAAAAAAAAAAAAAAAAAGGATCATATACAATGACCAAGTGAGATTTATCCTTGGGATGTAAAGGTGGTTCAACATATGAAAATCAGTCAAAGTGATAAAACGCATTAACAGATCAAATGATAAAAATTACACAAACATCTCAATGATGCAGGAAAGCGATGATATTAATATCCTTTCATGATTTGAAAAACCCTCAAAACAGATACAGTTTCAAATGATCTTATATGTAGAAAACCCAAAGATTCCCCAAAAACCTATTAGAATAAATAAATTCAGCAAAGTTGCAGGATACAAAATCAACCATCAGTTCCATTTCTATATGCTAACAATGAACAATCTGAAAAGGAAATGAATAATACCATTTACAACAGCATCAAAAACTATTAAAAAATACTTAAGAATAAACATGATCAAGAAGGCAAAAGACATATACACTGAAAACTATAAAACACTGCTGAAAGAAATTAAAGAAGACACAAATAAATGAAAAGACATTCCATCTTCAGGGATTCAGGATTCAAAGATTTAACATTATTAAAATGTCCATACTGCCCACAGCGACCTACATATTCAATAAAATCCCTGTGAATATCCCAGTGGAATTTTTTACAGAAAAAGAAAAAAAAATTCCAAAATTTATATGTAATCATAAAAGACTCTGAATCTCTGAATAAGCCATAAATCATACTGAAAAAGAAGAACAAAGCTGTAGGCCTCACATTCCTGATTTCAAAACATATTACCAAGCTACAACATCAAATCAATATGGTTCTGGCATAAAGACAGACACATGCATAGACCAACAGAATGGAACACAGAGCTCAGACAAATTCAACACATATATGGGGGGAAGCTGGAACCCTTATGTACTGTTGTTCAGGTATAAAATGGTACATTGCTTTGGAAAACCATATGGAGTTTCTTCAAAAAACTGAAAACAGAACCATATGACCCCACAGTCCCACTTCTGGGTATTTATCCACAAGAAATGAAATTAGGATCTTGAAGAGATATTTGCACCCCATGTTCATTGCGGCATTACTCACAAAAGGTGGAAACGACCTAAGTGTCCACTGAACGATGAATAAAGAATATGTGCTACAGTAGGCTCCCCTTATCTATCCATGTGGGATGTATTCTAAGACCCCCAGTGGACGCCTGAAATTTTGAATAGTACGAGACCCTATATATAGATGACCCTTAAAGAGAATGGGCTTGAACTGTACAGATCCACTAATATGCAGACTGTTTTCCATCAAATGAGGACTAATAATATGGCACTTGTGGGGCGTGAAACCCGAGTATGCAGAAGCCAACTTTTCTTATATGTGGATTCAACAGGGCTGACTGCAGGACTTGAGTATGTGGGGACTTTGGTATTTAAGGGGCGTCCTGGAGCCAATCTGTTGTGTGCATGGAGGGATGACGGTATACTATGTTTTCTCCTATACATACATACCTAACATAAAATTTAATTTATAAATTAGTCACAGTAAGAGATTAACCATAATAACTAATAATAAAATAGAACAATGATAACAATATGCCACCATCACTGTTCTCTGGGGCTAGTAAGTAAAATAAGGGTCACTTGAACACAAACACTGCGATAGCTGGACAGCTGATGTCATCACAGAGATGTCTATTAAGTGATTAAAGGATGGGCATATATAGGATGGCTATGCTGGACAAAGGGATGATTCACAGCTGGTCAGGATGCAGCAGGATTGAGAAAGATTTCATTACGCTACTGAGAACAGCATGCAACTTAAAACTTAAAATCGTTTATTTCTGGAATTCTCCGCTGAAAATTTTTTAACATCAGCAAACAAACTGCAGAAAGTGAAACCACAGATAAGGGAGACTACCGTACATACATATACTGGACCTCATGTAATTATTTCATCGAGTTTTGTGGATTTTTTATCTGCTTTACTTTTACCTTTTGCAAGTAAAGAACTGTTCCCTTCAGTACAGCATAAAAGGTTTTCCATCCTCGTTTTCCTCTTGGAGCTAGAAAGGGGGAAAAAATGTAAAATTTTATTTGACATCAGCATTTTAGAAAGAGAATCTAAATGATCAACATGGTGACAGTGTTTCAATATTCTACCTAGCTACCGAAAGTAATAACAATAAGAACTAAAATTTTCTGAGCCTTATGGTGTACCAGGCGGCATTCTAAAATGTTTTCCATATACGATCTTAATATTTACAATGCTCCTACCAGGTTGGTGCTATTTCTCTCTTCTTACAAAACTGAAACACAAGGCAATAACTTGCTAATGGTCCCACAACTAGGAAGAGTAGAAGGCTGAAAAACCAGGTAGCATGGCTGACAACAGACTGGGTAAGCACAGGAAGCATACTGGAAATACATAGCAATCCAAGAGAAAGCTTAAAGAGCTCATGTACCAGAGCCTTTATAGCTTCTTCAGAGACTCTAGAAATCACGAAGTAGTCTCAGAATATGAAAGGACCACTTTTGGCATTTCTCCCATACCCCCCTCAACCAGAGTGCAAGTTTAAATGTTATTACTCCTATTGCAACCTGTGCATATCTCTACTGAGGATCTTGCTGTAATGTACTATTTTCGTCTAAATGTCTCTTTCACTAGACTATGTATGACTTGACAGGAGGTATCCTTCATCTTTAGAATTCACCAAATCGAGTATACTGCAAGACAGACATTAAACACAATCATACAAATTATCCAAAATAATTAATTATTTCAGAAGTCCTTAGATTTCTTCTGTTTATATTTTTCTGGATATGAATTCTCTACTGACTTGTATAAACTCTTACAAATTGTTCTAAAGCAAAAAGCAATAGATTAGCAAAACAGTTTAGGATTTATTATCTTAATACAATTAAAATCTATAACTGGAAAATGTTATTGCTTGAATATCATTTTTCTAAACATGTCTGCTGAAATAGACAGGGAGAGCCATTTACTCATGCTCTTGTATCAAACATGTGGCTGTCTGTGGTCTGTCTTTAACCTGGATACCTGATTACATTAGAAAGTACATTATTGTCAACCAAATCCTTTAAATCTCTTTTGACTGAATACTCAAGAATTCTTAGACTTGGAACTAGGTGAATAGCCACTTACAGAACACAGGCAATCCTGCCAACACCATGCTGAGATATCCACCTGGCAAGAAAGGATTCAAAATATCCACCCTGCAGGTTTCCAAGGGAGATAATAAATATCATCCCTTCTGCCTCCACTAGGTGAGGCTTAAAGGTATACTAAAAATACATATAACCAAAAAAAAGCATACCATTATTTCCGTTATAAAGCAAAAAAGCAACTAAGATAAACAGATAACCATACATCACATATAAAATAAATATTCACTACATTGTTCAATAGATGTGAAATTCTGATACTGCCAACATGAGCACTGCGCACACAGAAGAGACCAGGGCTGAGAGGGCTGCTGCAGAGCAGGGCCTCAGGTGGCACAGTGTGCAGGAGGCACCTGACTTGAAAGCAGACCAGCTGGTTTCCAGCCCCTTCACAATCTCACCTGGTCTGAAAACTATCCTCCCACCCACCAGCCCCTAACAAGTCACTCTACTGCTGTACTTTTGCTTCATTTTAAAATGTGGGTAATTCCTAGAACTGAAGGCAAAGCATTGGCTAATGCTGGAATGGAACCTGGAGAAAATATTTTTGTTTTTAACAGAAGAGCCATAGGTCCTGAAGTACAAAGGCTTTCCCCGAGCCCTAAAACTAATTTATTGGCATCTTGCGATCCCTTTAGTTCAAAAATCTACACATCTACGTTTCTACTTTCGCAGTAGATCAATTAATCCAAGTACATGTTTACAAAATTTTAAACAGCTCTTTCTCATTACTACACTAAGCCTACTACAAAGAGATTCCAAAGAGCTCTCCAAGCGAAATGTGATTTTAAAAGTCACCCATGAGTGACTAATGCCCACTAAGTCAGTTACTTAGTAACTGACTTACTTATTGTACTCACTTACTGCAGTCTACTTTTCTATTTCCCACAGAAGTATAAAACTTAACCTTATCTTTGGCCAGTTACAATTTAGTAATCTAACACATGGATGAAACAACCTATAATCCTCCCAAAAAGATAACTAGGGAGCAATTATTCAACGGTATTTAGTTGGTGTGCTATAAAAGCACTGCTCTAAGTGCTCTGACACTTATTAATCCATTTAACTCACACCGTAATGCTAAGAGTAAGGTACTATTGATACTTCCATCTTACGTGAGACAGATGGGTGCAATCAAGCAGAATTCAGGGGAAGAAGGGACTACTGTGCACTAAAGTGGGCTGGGAAGGCTCTCTAGAGCAGGTGCAACTGCTCTGATTTGACAACCACACATACAGTGCCGCTGTTGCCACTGGACCCTTGGTGAGGCTCTTCAAGCAAAACACAATGAGCTGGATGCTAATGAATGACAAGCACTGGTCCTCATCATGAGGACTGTAGAAGGAGTTAAAGTGATTTCACAGCACGTGTGTTTTATTAAACACACAGAGGTCCGTAAAGAGTTGTAACTTCACATAATGAACTTGATGAGAGGAAGAGTGAAAAGATTACTGACAGGAAACCTAATGCAGCAACTGACAGGCTTTAACTACAAGGGCTGTGGGGAATCAATAGGCTGACATCCTTTAATATCCAGGTATCTTCCGTGAGAAAGTGTTTACTGAGTTTGATTAAAAGACACCATTTTACATGTGAGCCCATCTTTTCACTGCAGTTTTTACTGTGCATACTTAAGGTCCAAAGACAATCAATTGCTTTCCTTCTTGAAAATACAAGAAGCTTTTAGGGTTTTGATTCCAACAATCTGCCTCTAACCTTACTTTGGCTTTTCTTTTTTTTAATGCTATTGAAACAGGCATCATTGTTTTTCTATAACATGCTACTGTCAGTTTAATGTTTACTTTTATCTTTATTGATCACTTCTTTCTGTACCTCAGATTGCTTTTTGGAGGCCATTTTCAATTACTTCTTGAAGTCTATCCTTTAGAAGTTCCTTTAGTGAGGAGGGTCTTTTGGTGGCCAATCTTCTATTTTTGTTTGTATAATAAATGTCCTTATTTCATTAAAAATTCCAAGTTGATAACTGCTTTTTCTTATGAAGACATTATTTCACTATCTTTTGGCTAACACCATTGTTGCAATGTTGATAGTGTTTAGATCTGTGTGCCCACCCAAATCTCATGTTCAGCTACAATCCCCAGTGTTGGAGGTGTAGCCTGGTGGGAGGTGATTGGGTCATGTGGGTGGTTTCTCATGAATGGTTTAGCACCATCCGCTTCTCGTGACACTGAGTAAGTGAATGCTCGTGAGATCTGGTTGTTTAAAAGTGTGTAGCACCTCGCCCAGTTTGCTTGCTCCTTCTCTGGCCATTTGAAGCCCTGTTCCCCCTTCACTTTCAGCTATGACTGTAAGTTTCCTGAGGCCTTCCCAGAAGCTGAACAGATGCCAACATCATGCTTCCTGTACAGCCTGCAGACCCGTGAGCCAATTAAACCTCTTTTCTTATAAATTACCCAGTCTCAGGTTTTCTTTATAGCAGTATGAAAATGGACCAATACAGAAAATTGGTACTGTCAAGTGGGGCATTGCTTATAAAGATACCTGAAAATGTGAAAGCTACTTTTGAACTGGATAAAAATCAGAGGTTGGAAGAGGGTGGAGGGCTCAGAATAATACAGGAAGATGACTGAAAGTTTGGAAATTCCCAGAGACTGGATGAATGGTTATGACCAAAATGCTGGCAGTGATATGGACAGCAAAGGCAAGGCTAACAAGGACACAGATGGAAATGAGGAACTTACTGGGAACTGGAGTACAAGTCACTTTTGTTATGCCTTACCAAAGAACATGGCTTGCACTGTGCCTTTGCCCTAGGGATCTGTGTAACTTTGAACTTGAGAGTGATGATTTAGGGTATCTGGCAGAAGAAATTTCTAAGCAGGAAAAGTGCTCAAGATGTGGTCTGGCTGTTTCTAACATCCTATGCTCATATGTGTGAGCAAAGAAATGACCTAAAACTGGAAGTTAAATTTAAAAGAGAAGCCGAGCATAAATGTTTGAAAAATTTGCAGCCTGGCCACGTGATAGAAAAAAAAAAGGCCTATTTTCAGAAGAGGAATTCAAACAGACTGCAGAAATTTGCATAAATTAAAAAGAAGCCAAGTGCTATTAGCCAAGACAATGGGGACACGGCCTTGAAGGTATTTCAGAGACCTTCACAGCAGCCCCTCTCGAGGCCTAGGAGGGAAGAATGGTTTCATGGGCCAGAGCCAGGGCACTGCTGCCCTGTGAAGCCTCGGGACACTGCTCCTTGCATCCCAGCTTCTCCAGGTTCAGCCATGGCTCAAAGGGGCCTGGGTACAGCTTGGGCTGCTGCTACAGAGCATGTTGGCCACAAACTTTAGTGGCTTCCATGTGGTTTTAAGCCTGTGGCTACAAAGAGGACAAGAACTGAGGCCTGGGAGTCTCCACCTAGATTTCACAGGATATATGAAAAGTCTGGATGTACAGGCAGAAGCCTGCTGCAGTGGTGGAGCCCTCATGGAGAATTCCCTACTAGGGCAGTGTGGAGGGCTAATGCAGGGTTAAAGCCCTCACACAGAGTTCCAACTGGGGTGCTACCTAGTGGAGCTGTGAGAAAAGGGCCATTGTCCTCCAGACCTCAGAATGGTAGAGCCACTGACAGCTTGCACCATATATGCCTGGAAAAACCGAAGGCAGTCAATGCCATCCCATGAGCGCAGCTGCAGGGGCTGAACCCTGCAAAGCCACAGAGACAGAGCTGTCCAATGCTGTGGGAGCCTACCCCTCATACCAGTGTGCCCTGGATGTTAGACATGGAGCCAAATAACAATTTTTTGGATCTTTAAAATTTAATGACTGGCCTTCTGGGTTTCAGACTTCTATGGAGCCTGTAGCCCCTTTTTTTTGGTCCATATATTCCTTTTGGAATGGGAATATTTTCCCAATCCCTGTATCCCCATTGTATCTTGGGAGTAACTAACTTGTTTTTGATTTTACAGGTTCATAGGTAGAAGGAACTAGCTTTGTCTCAGATGACACTTCAGACTTTGGATTTCTGAGTTAATGGTGGAATGAGTTAAGACTTTGGGGAACGTTGGGAAGGCATGATTGTATTTTGCCATGTGAGAAGGACATGATATTTGGGAGGGGCCTGGGGCGGAATGATATGGTTTAGATCTGTGTCCCCACCCAAATCTCATGCTAAATTGTAATTCCCAGTGTTGGAGGTGGGGCCTGGTGGGAGGTAATTGGATCATGATTCATCAATGGTTTAGCACTACCTCCTTGGTGCTGTTCTCATGATAGTGAATGAGTGCTCATGAGATCTGGTTGTTTAAAAGTGTGGAGCACCCCCCTTCTCTTTCTCCTGTGGCCATGTGAAGTGGTGCTCCCCCTTTACCTTCCACCATAATTCTAAGTTTCCTGAGGCCTTCCCAGACACTGAGCAGATGCCAGCATCATGTTTCCTGTATAGCCTGTGGATCTGTGAGCCAATTAAACTACTTTATAAATTATCCAGTCTCGGGTATTTCTTCAGATGAGTGTGAGAATGGACTACTACAGATTTCTACCCTGAGTCTAAATGCTATGTCTAAGCACAGGTTTCTTTAATTTACACAGACTGCTGTTCTTTGAGCTTCCTGTGTATTATTTTGAAAAACCTGTAGACATTATAACTTTGAATAATGTCTCTCCTCTATCATCTTCATGATTGTAACCTGACACTCCATTCTAACTTCTCACTTCATTCCACTTGTGACTTATTCACTCTTTCATATTCTCCATCTCTCTGTACTTGTGTGCTAAATGCTGTGTAATTTTATCTTCAGTACTGGTAGGCCACCTAGATCCAAAAATGTCCTGAAGGCTTAGCATCCCCAGGGTTGGCCACCTCCCCACATTTGTACTCATGCTTTATTCCTGGCCTAACAGGATTTCCCTTTCATTGTTACAGGCTTATCCATTCAGATAAAAGTTATCTAAAAATATTTCATCTATCAGTTTTAGATGTTTTATTATGGGAGAGTTTCAGAATCTGTAGGCCATCACATTGCAAAAAATAGATTCTCTATTGCATTTTTCTTTCCTTCTTTTTATAAGAAGGGAAGAATTTATGCACAAACTTTGTTATCTAGGAAGAATTCATTTGGAGCAGGATGCAGGAGATATTGCAGAGTGAGAACAAGGAGAGAAACTGGAACAAGGGGAACCAGTAAGGAAATTATTACAGTAGGTGAGATAAGAGAAAAAGGCCAGAACATGAATAGAGGCATACGATACATTAAGATAAAATGGAAGGAAAGGGAAAGGCATTAACATTAACTAAGCACCTACACTGCAGCACTCTGAGTGTTGGGCTAACGTTATACCTATACGTTCTATGTGTTCCAAACAATCTTTTCAGGTAGGTATTATTGTCTCTGTTTTATATTTTATGCCCCCATTATTAACTATATTTACAATTCTGAAAGGTAGAGTATGCCCCCAAGGAAGCTACCCATCTAAGGATTTCAAAGCTACTGTACAGGACAATTAAGTAAATATTTTCTAAAGATACATTAAGAAATAGAAAATATCCAGGTGACAATTCTTTGCAGTGGTCGGTCTGCTACTCCTGTGAGGTGGGCACTGAAGGCAGGAAGAGAGATGATGAGATAAGAGGGAAATATAACCAGGTACTTTCTCTAATCTCACTCAACTATAGGACCTTCAAAGGCATCCCTGCTCATGACTACAGATCTCAGAACAGAGGCACAGTCTCTGTGCCTGCCCCCTCAGGTGCTCCCAGCTCCACATTTCTGCAGAATAGTTATCTAATATTACTAATAATTACAGAAGTAGTAATAGCACAGCAAATGATTGCTGAACACATACTGTTTTAGGCACTGTTCCAAGATTTGACCTGTATAAACAAAAGCCCGTAAGTCTATGAGGGATCCACGGTTATAACCTCCATCTCACAGATGTGGAACCTATGACCACCTTCCTCTCACCTCCTATGAACCGGCAGCACTTGTTTCTCCATAGCACTGGGCGTTTTCACTCTGGTTTCCATACAGAGAAAGGCCAGCTAAACTAGATTCGGGAGGCAATGTCTTGGATAAATCTGGGATCTAGGAGTGATATTAAAATTACTTAAGAGCTGAGGCTGGGCACGGTGGCTCACGCCTGTAATCCCAGCATATAACAAGACTCCACTGCTACAAAAAAAAAAAACAAAACAAAAAAAAAAAGGAAGTCAGGTGTATTAGTACATTCTCACATTGCTAATAAAGATGTACCTATGACTGGGTAATTTATAAAGGGAAGAGGTTTAACTGACTCACAGTTCAGCATGGCTGGGGATGCCTCAGGAAATGTACAATCACGGCAGAAGGGGAAATGATTATGTCCTTCTTCACATAGCAGCAGCAAGGAGAAGTGCCGAGCAAAAAGGGGAAAAGCCCCTTATAAAGCCATCAGATCTCAGGAGAACTCACTCATTATCATGAGAACAGCATGAGAGTAATGGCCCCCAACAATTAAATTACCTCCCACCAGGTGGGAACTACAATTCAGGATGAGATTTGGGTGGGGACACAGCCAAACCATATCACCAGGCATGCTGATGCATGCCTATATTCCCAGCTACTTGGGAGGCTGAAGTAGGAGGACTGTTTCAGTCCAGGAGGTTGAGGCTGCAGTGAGCCATGATCGTGCCACTGGATTCTATCCTGGGTGACAAAGTGAGATCCTGTCTCAAAAAAAAAATTATTTAAGAGTTGATTCAGGAGCTACCTTGAGCTGTTGGGAAAAGCACTGTTCCAGTCAGATTGAAGGGACATCCACAGTAAATGGTCTGTACCAGTACACAGTCTCTGAGTATCAGCTCTGGCTTGGGGGCTGCTTCCTGACCAGTATGGGTGAAATTAAGAAGTGAATGAAACCAACAAGCTGCTGTGATCGTTATTCTGAGTCAAACTCACATACACATGAAGACCACATTTCTGCAATAGAAAAATTGGCAGTTCCTCCAAAGATGGGTGATATTGGAGCCATCACTGAATCTTAAATATTACAAACCAGTTATTATTTTCTCTTTATTACTAATTTGAAGAAACATATTTGGAAATATAAAGTACAGTGAATAATATTTTGGCTTTAGTTATTACCACTGATTTTTGTAAAAGTGAAATGCTTAACGGGGAATGAAAAGACAGTATCACCCCTCTTTCATAAAGAGGAAGATATAAAATATTTCTAAACAATAAAATATTCATTAACGAGTAATAATGGATTTATGCCAGAAAAGTTTTTTTTTAATCCACCAAAAGGTATAAGCTTCATGCAGAAGTTTATATTTGCATGCTATACTCTCCAACTTTTCTTCTCAACTGAACTGGAAATGGATTGTGTTTAAGATTTTACTGTTCCAATTTTCTATTTCATTCAAATGGCAGAGCATTTGTTCCTACATCAAAATCTTGTCCTGTTTTTTGACCACTCATCTCTCTGGGTGCCCTGATCATCTTTTTTTTCCTTTTCCTCATGTTTACTATCAGAAAGTCATAATATGGATAGAAAGTCATAATATGGATAGAAAGACATAGTATGAGCATTGCCTATTGTTTTCATTTAACATATTAATCTTTACTTCCTGTCTGTTGTCTTGAAAATATTCTCCCATTGTTCCATGTAAAATGACAAAAAAACCATTTTATTCCCCTCAGAGTAGAGAGAGAGAATTAGCCATATACACATTAATGAGAAGTAATTTATTTTTCAGGGCCTCACCAAGAGTCTTGGCGTGAAGGCCGACAATGCAAATCCTGCCAGGCCAAGAAACAGGTATGTGGGGATGAGGTAGTTCTAATGCAAAATATCTTGAATTTCCTGAGGTTAACGGAGAAAGATATTCACAATATAAAGCAATCCCAATGATGGCATTCCAAAATAAACCCAGCACTTTAATGAACTTGAAAACAAAGATATACTTAGCAGAAGTTCTGTACTAATATAAGTGAGACATCATCTATACTAGCTGTAAAAAGCACAAGGCATTTTTAAGACTGTTCTATTTTCTCAGTGATAGAACTAAACAACTTAAAGTATCTTTAAAACAAAATCCTTAAAGTATGTAGCCTAAAGCATGAAGAAACAGGCTACCTTGATAAGAAGGGAGTTCTGAAGTTCTAATCAATGACACAGTTGAAGATACAACTCACGCAGGGAGGAGTCTGCTTTCTGCAATTGATGTGCAAAGAATTTAAATAAGTTCATAGATGACAGACTCACAGATGATTAAGTGAAGTTAAGGGTAATCCTGTATATTAACCTCTAACTTTCTTTTACAAAATATCCTCAGGCATCACAAGATATTCTATTACATCTTAATTAATAGAGCAGCTCAGGCACTTTTAGATTACTGCTTGAAGCAATCAAGTCCAAGCTGAGCAAAGGAAAATTTACCACTGGGCTATGAGTCACACAGTATTCCAGTATTCAGCAAGTGACAGTATTAATTATCCCTGGTTTATAGCAGCGTGGTAGCACTAAAACAGTACTATTACTACTATATATTCCTAATCACTTATCTTTGAAACACTTAAGGCAATTTACACATTACAAAAAAAATCACTTAATCCTTATAGTCTTTCTCTTTTATAAAAGGATGCTTTGTCAACTCTATTTTATAAAGGAAAAAAGTAGGGCAGCCTTGTAGGAACTGTTAAAGCAAACTAAATATGGCCTTAGGACTCTATACTTCTTTATTTGAGTCCTTGTGGATGAACTGCAACCTAACTTAATAGGTAGACAAGATTGAAAACCTAACTTAGGAGTATGCACCTGTAACAATACCTGAGTCTTGGCCAATCCCAGTGGTTGTACTTCAACCACTCATACACTGCTGAGTGTTCGAACTGTATTCAAATAAGGTACGTGCTGAGCTGTAACCAACCCAGTTGTTTCTGTACCTCACTGCTGATTTCTGTATGTCACTTCCCTTTGTTTGTCTATAAATTTGTTCTGACCACGAGGCATCCTTGGAATCTCTCTGAATCTGCTGTGATTCTGGGGGCTGCCTGATTTCAGAATCATTCATTGCTCAATTAAACTCCTTTAAATTTAATTGGGCTGAAGCTTTTCTTTTAACAGAACCTATACCTATTGCTTTTCCCAGAAAATTATTTCCTTTTCTTATATAATAGCAACCAATGCATATTTTGATAGAGAATAAGAAATGAAAACAAAGAGAGAATTGGAAGAATATTCTATTCAAAGTGTTCCCTAGTGGGGTGCTGTTCATTCTGGATGTGGCTCTATTCCTATAAGAGGTCTCAAGACTTTTACCCTAAAATGTTCTGAAATGCCAGAAAGTATCATAAACTGGGAGCTAGGCACTTAGATTTTATTCACACCATGATGCCCACTATTTCTCCGCTTTTGGACAAGTAATCTAAACATCTCTGGTTAAAAATCTATACAATGAATCTACTACGATGTGCCATAATTACTTTATAATGTTGTTGAGTTAATCTGGGTACATAAGATTATTAGGACACATACCCTACCCCTAAATAATTTACATATACAGGCAGTAACATAAACAATGAAAGTTAATTTAACATGATAAACTGTATAAACTAAATGGTAGCATGGCACTAACCTAAGACAATCACAGTGGGGATTCCAGGAGGTAAAACAAGGAGGAGGTCATTAATTCTGCTTATGAATAGGATTTAGAGGTTAGAGAACACTTTAAATGAGGGTGTAATTTAATGTAGGATTTTGGAAAAAAAAAAAAAAAAAGGTTTTTCTTTTAACCTTCACCTTTTGTACAGTATGTTAGCAGGAAGACATGGAATCAAAATGTGGATCCCAATTTTGGAAGTCTCAAAACATTGCAAATGATCATCATCCTTTAGCAAGACAGCCTAAGAACAACAGTTAAAACACATAATTTTTTATTTTTTAAGAGGACACATTTTAGAACCAGAGAACCTGGTTTGAGATACTGGCTTCACCTGAGTGACCTTGGACAAGTCACTTAGCCAGTCCTATGCTTTACTTTCTTCCTGTATAAAACAGTTTTTCTGAGACTTAGATGAGTTAATATATGCAATCCTTTGGATTTTTTTTTTAATTAAAGATACTGTCTGCTAAAGAAAATGCATCAAATTTTCATGCTAAAACACAAAGAAAGACTTTTTTTCTCACTTCTGTGAAAATAAGCTGTGAAAATAAGCAATTTAAATCTAAGTTGCTGGAACTTTATTAGAGCCTTAAGGGAATGTGATTAAGGGACCTGGATGGATCACATTAACAGGCAGCTGTAACCTAGGAAGCTGTAAGCTTTGCTTCTCTGATTGTTTGTCTGATTATAGATTAGCCTTTTTCCTTATCTACACTGTTTTGTAAAATGTTGCAAATGACTAAAAGGCAGCAGGGAAGACCCCTTCTTGCTTAACTGTTGATCTTCATTACAGATTAATTTCCCTCTTACCTTTCTCACACAAAGACTTGATGATGACTATCACATTGTCTAAGGTGGAATGTTAAATGAACTCTTTTAAATTGTGAAGTAAATGATAACAAGCTGTAAAGAAGAAAAACAAGCTGTACGGAAAAGAAAAATAACTAAATTATTATAACCCACAAAGCAGCCTTACATAAAAAAAAGTTACAATCCTACTAAATTTCTTTGTTTCTGCCCATATATAAGCAAGACCTTAAGTTTTTACTTCAGAGCACTGGCCTCATTTCTCTGGAGTCCATGTTTCCCAGATTCTTGCTTGAATAAACTCTAAAATTGGATTCTGATGCTTTCAGTTACTTCAGGTTGACATTTCATTCATGTATTCGGAATTTTTTTTGTAAGTCAATGTTTGAGAACACCGCTTTAACGTTACTGATGCATTTTTTTTTTTCTTTTGAGACGGAGTCTTGCTCTGTTGCCAGACTGGAGAGCAGCGGCGTGATCTCGGCTCACTGCAACCTCCACCTCCTGGGTTCAAGCCATTCCCCTGCCTCAGCTTCCCCAATAGCTGGGACTACAGGCGCCCGCCACCCGCCTGGATAATGTTGTTGTATTTTAGTAGAGATGGGTTTCACTATGTTGGCCAGGATGGTCTTGATCTCCTGACCTCGTGATCCGCCTGCCTCGGCCTCCCAAAGTGCTGGGATTACAGGCATGAGCCACCGCACACGGCCTACTGATGCATTTTTAACAGAAACACTTAGCACATACCACCCTTAACTGGGAAGAGAGCTAAGTGTGACACATTTACTCCGATTAATATATTTATTGTTTTCATTTTGTCCCAAGTCCTGTATTGACATTGGAGATATCAAACATGAATGCAAACAATAAAAGTAGACAATAGAAGAGACAAAAGCTGTTGGAGAACTTTCTACCCAAAAGATGAGCCACAGAGTCGCTCAGATCTAACTTAAAAACAAGTATCTTTCCCCACTTGGCCAGGAGACGGTTTCACTGGCAGCCATTACTAGACGTGCAGGAAGAATTTACATGGCTTGGGCTGAGGTTGGAAAACAGGTCAGAACACAAGAGCATGCATCATTAGCTAAGGGTTACCGGAAACGTGTGTGGGAAGCAACAAATCCCAAAATGACTCTCACTACATCATTTTTTTCAGGAAAAATATAAACACCAGTGATAGAGACAGGAGGCAGCCAAGGACCCCTCCTGCCCCCAACACCTGACGAAATGCCGCCTTCAAGCCTAAAACAGCATGAGGGATGAAAAACCAGACTGCCGGTCCGGATGAAGCCCACCCTTTTCCCCAAATGATTCTTTCTGAATAACGCCCATCTGCACATTGGGAGGAGGGGGTGGGGCCTTGGGAAGTTTGCACTGTTTGCAGGGGGGAGGAGCCTGGTCTCTCTCGTTTCTGTGTGGTAAGGTGGGATTTAATCCCTGAGATGGAGAGCCTGTTAGCAGGACTCTTATCTCACTTTGCTGATGCGTATTTCCTTTTTCATTTCTGCCTAATAAATTCCACTTGTCACCCTTCTACGTGTCTGCGAGCCTAATCTTTCCTGGTCGTGTGACAAGAACCCCGTTTTTTTTCCTGCAACGCTAGAGTCACAGAATTATTTTTTGAATCTTAATGAATGATACCTCACATTCTCTATGGCTAGAATGTTCCTCTCCCAGATACCATGACTTGGCCCCTTCACTTCAGTTAGGTCTCTGCTCAAATGTTATCTGTGAAACATAGAAAACGGCATCACTACAGTTCAGGGCTCTAAAGCAGAATCCATTCTCAGGGCTGCCTGCACCACTGGCAACCTTGCAAAACAACCCAGTACCTTGCCTTGAATCTTTGAAGTGCACCTAACCACCACAACCATGATATCCTGAAAAACAGCTGAATTTCACCAGCGCTGCAACTCCTAAACAGCAACAATAAATGAACTATGGACTTGTGCTAAGCCGGCCGCCTCCACCCATGATAATTCCTTCAAAACAACTTGTGTAATCCTTTAGTTTCCTTTGAAAAACCCTCACTTGGTTTGGAACACAATTTGGCTTACAGCCAAATCTGTGTCTCCTGAATTATAATTCCTAAGGGCCCAATAAATGTCTTGTCTTACTGCATTGCGGTCTGGTTTGTCATCTCTTCTTAGTTGACATGCCTCATCCTGGGGTTTCCTCTAATCACTCTCTGCAACATAGGACGTGTATGCTTCCTTCAGTATTTCCTAACCTTGACTTTACTTTTCTTTGGGTCAGTTAACAGCTGTGTAACTTATCACAAAGTTTTTATTAAGCTTCTCCAGCATTAGAATAAAACCTTGAAGGCAAGTACGTTGGTTTGTTGCTGCAACCACAGAGCAGATTAACCCCTTCTCCCCCATCCCCCCCCCAAAAAAATCAGATGTCCTAAACTAGCATGTAGATGGCATCATTCAACAAATATTACCGGGAATTTTTTTTTTTTTAGTGCTTAATCTTTTAGGTAAAACGCAGGATGCTTAAAGAGAAAAGAGGAGGTAGAATAAAACTGTGGTCGATTATTCCAATAAGACATTGAATATGGGAATAAGGTATCAGTAAACACCCAGGCTTAAAAGGAACAAATAAGGCTTAATACATTACTGTGGGTTTTCATGGGTTAATTAAAGAATGAACATTTGTGACAAGTGACTTCAAACTTCTATCAAACAAATGACATTTCATATACATATTTTTTTCTTTTGAGACAGGGTGATTACAGCTCACTGCAGCCTCCAATTGCCAGGCTCAAGCAATCCTCCCACCTCAGCTTCCTGAGAAGCTGGGACTACAGGTGTGCACCATCATGCCTGGCTAATTTTTTTTTTGTTTTGTTTTCATAGACACGGGGTCTTGCAATGTTGCCCCGGCTGGTCTCGAACTGCTGGGCTTAAGCGATCCTCCTGCCTCAGCCTCCCTAAGTGTTGAAATTACAGGTGTGAACCACTGCACAGGCCTCATAATTCTATAAAGTATATCTGACTGAAGGAATATGCTGGAGAACTTGCTGTTTTTAATAATCACTTCAAAAAGTTAGGCATAACAAAAATTTCCTGAAATTCAATGTTAGATATGAATTCTAAATTTCTTTTCAAAGAATATGTCAATATGTTCAATTCTTTGCCGTCTACTTTTAAACTTAACTTCCTCGTAAAGCAACCTTTTTCGATTACCTACTCCACCCTGACTCATTCCAATTACCTACTCCACCCTGACTCATTCTGATCACCTGCTGCACCCTACATTCCAATCACCTGCTCCACCCTAACTCATTCCAATTACCCCCAACCTGCTCTGCCCTGACTCCTGCCAAAGCACTCACCCAGTGACTCTCTTTAAATTAGTCAATCGGAATTAGTTTAGCCTGTGCGGTCTAACCCTAGCCAATAAGGGAATGACACAGCAGCAAGGGCCACGGGCATCAGGGATAAGAACCCCTTCCCCTCCCTTGTCCAAGTATGCGCTCACCATTGTTCCATCTGTAAGGGCGCACCCTTCTATATAGAAGTAACGTGTCTTGCTGAGAATTAAAAAGAAAATTTTATATTTGAGTGATATTTTCTTTTGCAGCACTGAAACTTTATATATAACATTTGATAAGTTCGTTTATGTGAAAGGTGTGAACATTGATCAAGAAAATCAAGCATACTATGATTTTTTTCATAATATCTAGAGCAGTTTCTAGACCTTTTTACATACCTTTTAAGAGCAGGGTGTTAAAATAAATGTAAGGTTAAATCATCGCAGTCTATCTGAGAAGGGCAGGTAACTGCTGAATCAGACAAGTGGGCTTGTCAAGTGACAGCAAATCAGGTTTCCTCAACCTCTGAAGCACCCCAGAAGCCAGGGAAGGACAGAGCGAAGACCCTGCTGTGCACGCATTTCTACAACTAGCAATTCAAATAAGCTATTGTAATTGTAAAACAGCCCAAGGCCCACGGGCATCTTTAAAATGCCTCCGGGCAAAAACAGCTGAAGGTCAATAAAAATAACTCAAAGTGGCTGATGAGCAGCCTCCAGACAGAATCTGTTCTCCAAGGAATATAACAGCCTCACTTGCTTTTCCCCAACCTAGGAGCTCCAAAAGTGACTTCAAGCTTTGCCTACTGATAGGTGTTCCTGGCCCTCATTACAGGGCGAGGGCTCTGGCTTACCACTCACGCGCAGGAGCCAGAAAACGGTCTGCTACAGACTGCACCTGAGGTGATGCTGCTCCACGATGGCCTCTTAGCTTTTCCCAACTCAGACCACGTTTCTTCCATTTATCAGATGTCCAGTGCGTTCAAGTGCTCTTCACTGAGGAAAACCAAAATACCCGACCCTACAATACATTTCTTTGACATATTTTTGAGATGGCCTTTCAGAGGCCCTGCAAACAGAAGTAGCTCTGCAAAGCTATCTTTTGTGGGGGAGATTTGCATCTGTGGAGAGAATCTGTATTGATGGTGGCCAGGCATTCTCCGAGGCCTTCCCTCGTCTGGATCTAGGAAAGATTAACTCAGTGTCTGACATCTTTAAGGGTCTGAAAGAAACATTCACCATCTATTCTCGCTCTCATCATGCCTAGGTTTTACCACCTACTTGTGAGATTTCATTTACTTAACAGGAACACCTTTGCTAGCCAGGCCTCATCTTCCTCTCTTTTCTTTTCTTTTTTTTTTTTTGAGACGGAGTCTCGCTCTGTCGCCCAGGCTGGAGTGCAGTGGCGGGATCTCGGCTCACTGCAAGCTCCGCCTCCCGGGTTCACGCCATTCTCCTGCCTCAGCCTCCCAAGTAGCTGGGACTACAGGCGCCCGCCACCACGCCCGGCTCATTTTTTGTATTTTTAGTAGAGACGGGGTTTCACCGTTTTAGCCGGGATGGTCTCGATCTCGTGACCTCGTGATCCGCCCGCCTCGGCCTCCCAAAGTGCTGGGATTACAGGCGTGAGCCACCGCGCCCGGCCATCTTCCTCTCTTTTCATAACCTGTTTTGATCCAAGCCCCCATTCTTTCTGTAACTTCAATTATAAGGTAAAAGTTTCTCTACTCCATTGAGGGTCGTGTAATCAATCTATGATTTTCCCCTGTGTGCATGTTAATAAATTTGTACACCTTTTCTCTCATTCACCTGGCTTTGGTGAGTTGATTTTTCAGTGAACCTTCAGAGGGTGATGGGGAAGTTTTTTTCCTGGATGACCCCTACAGTATAGAACCTTCTAATCATTTTACTATGTACACACATGCAAAACAAACTGAGATATTATATTTGTTAATTTTAAACTTTTCTACTGGCCGGGCATGGTCGCTCATACCTGTAATCCCACCATTTTGGGAGGCTGAGGTGGGTGAATCACCTGAGGTAAGGGGTTCGAGACCAACCTGACCAACATGGTGAAACCCCATCTCTACTAAAAATTCCAAAATTAGCTGGTCGTGATGGTGGGTGCCTATAATCCCAGCTACTCGGGAGGCTGAGGAAGGTGAATCGCTTGAACTTGGGAGGCGCAGGTAGCAGTGAGCCGAGATTGCACCATTGCACTCCAGCCTGGGTGACAAGAGCGAAACTCCATCTCAAAAACAAACAAACAAAACTCTTATATTTATATATCATACATTGTAAGCCCATAATAAAATTCTAAGCTCCCAACTGCCTGAATGAACCCTACTCTTGGTGAAGGGGATTCCAAAGGAACTTGAAAAACCAGTTTAGGACATGACAGAAAGGGGGTGTTGGACATGCCTCATTATGCCCTCCTCCCTTTGGAGTTTAGGCACAACTGACCAGCACTAACACTAAAATGGAGATCCCGACACTGACAAAACAGACTCTTAGTAGCACTAAGATACCAATTTCAACCTGACTCTAATATAGCATCACATGATGGATAGCAGGTCCTAAGGGAAATCAAAGTATTGTACCCCAAAATGCATTTTCTTTGACATATTTTGAAATGATCTGCAAAGCCGTCTCTAGTGGGGGAAATCTGCATTCTATAGAGAATCTCCCTCCCTTGCTAAATCTTTTCTGGAGAGTCTAGTATCTTTTAAGGTCCAGTAAGAGACATTTGACATCTATTCCCTCTGAAGTCTATTATTTAGAGACTTCATCTATATAACAAGAACCTTGGCTTCCACCCCACCACCCCCTCAACTTAACTCAAATATTTATTTATGCTGACTATAACTCTTCAGATAAAGCTTAAGTCTTTCAAGCAATTGACAATCAGGAAATCTTTCAATCCGTCTATGACCTGGAAGCCCCTGCTTCCAGGTGTCCTGCCCTTCTGGGCTAAATCAATCAATGCATGCCTTATATGTGTTGATTTATGTCTTTGCCTATAACTTTGGTCTCCCAAAAATGTATACAGACAGGTTATAACCCAACCACCTTGGGCACATGTTCTCAGGTCATCCTGAGGCTACGTCATGGGCCATGGTCACTTGTATCTGGCTCAGAATAAGCCTCTTCAAATATTTTACAGACTTTGGCTTTTTTTTGTCAACAATATCATTTTTAAAAATGATGGCAAATGATGAAATTCTATTGCTGTATCTATCATATTTTACTTATTAAACATTTTATTGGCCATTAAACTGTTTCTAAAATGATGTTATTTTGTAACTAAAATAACAACTGGATTCCTTCTATGTACCAGGCAGTGTACTACACACCATAACAGGTATTAGCCGTATTTGATTGCTCTCACCTTAAGGTTTTTGCATTTTTTTTTTCTAATGGGATATTCTTTTCTTTTCTATTTTTGTAAGACGGAGTGCAGTGGTGTAATCATGGCTCACTGCAGACTTAACATCCTGGGCTCAAGCAATCCTCCCACCTTAGCCCCCTGACTAGCTGGGTCTAGGGGCGTATGCTACCATGTTTGGCTAACTTTTTATTCTTTTATTTTGTAGAGATGGGGTCTTAATATGTTGCTCAGGCTGTGGTGGAATACGCTTATCCATGACCTTTGTGTCCAAAGATATCACGGAACTTCCTTTTGTAATTCAGTTCTCAGCCGAGTAACAAGGCATATCCTCTATCTCTACTCCTCCTCACCAAGAGTATTACTGGCATACTGCTTGAGCTCAAAGTGTTTTTTAAAAAATAAATCAATGATCTATCTTGCTTCAAAGCTCAAATTCTTAGGTCTATCTAGTGTAAACAAATAAAAAATCCTAAGCCCTCCAACCAACTGCATGGACCCCCTCTTGACCAAAAGAAACCTAAAAAACTGAATGCCTGCCACGATGGGATGGAAGTTCAGATGCACCTCCTTATATCCACTTCCTTTTCAAGTTCAGGCCCGACTGACCAGCATTACGGTTAAAATGCAGATCAAAAGACTGATCAAAACAGACTCTGTGTGGCAATAAGATACCAGATTATAAACAAGACCTAAGGCCACTGGGGTATGCTGGCTCATGCCTGTAATCCCAGCATTTTGGGAGGCCGAGGCAAGTGCATCATCTGAGATAAGGAGTTTGAGACCAGCCTGACCAACAAGGTCTGACCCACCTCTACTAAAAATACAAAATTAGCCGGGTGTGGTGGTGCGTGCCTGTAATCCCAGCTACTTGGGAGGCTGAGGCAGGAGAACGGTTTGAACCCGGGAGGCAGAGGTTGTAGTGAGCTGAGATCACGCCACTGCACTCCAGCCTGGGCAACAAGAGTGAAACCTCATCTCAAAAAAAAAAAAAAGACCTAAGGCCGTGTGGCCATGTGAGGCAAAGGTGAAGTCACACCCTAACCATAAAATTTCACTAAATGGATTTTTATTAACCTGGTATAACGTGGCTTACTCCCCAACCTGACTCTGGTATAGCATCACATGACAGCAGACCCTGAAAGCAATCACAATATTTTACCCCAAAATAAATTTCTTTGAACTATTTTGAAATGACCCTCCAAAGCCGTCCTTTGTGGGGGAAATTAACATCTTTGGAGAATCGCCATTGATGCAGCCAGGCCTTCCCTTTCTAGGCCTTTCCCAGATGTAGGAGAGATTAGCTAAGAGCCCAACACCTCAAAAGTCTGAAAAGAGACATTTATAGTCTGTTTCTCTGAGGGCTGCCACCCATGAGGCTGCTTCTACGTGATAAGGGCCGTGGCTCCCAGAGCCTCCTTAACTCAAGCATTCCTGTCTACTCTTCAAGTCCTCAGACAACAGCTTAACTCTCTCAACCAATAACTCAACCATCCCTAAAACCCACCTATGACTTGTAAGCCCCCATTTCAAGATGCTCACCTTTTGGGGCTGAACCAATGGATACCTTTCATGTACTGATTTATGTCTTTGCCTGTAACTCATCTCCATAAAATGTATAAAACCAAACTGTAACCTGACTGTCTCGGGACTACTTACTGAAGGGTTCTTGGGTTTGTGTTTTTTTTTTTTTTTTTTCCCCAGGCTGTGGTCACTCACATTGGCTCAGAATAAACCTCTTTAAGATATTTTATGGAGTTTGGAGGGCCAGGCATGGTGGCTTACACCTGTAATCCCAGCACTTTGGGAGGCCAAGCCTGGTGGATCACTTGAGCCCAGTAGTTTGAGGCCAGCCTGGGCAACATGGTGCAACCCTATCTCTATAAAAAATAAAAAATTAGTGGGGTGTGACAGCACATTCCTGTGGTCCCAGCTATTCAATAGGCTGAGGTAGGGGGGACTGCTTGAGCCTGGGAGGCAGAGGTTGCAGTGAGCCCAGATCACACCACTGCACTATGGCCTGGGTGAGTGAGCAAGGACCTGTCTCAACAAAAGAAAAAAAGAGAAAACATTTTGCAGAGTTTGATATTTCCATTAACATTAGTGATAACATCTTTTGCATATACATTCTTATCCCCATGATTAATTCCTTTAGGAAACTAGTACGGTATTTTTAATTTCAAATTTTCATCAGATTATTAAAGAATTTGACACACTGCATTAAATTACCACAACAGGGATGGAAGAATTATTTTCTTCTTTCTCCTAAATGTTAATTAAACCGAAATCATAAACAGAACGAGTCAGCAGTGAAAATAGAATAACCTCTAAAAATCACATGCACAGTGAAAACTGAACATTCCTCTTTCAGAAAAATACTTCAGAGATTCTGAACACAGATTTTTTGGTGCTATAAGATTGGCAGTTTATATTCCATTGTTCCTAGTCAAGAGTATTGCTTCCAGCCAGGCACGGTGGCTCACGCCTGCAATCCCAGCACTTCGGGAGGCTGAGAAGGGCAGATTACCTGAGGTCAGGAATTTGAGACCAGCCTGGCCAACACAGCAAAACCGCTTCTCTACTAAAAACACAAAAATTAGCCCGGCATGGTGGCACACACCTGTAGTCCCTGTTACTCAGGAGGCCACAGTAGGAGAATTGCTTGAACCAGGGAGACAGAGGTTGCAGTGAGCTGACATCGTGCCACTGCACTCCAGCCTGGGCAACAGAGTGAGACACCGTCTCAGAAAAAAGACTATTGCTCCTGATGAGAATGATGGCGGAGGACCTCTTTCAACCGACTTTATTGCCAGAAAGCATGGATTTTAAAGACATGAGCCATCATTACGGAATGTAAAAACCTAGAACTTAATCTTTTAGTCTAAATTTTGAATTGTGAATGGGGTATTTCCTATCTAAAACAGCCAATATTCCATTAAAACTAGAGAGTCACGTGACAAGGTGCTCCTGCGCGTTCACATGGCTGCCCTCACAGTGCTGTTGTTTGGCCTTGTATTAACATCTTAAACTGCTCCGTTACACACCCTGCTGCCAGAGAACAGCCAAGTGCCAAGGGAAGGGAAAACCTTAGCCTAGTTTTAAAATAATTGCTTGGCTTTGCCTGTACTTAAAGAGTCTTGCTCTAACAGGAGGACACAACTGTCTTTTGGGAAAAAAAATTCCACTTTTATTATCTCTTAATTATAGTGTCGCTGTTCCCAATGTTACACGATAGCAAAGAATTCTGCCTGCATTACCATTATAAACTATTTTCAGTATGGATGACTCAGAATAAATTCTACTTTCTTAAATTTGACATGTGGGACTAAATTTTCTAAACTTTTGATGACAGGCAGGTGTGTAAATCCCTCTAAAGTGAGTGAACCTCTCCAACCTTGTCAAGGTGCTCCACACCACTCCTTGTATCCACAGTATTTACAATGAGATTGAAAAGCTGAACCACACATAGTTCTCACCTCCTTAAAAAGCGATGAATATTTTAATATTTCAAATTCAGAACTAATCTCAGGACTGTACAATGACTAAAGAATCTATAAAAGAATGTGATTAAAATATTTTAAAATTATTAAAGTGATATGTCCACACAATTAGCCTCCTTTGATTCATTTCTTCCCACCTCCTCTGTTCCCATTTTACAAAAAAACCTTTTGAAACAAATTACTTCTCCGAGTCGTTAAGTGACATTATATCCCTAAACAATGTGCTTCTACCACTGTGTCATAATAGGCTGTAAACACACTCTCAGTTTTGTGCTGTGCTAGATGAGAATTTAACAAACTTAACTATGCCATTCCATCTTCCCAATATACTTACATAGCTTTTATTTGTATCTGTATTGATTACCTCTGTAGTTTTATGGAGCATAACATTATTATTATTTTAGTGAAAAATTTTTTCCCCAGCTTTAGTAAGGTGTTATTGACCAATAAAAATTGTACATAAGTGTACAATTTGATGTTTTTACATATGAATGGTGAAATAATTACCACAAGGAAGCTAACTGACATACTTTTCACCTCACATAGTTGCCACTTTCTTATGTATTAATTTGACAAATAATGACTGACATTATTTCTTCTTTCTCCAGTACAGGCAGCATCTTCTGACTTCCTCTCTGTAAGAGGAGCTTAACGGATCTCTCTCCCTGCTCCCTCTTAGTTCTATCCAGTTTTACCTCCCACCTTCTATCATCTGTACTCTTACAGGTTCAAGTTGCACAATATTTATATTTTAATGTGTACCACAATTAAATCTTTCACATATCTAAATGTGAGTAACCAAAATTCTATTACTATGGTAAGATTTTAAATTATTAATTATGCTATAATGATGGCGATCACAAAGTCATTTTTTCTTTTCAATTTTCATTCAAAAAATCTTTTTGTAGAGACAGCTATAACCATATGGTCCAGGCTGGTCTTGAACTCCTAGATTCAAACGGTCCTCCTGCCTTGGCCTTCCAAAATGCTGGGATTACAGGCGTGAGCCACTGTGTCTGGTCACCGTTTTCTGTCGCTACGGATTTTTGTTTACTGAGTTTTCTAATTGTAATTTTCCTGTGCAGATTTTAAGAAAAACATCCTTATATGTTTCTAAATTTTCCATGCAATCAGATGTTCTATTGAGTTTTAAAAATTTTATTTATAGGCCAGGAGCAGTGGCTTATGCCTGTAATCCCAGCGCTCTGGGAAGCCAAGGCAGGAGGACTGCTTGAGGCCAAGAGTTCAAGACCAGTCTGGGCAATATAGTCAGCCCCCGTCTCCCCAAAAAAAAAAAAAAAAAAAAAAGAAAAAGGAAAAAAAAAAAATTAGCTGGGCATGGTGGTATATGCCTGTAGTCCCAGCTATCTGGGTGGCTGAGGTGGGAAGACTACCTGAGCCCAGAAGTCTGAGGCTGCAGTGAGCTACAATTGCATGTACCACTGTACTCCAGCCTGGGTTACTGAGCGAGACTCCATCTCAGAAAAAAAAAAAAAAAATTGTAAAACATATAAGACTTCAAAAGGTTATCAAGAGTAATAAAGTAGGTATACATGTACTACCGCCAAATGTAAAAAATATATATTATCAATATAGTGAAACCACTGGGTACTTGTCAGTGACTGCCTGTTATTCTCCTTTCCAGAAGTAACAACCATTCTATGTTTAATAATTTCAATATATGAATGTATTCTTACTAAAAATAGTATTGTTTTGCATGCTTTCAAATGTTATCTTACGTGCAGATTCTTCTGCAAGCCGCTTTTTTTCATTCAACATTACCACTGGTGAGATTCCTCCATGTTGATACGTGGAACTCTAGCTCCTTCCTTTTCAATTATATGGATATACAAAATCCATTCAATCTCTTATTAATGGACATTTAAGTTTTTAAATTTTGAGCTATTATAATGTTGCTATAAACATGACTTCTGTAACACTAAGAGTTTTTATAGGTGTATACACCCTTATGACTAATTAACTGAGATATAAGAATAAACATTTCCAACTTTATTATTGCCAACTGCTTTCTGAAGTACAAATGATACCACTAATACTTTTGCAGGGTAGAAGAGGGCCCATTGCTCCAAATCCTTACCAACACTTGGTATTCTTTTAATTTTTGTCAAGGTAACATGTGAAATGACATTTCACTATATGTTTAATGAATATCCTTGAATATCAATAAGGTTGAATATGTCTTCATATATGTATTGATCATCTCAGTTTCATTTTCTGAGCATGGCCTCTTCAAGTTTTTGCCCATTTTTCTACTGAGTTGTATTTTTTATAAGTAATTTAAAATTTCTCGGGAATTGAACAATGAGAACACATGGACACAGGAAGGGGAACATCACACTCTGGGGACTGTTGTGGGGTGGGGGGAGGGGGGAGGGATAGCATTAGGAGATATACCTAATGCTAAATGACGAGTTAATGGGTGCAGCACACCAGCATGGCACATGTATACATATGTAACTAACCTGCACATTGTGCACATGTACCCTAAAACTTAAAGTATTAAAAAAAAAAGAATAAAAGAAAAAATAATGAAAAAAAAAATTTCTTTATAAATATTACCATGGATCCTAATCCTTTATTGGTAATATGCTACAAGTATCTTAATCTGTGAATTATCTTTCATTTTTAAGTACAATTTTAATATAAAGTCTTTACTTTTAGTGTAATTATACATATCAATTTTTTTTTACTGTTTTTGTAAATATGTATGTATATACGTATGCCTGTTTATATGTAGAGATGATGTCTTGCTATGTTGCCCAGGCTGGTCTTGAATTCCTGGGCTCAAGTGATCCTCCTGTCTTGGATTCCCAAAGTATTGGGATTACAGGTGTGAGCCACTGTACCCAGCTGCTTTTATAAATCTTAAGAATTCACTTTCTACCCAAAAGTCATGAAGTTACTGTCCCACATGTTCTTCTAAAAATCTTAGAACCTTGTTTCTCAAATTTTTATCTTTAATCTACGTGAAACTGGTTTTTGTGTTAGAACTGAGGTGGGGAATACACACACACACACACACACACACACACACACTTCTCAACATAAATTACGGAAGAATTTTTGCTTCTAATTATCTGACTTACTTTCTATATCATCCATCAAATTTTTATAAACACTGGAGACTGCTGCTTCTGGGTTCTCTTTTCCAACCCATCATCCTATCTGTATGTCTTATTATCTTGGAAAATGTCAACATGGCCCTACTGTACTTCTCCCCCTTAATGTATGAGGAAGTTTGGTATAAGGCTACAGGGAGCTGTGAAAACTATGGTCAACCAGAAAATGCCTACATCCAGGCAATTCAGTGTTTAAACAGCACTGTGTTGGCCAAGTAAAAGAAATGTTCAGGCTTCACTGTCCCTAGCTTGAGACCTCCAGTTATCTAAATACATGCTACACAGTGACAGACTGTCCCAACTACACAAAAAATGCAGAATTTAAACATTTCATAAGCATATTTTCTCATCGGAATTGCTTTTAACAATATGCTACTATTAGTTTGGTATAATCAGATTTTTGTTCCACCAGATACACTGCTATTCTATACTACATCCTTGGTTAAGATGCTTAGGATCAGTGTCTTCATGTATAAAATGAGGACAATAATAATATCTGCTTTATAGGACCAAGATTAAATGTATTAATGCATGAAATGCTTAGGATAAAGCTCTAATATTTAGCAATCATTTAATTATCACTATTGTTATTGTGTAGATCATTTATATTTTGGGTATGTTGTTTCCAGTTTCTTTCTTGATTTCCACAAGTATGTTACATCATATTGAGAAAACTAAGAGCTTATAC
This sequence comes from Homo sapiens, assembly GCF_000001405.40. NCBI lineage: Eukaryota > Metazoa > Chordata > Mammalia > Primates > Hominidae > Homo > Homo sapiens. The sequence goes on from NC_000008.11 coordinate 18,625,991, forward strand.
TGAATTTTGTTTTTTATTGTATCTGACAAAACCCAGGAGATGCGTTTTGTTTTCCAAATTTGACTTTTCAAAGCTTTCCCTTAATGTCAGATTTAATAGGTCTTTGTAAAAATACATACTTCTAAGATAGGTACAACAATTTGTCTCCTGGAGGCAGAATTTCTGAACTGAGCATAACTTTAAAAGGCAAAAAATGAAGAAAACCTCCAAGGTTTAAAAATATGGATGCAGTCTGACAAACTGAATGTTTAAAGTTAATTAAAAAAAAAAGACACCAAATCTTGAGTGAAATAAATGGTCCATTTGAGACAAGTGTATCAGCATTTAAAACAAAATAACCTTTCCATGCAGCTTTGATTCAAATTTTCACTTATAAAACACTTTTTGTAATATTTGTCATCAGAGCACCTGGCCAGGTTTAAATTTACATACAAATGTAATATAGGTCTACCTATAGTGACCATGCTTAATCAAAGTAAGTATTTAGAAAATAAGTATCTACTTTTTGTGTCCAAAAAACAGCATTCAGGATTCTCAGAATTATTTGGAGCTCCTATTCCAGGAAAGCTCCACTGTTGTTTTCATTTTTTTCTGTGTAGTGTAAATAAAAAGTGATGTGTTTTATAGCAGGTTGTGTAAGTCCTTACTATAAAACATTTCTCTAATTTGTTTATAGTGACCATCTCTCAAAAGAAGAAGGCAAAAACATTCAGAAACAATTAAGGCATTCTGGTAGATTTCCAAGAAGGAGCAGCAGCCAAATAGTTAGATAAACCTGTTCAACCAGACATGATTGAAAATCCAACAAATGAGGTTGGTGGGGGAGACAGGATTAGACGGGAAGGAAACGAAAGCTTTTCTACATCTCCAAATATATAACTAAACTGTTTGCTTTTACTTGAATGCTTAGAATTCCTTATTAATTTCATAGTTCAGTAAATATTAGGTCTTAAAGCGGGAAGCAACTGGAAAGACGTTTCTTAACAAAAGGGATCATGAATCAGCTTAGTTCTGCTTATGCCCAAGAAACAGTAACTGCTATAGAAACTGCCCTACTATAATAACTTAAAAAGTCTATGTAAGTATATAAAACAAAACTTTTTAGACATTTCAAAACAGAAAACATTGGATTATAATTCTGAAGAGAAAGAAACAAATGAGTTAAGACTGGCTTACTGCTTAGAGAAAGAGTCTCGGTTCCAACAGTGGAAGAGGGTACCTAAACAGAGCCTGTGAGTCATGCTGAGTTGAGGAGGTAAGAAAGGAGTTTAGTGATGCGGAGATAAGAAAGGAGTTTAGTGATGCTGAGAGGGCTAGAATTTGTAGAGCTGCGTAAAACAGAGGGGAGAGTTACAAAAACAGATGGTTCTGAAGACCTGCAGAGGATACTCTGCTCTTGGCTGTAGCATCGATCTTAGCACTAGTGAAAGGAAATAATTCAAGGCATGGGAAAAATAAAGTAGTGGGATGGACAATTTCAAGGGCTCACACAGGGCTAAGAAGAATTTATGTTTTCATCAGCTAGAGTGGATAGACTGTGTAATACATGCCATATTGGAAAGAGGCTGAAGAAGAACAAGAATGCCTTATTAATGGAAATATTTAAATAAGTCCCAGAATAAAGACTGCTCTGGATCCACCAGAACAAAGGGTAAAGGCAAGCGTCTAAAGAATTCAGTTAATCTGCAAGTTACTTACCCGCACACCAGGAGAAAATCCAGTGTTTTTTTTAGATGAATACAACTAAAAGTAGCACCTGAAAAATGGAAAATTCACAATGTCTGGCACTCAAAAATTACAAGGAATGCAAAGAAAAAGGAAAAAAAAACCAACTATGACTAAAGCCAGCAGAAAAAAAATAATGCAACAGTTCCAGAAACGACAGAAAGGAAGGTTATCAAAGAGAAGAACCTTAAAAAAGCAATTATAAACAGAATAAATATATTCAAGGACATGAAGAAAAACATCAACCTGATAAGGAGAGAAACGGAAGATATAAAATAGACCCAAGTTGAACTTCAAAGATAAACATGCTGATTATGAAATGAAAAATGAAGTAAATGAAGAATAAAAACTATCAAATAAAGTACTGAAATGACAAAGAGTTAAAAATATTGGAAAGAGCTTCAGGAAACCCTTGGGATAGCACTGAGTATCATATAGCAAACAAGTCCCATAACAGGAGTGGAGGCTTTAAGAAATAATGGCTGAAAAAAACATGAACCTATGAATCCAAGAACCCCAATAAACACCAAATAAGGAAAACATAAAGAAAATCACACTAAGGCATCACATAATAAAATTGATGAAAACCAGAGATAGAAAAATCTTGAAAGCATTCATAGTAGCAGAAAAAGCCATCTTGGGTGCAGAGGAACAAAGATAAGAATGATAGGAGACTTTTTTTGTCTGAAATCCTGCAGGGCAGGGAAAAATGAAACATCATCTTTAAGTATTGAAAGGAAAAACAACCTGCCAAAGGATTCTATACCCAGTGAATATACATTCCTAAAATTAAGGTGAAAATAAAGATATTTTCACACTGATAAAACATGAGAAAAATTCCTGACAGCAGTTATGTGGGGGTAAAAGTAAAAAAAAGGTTTCTGCTTAAAGCAAAAATATTAACAATGAACTACTTTAAGTTTTAGAACATAGAATTAAAATATAGGACAACATCACAAAGGCTAGGAAGAGATAAGGGGAATTAACTTGCTATAAGGGTCTCAAACCATAAATGAAGCAGTACAATTTGAAGGTGAACTGTGACAAATTAAAGATGTACACTGTAAACCTTGCAGCAAACACTAAAATAATTAAAGAAGTACAGCAAACAGGCCAATAGTGACAAAAAACAGAACCACACACAAAAAATAATCCTACACAAGAAAGGAAAAGACCAGACGGAATAAATAAGAAACCAACAGTAAGACGGCAGATTTAAAGTCAACTATACTAATAACTACTATAAATGTAAATGGTATAGGCACTCTAATTAAAAGACAGATACTGTGATTTACAATAAAAAGCGAGACCCACCAATATTCCATATAATAGAAAGCAATTTTAAAGACACAACCATAAATTAACAATAAAAAGTTAGAAACAAAATTTGTATAGCATGCAAAAACTATGAAGGAAACTAAAGTGGCTGTATTAATATTAGACAAAGTAGACTCCAAAATAAGGAATATAACCAGGGGTGTCGGACGTCATTTCATGACAAAGGGGTCAAATCATCAGGAAGACATAATATATATAGGTATAAGGGATGCAAAATGATATAGAAACTTTAGAAATTTCTTAAAAAGTTAAAGATATATTTAGCATATGGTGAAGCAATCTTACTCTTTTACTCCTAGGTAACTTCTGAAAAGAAATGAAAACATATGTACGTGCAAAAACTTATATGTGAATGTCCATAGGGGCTTTATTTATAACAGTTCAAAACTGGAAACAACCAGAATGCTCAGCTGGTGAATCAATAAACTGTGGGATATCCAAATAATGGAATACTTATTAAGCAATAAGAAGAGAGAAACTATTAATTCACACAACACCTAACAATATACATGAATCTGCAAAGAATAACACTAAGTGAATGAAGCCAAACACAAAGCAGTCCCATGATTCCATTTATTGCAATTTTAGAAAAGGCAAAAGTATAGGGCCCAAAGACAGATAATCATCTGTCATAACCGTCATAGGATGGGAGTAATACGAGAAGCAATTACTGCCAAAAGTACAGTTAAACTTTTCTGGGTAATGGAAATGTTATTTATTTTAATTGTGTTGATGATTATATAACTATACATTTTTCAAAACTCAAACTATATACTCTAAATTGGTGAATTTTAGTTTTTGTAAATTATTAGAAACCATGCACATTCTGGATTGTAAGGCTGAATTATCTGCTAACATTAATGTGATTTGGAAACCTTGGGAAATTGAAATGGGGATATCCAGGAAGAGCCTGAGGAATTAAAGGCAGCTGAAACTTCCACGCTCCTCCTGATAGCCCCATGGAAAAACAGAGGTTAAAAGTCCTCCAGTGATAAAGCAACTGACAGGAAAGAAGCCTGGAGATGGGCACGTCTTAACCCATCCATATATTTTCCCTTTGGTTCTGAGGCAGGAACAGAGATAGAAACAAGCAGAGGCAGGTTCCTTTGGAAAGCAGGACGAACTTCCTAACTTGCTACAAAGACAAAAGCCCCATGACACTTAAAACTGCCTTGACCAATCAGAAATTCTCAAGACAGTTAACTAAGGCTTTAAAGGAGATACAATGGCAGAAAAACTTCTAGCCTGGTACAAGGTGTCTGTGATGTCTCAACTGCTAAGCAATCCTCAGGTTCTGTATCTATATTCATATGTATTAGGCCGCTGAGGGAGAAGAGCTTCTACCCGGAGAATCCTCCAATAGAGGAGGTTTCCTGGGCCACTGGGTCCAGGAAAACAGTGGACAAGGAAAATTTTATCAGTAGAATCTGGGACTTTGGAATAAACTAACCAATTAAGTCAATCCATTGCTAGGAAATGAATCAATGAAAAGATGCTCACATGGGTTAACTGTGCTATATACCTGTCTAGCAGGAAGTAGTAAATACTCCGAATAAGTGATAGCTGTTATACTTCCCCTTTTTGACTTTTCTTGAATTGAAATTATTCTTTTTTTTTTCTCTAGTACTTTATGTGAGGTATGTCAGATACAGTCAACCCTCCATATCTGTGGGTTCTGCAACTGTGTATTCAACCAACGGTGGATGGAAAATATTCCCTCTAAAATTCTGTCTGCATTGAATATGTACAGACTTTTTTCCTTGTCATTATTCCCCAAAGAATACAACATAACAACTATTTACACAGTATTAGATATTATAAGTAATCCAGAGACAGTTTAAAGTATATGGGAGGATATGCATCAGTTATATGCAGATACTATGCCATTTTATATCAGGGACTTGAGTGTCCTTGGATTTTGGTACCTGTCAGAGGCCCTGGAATCAATCCCCTACAGATATTAAGGGACAACGGTATTTTCGTATTTTTCACTTAGCCTATAGATTTCAGTGCCATCCATACCTGACTGAGGGGAATGAACACTATCAACAAATCTTAGCCTTGGAGACAGAAGCTGCAGTTGGGCAGGCATGTTACAGAGAGATGGTATATTTGTGGTTGTAAAAGGAAAACTGCAATGTTTGGCAAAAGTATTATTCAATGTATGAAGAAGGGTGTGTCTGCACACTGGAAAGAAACAAATGGGTATCTATTGCTTTGTGTGCCAAGAACTCCCATTCTCTGAGACCAGTATCTCATTCTTACTGTCATTGCAAGCAAGTGGGGGCTGTCAATCACAATATTCCATCCTCTCAGTGATACAAGTCAGAATCCTGTCCTAGAACAGACTAAATGAGAAGTTAGGGAAGAAGAACAATCCTCTTTGGTGTCAAAATTAAACACGTGATCTATAGCACTGCTAATAACCATGTATAAAGGACCTCATTCCAAAGAATAATGCTGACACAAAAAATCATGCAGAGATAGAAATGGAGAGTACGTCCTGGTGACAATCCATCTTCAGGTGTGCCCTTTTGCTAAGATGGATTCACTTGCTGTCACAACTATATGAGTGAGTTCTGATACAATGTTGTGGGATAAAATTAAGTAGTCTAGTAATCTAGTATATAAGGTGCACAGAAGATATGGTGGATGCACTCTTAAAGAACTTGGGAACATTAAGAAATTTGTTCAGCATTGCTAAGTCCATGTCAAAGCCACCCCACTGCAATGTTTCTCTCCATGTAAGCTAATAGAATATGCTAACACATTAAGAAAAAGGATCCAGCTACAGATAGAAACAGTGGTACTATCCATCTCTTCACCCCAAAGATAATTCTGAGCAAACATGTCACCTTATCTTACTCTGTTCAAGTATATCAAATTGCTATTTCACTCTGCAAAGATTATTCTAACTATATAAGCATGCTCTATTCTTCTCAAACTCCAAACACCATCATTGATCAAGATAATCATGCCTCACACTTCACAGAAAAATCAGAAGCCATCCAATTAGGCTCCTTCAATTTCCCAAAACTAATTATACTATGCTCTCCTACATCTCACCTGTCCACCTTCTCAAAGGCGAGTCATTCCACATATGTACTGGATATGAATTCCCTCCCTCCATCCTTTGTCTCTGGGACCTTACACCATTAATTTTTCTATGCGTTGCAAATTCAACCTTTCCCTCAACCACCAGAAATGTAAACTTCATGAAGACAGAAACCTTGTCCCTCCTGCTCAACCCTGTATTTCTGGTGGCTGGCACAGCAGGTAGTCAGTATTATTTGTTGAAGCCATGACTAAATAAATGAATGGATAGAGAATGAATAAATTGAAAGGAGTTCTCCCTTTCTAAAGTTCTATAATTCTGCTTAGAGAAGAGCAGGTGCCACATTGGATTTTTAATTTAGGGTTAGAGGCTTTATCCAATTTCAAGAATGTGTCTATAGATAAACATAATTTTTTCATCCTTGACTTTCAGATAAATTCCCTTTAAATTTTGAGCATAAAGATAAAATAAATGAAATAGAAAATGACAACGCATGATACTTACTCTTCTTTCCATCCATATCTGCATGAATTTTCCGAGCCAAGAATCCACTTTTGTACACAGCAGCATTTGGATCATGAGGAATGTCCAAAAATGGGTTAGTAGTACTTCCAATACGACTGATGGTCTTTGGATGTGTTCCGTTAGCTTTCTCCTCAGTACTTTCTGAGGGAGACTTTTTTTTCTCTTCATCATCTCTAAAAGGGAGAAAGCACAAAGACTGAGTCAAGCACCTATCATAATATTCAAAGAAAAAGGTAAGTTATTGTAAAAAACTACATTGTATTCCAATGGTGTATCACTTTTTATAACCACCACCATGATAATGACAGACACCATTTGTTAAATGTATTCTGTGTGCCAGGTGTTAATGATCATGGCAATATCTTATAAGACTGATATTAATATCCTCTATTACAGATAAGGAAATAGACTCAGTGAGTTTAAATGTACAAGGCCACAGATTTAGTGATGAACAGATAATGAAGATATGATCATAAAATCCCTAAAGTCATTGGTCTTTTCACCGTTTACAATGCTTTCATGTTTGTCTTCTTTCAAACAAGTGGGAGTTTATTGGCAGGAATTATGATTTTGACTTACGTATTTCTACAGGGTCTAGCATAGAACTAGGTGTACAGAAAACAGCAAAAGTGTTAGAGTCAGTCCAATGGACAATAGTAAACAATATCCCCCAAATAACCAGGCTAGTCCCTAATATTAAAACCCCAGGCAAAGCTACTATGGATTAGAATGGGGATGCCAGGCACAGTGCTTTGGCATGTGACAGCTGCTACTTTCTCAACCGCCATAAAAATAGTCCCCAACATCTATTGTTCCCATCTTTATGTCCATGTGTACCCAATGTTTAGCTTCCACTTTTAAGTGAAAATGTGTAGTATTTGGTTTTCTGTTCCTGTATTAATTCGCTTAGAATAATGGCCTTCAGCTGCATCCATGCCGCTGCAAAGGACATGATTTCAACCTTTTTCTATGGTTGCATAGTATTCCACGGTGTGTATGTACCATATTTTCTCTATCCAGTTCACCATTGAAGGGCATCTAGGTTAATTCCATGATTTTGCTACTGTGAATAGGGCTGCAATAAACCTATGAGTGCATGTGTCTTTTTGGTGGAATGATTTGTTTTCCTTTAGGTATATAACCAGTAACAGGATTGCTGATTTGAATGGTAGTTCTTTTTTATGTACTCTAACAAAGTACTTAAAAACTGCTTTCCACAGTAGCTGAACTAACTTACATTCCCACCAATGATGTATAAGTGTTCCCTTTTCTCTGCAGCCCCACTGGCATCTGTTAATTTTTTTGCCTTTTTAATAACAGCCATTCTGACTGGTGTCAGATGGTATCTCATTGTGGTTTTGATTTGCATTTCTCTGATGATTAGTGACGCCGAGTATTTTTTCATGTTTGTTGGCCATTTGTATATCTTCTTTTGAGAACAGTCTGCTCATGTCCTTTGCCCACTTTTTTAGTAAGGTTATTTAGTTTTTTGCTTGTTGAATTGTTTAGGTTCCTTATAGAAGCTGGATATTAGCCAGATTAACAGTTTGCAAATAACCACAATATATTTTAAATATATCACAAAACCAGAAGTGTTTGATAATGACGGTAATCAGAGAAAAACAGCCTTTTTTTTCTCTTTTGGTATTTTATCAGTAATTGTGAGATAAGTGAAAACAAAACTGGACTCTTAGAAGAAATGGATATTTTACTTTTATTTTGAAAGAATTTTAGATTTGTGAAGGACAGGATTCCCCTATGCCCAGCTTCTCCTAATATTAACATCTTATATATTAATAACTATCGTAAAAAATTTCAAAACTAAAAAATTAACGTAAGTTTAATACAATGAATTAAACTCGGCTTCATTTGGATTTCACTAGTTTACCATTTTTTTCTATTCTAGGATCCTATCCATGATCCCACAGTGCATTCTGTTGTCATGTCTCTTTAGCGTCTTCCAGTCTGTAACAGTTCCTCAGTCTCTCCCTGTCCTTTATGACCTTGACACTTTGAACAGTATTGGTCAGTTATCTTGTAGAATATCCTCAGTTTAGGTTTTTCTGATGTTTTCTCATGACTGGATAGACGTTATGCATTTTTTGGGGAAAGATTCCATATAGGTGATGCATCTTTCTCAGTGCTTTAGGTCCAGGGGATACAAGTTTTATTACTTGTTAGAATTAACCATGATCACTTGGTTAAGGCAGTGTCCCACAGGTTCCTCTACAGTAAAGTTACTATTTAACTTTGTAAGTGTTTTTGGGGAGATATCTTGTAACTATGCAAATATTGTGATTCTCCTTTACCCACTAACTTTATCTTGTAACAATTATTATTACGGTGTTTTAAAGGTTCCCTCATTTATTCTACATTCATTAATTGAAATTCTTCTGTAAGTATGGACACATGGATATTTGTTTTATTCTTTAGGTTATAATCAAATACTATTGTTATTTAATTTGTTGCTTAAATTTTTGCAGCTTTGGCCATTGGGAGTTATAATAAGGTGTGCTCCTATGTCCTGTGAACATGCCTCATCTTCTAAAGGACTTCTTTACTTTCAGGTACCACAGAACGCCAAGCTCATCTTAAATTTTCCTTGTCCTGGCCCTGAAATCAACCACTTCTCCAAGGAGCCTTGGTTCTTCTTACTGGAGAACAGTATTTAGAAATCAAATCTCGGGGCTAGGTGTGCTCATTGCTTTGGGGTCCTCCCAATAGACAAAGCTAGGGAGATACAGTTATGTATCATATAACAATGTGTGGTCAACGATGGACAGCATACAATATACAACCATTGTCTTGTAAAATTATAATGCAGCCAAAAAAAATCCCATTGTCTAACACTTACCATACTATGCTTTTCAGTGTTAGAGTATCCTACTTCTATTTATTAAAAAAAAAGTTAACTGTAAAACAGCCTCAGGCAGGTCTTTCAGTAGGTGTTCCAAAAGAAGGCTTTGCACTATTTACAACACCAAAGACTTGGAACCAACCCAAATGCCCACCAATGATAGACTGGATAAAGAAAATGTGGCACATATACACTATGGAATACTATGGAGTCATAAAAAAGAATGAATTCATGTCCTTTGCAGGGACATGGATGAAGCTGGAAACCATCATTCTCAGCAAACTAACACACGAATAGAAAACCAAACACCACATGTTCTCACTCATAAGTGAAAGTTGAACAATGAGAACATTTGGACACAAGGAGGGGAACATCATACACTGGGGCCTGTTGGGGGTGGGGTGGAGGGCAAGGGGAGGGAGGAGAGCATTAGGAAAAACACCTAATGCACGTGGGGCTTAAAACCTAGATAATGGTTTGATAGGTGCAGCAAACCACTGTGGCACATGTATACCTATGTAACAAACCTGCAGGTTCTGCACATGTATCCCAGAACTTAAAGTAAAATAAAATAAAAAAGGCTTTGTTATCATAGGAGATGACAGCTTCATGCACGCCCCTGAAGACCTTCCAGTGGGACAATACATGAGGCGAAAGACAGTGATATTGATGATCCTGACCCTTGTGTGGCCCTAAGCCAGCGTGTGTATTTGTGTTCTAATTATTTTTATTATTTAAACTCTTAGGCTATAAAGTCCCATGTGTTCTAATTTTTAACAATTTTTTTAACAAAAAAGTTTTTAAAAGTAAAAAAGGCAAAATTTCAAAAATAGGAAAACACTTATAAAATAAGGATATAATGTTTTTGTACAGCTGTATAATGTGTTTTAAGCTGTTATTACCAAAAAGTTAAAAAGCTAAAATAACGAGTTTATGAAGTAAAAAAGTTACAGTATGCTGATGTTAATTTATAATTGAAGAAAAGGTTTTTAAAAAGAAATTTCCTGTAGCCTAAGTGTACAGTGTTTAGAAAGTCTACAGTACTGTGTAGTAATGTCGTAGGCTTTCAAATCCATTCAACACTCACTCAGTCACTGACCCACCCAGAGCAACTTCCAGTTCTGCAAACTCCATTCATGGTAAAGTGCCCTAAACAGGAATACCATTTACAAAAAATCTTTAATGCCATATTTGTTGCTGTTCATTTTTTGATTACTGTTTGTTTTCTGTTTAGATATACAAATACCATTGTGTTACTACTGCCTATAGTATTTGGCACAGTAACGAGCTATACAGGATTATAGCCTAGGAGCAATAGGCTATACCATATAGTACACATGATGTTCACACAGTGATGAATTCGCCTGATGACACAGTTCTCAGAACATATTACAGTTATGAAGTGATGTATGACTGTATATATAAGTACACTCACGTGTATACACACATCTATATTTGTGTATCCATCCAACCATCCCAATTAATTTATATTAACACCACCAAACCTAAGCCAGCACATTCCAGCCTTCTCCCACTTGCTTATCTGTACATCTTCAATAGTGAGAAAACTGGCTTTCACGATCTGCAATATATTGATTTGTTCAATCTCAGTAAACATATAAAAGAGTTCCAAAATTGCTAGCCTACACCCATGTGAGGAACAAATTTATGTACTAGAGTACAGTGTTTGTGTACATTTCTTTTGTCTTACACTGTTTTCCAAAGTTATGGGTGAGCTCTTTTTTTCTCACTCTCATCACAATGGTTAGGTGAAAAACACATTCCTTCGTTATAGTCTGAATTCTACTTTGTGTTTATCATATCCTGACTGATTTTCTTAAAAAATAAGCATTTTTGAAAATGCATTTCTTGTGATGTTCAGATTTAAGGATTTAGATAATGTATAGAGTCATGTACCCACTACAATGCCAAATGGAACAGTCTTATCACCCCCCAAATTCCCTCACACTGTTATTTGGCCAACTCCTCTCTCCCATCGATTCCTGGCAACTGACTTCCATCCCTATAGTTCTGCCTTTTCCAGAATGGCATATAAAATGGTTTCTTGCATTTGGCAAAATGCATTTAAGATTCATCCATATTGTAATGTGAATCGATAGTTTGTTCCCTACCATTGTAAAGTACCATTTCATTTTATGGTCGTGCCAGTTTGTTTATCTATTCATCTACCGAAAGATACTGAGTTGTTTCTAGTTTCTATATTTTATTTTTACAATGAAAAACTATTTGTATCTACAACCAATACCATAATAAAAATATAAAAATACAGTACTGCCAGTCTCTCATAGATCAGAATCAATCTGGAAGAAAGATTTCTGTCCTTCAAATTGATTATTCTATTATCATCATTAAGATTCAGTACTGGGCCCAGCATGGTGGCTCATGCCTGTAATCCCAGCACATTGGGAGGCCGAGGCAGGTAGATCACAAGGTCAGGAGTTCAAGACCAGTCTGGCCAAAATGGTAAAACCCCATCTCTACTAAAAATACAAATATTAGCCCACTGCAGTGGCAGGTGCCTGTAATCCCAGCTACTTGGGAGGCTGAAGCAGAGAACTGCTTGAACCTGGCAAGTGGAGGTTGCAGTGAGCTAAGATCACGCCACTGCACTCCAGCCTGGGCGACAGAGCGAGATTCCATCTCAAAAAAAAAAAAAAAAAAAAGATTCAGTACTGTTACAGCCCACAGCTAACATCATACTCAACAGTCAAAGGTGGAATGTTTTTCCTCTAAGACCATGAACAAGACAAGAATGCCCACTCTCACCACTTTTGTTCAACACAGTTTTGGGAGTTTTAGGCTGAGCAATTAGGCAAGAAAAAAAAAAAAGGAAGTGACTGTCTCTGATGCTGACATAATCTTATATATAGAAAAACCGTAAAAACTACCCCTCCCTGACAACTGTTAGAACTGCTAAAGTCAGTAAAGTTTTAGATTAAAAAACCAACACACAAAAAATGAGTAGCATTTTTGTACACTAACTACTCAAAGAATTAAGAAAACAATCCCACTTCCAAAAGCATTAAAAACAAACAAACAAAAAAAAACAAGTAGGAATAAATTTAAGCAAGGAGGTGAAGATCTGTGTACTGAAAACCGTAAAACATTGAAAAATTCACAAATCAATGGAGAAAAAAATCCCATGTTAATGAACTGGAAGAATTAATATTGTTAAAATATACCTAGTAACCAAATTCCAATGTCATTTTTTATAGGGATAGAAAAAATACTAAAATTTGTAGGAAACTAGAAACTACTCCAAACAGCCAAAGCAATCTTCAGCAAAAAATCAAAGCTGGAGGCATAGTTTTTTGACTGTAAAATATAAAGTTACTGTAATCAAAACAGCATGATACTGGTATAAAAACAGAAAGCCCAGAAAAAAATCCCAAGTAGCTAAGGTCAACTGGATTTCTGGAAAAGGTTTCAAGAATATATAATGGGGGAAACTACAGAATCAGGTGCCATGGCATTGACCACTGCCCTTCCGTGGCTTGTGCCAGTCTGAAATCCAAACTATGACACCATCCCCTCTTCGATCCCTACTTTAGGCAAAATAGAAACCAGTCACATGGGCAGCCTACAGACAGGCCAGAATATTGTTATCAAGTCCCACTCTCTTCCTTGCATCCCAAGAGAGGGAGTAAGTAATTGGGCTGCTTCCTAAGGACTATGCTATACCATGCTGTGGAGGGAGTCGGGTAAGGGCAAATAACATTGCTTTGAAGTTTTCTACTGTTTTAAATGTGGCTTTTTTTTTTAATTGAGAGTTTGCCTGGTTGCTGTACATCTTTGGTTTTCAGAGCACATGTGAAGTTCTTTCAGATGGTCTTACTTGCTTATGGAATGTTTCCCTAAGAAAACAAGGGCCTGGAGCTTCCTAGTCCACCATTGTGCCCCATTTCCCTTTTATTGCTCTAGTCTTAGTGTTATGGGTTTAATTCAGTCCCCACAAGAGAAATTAAAGTACTAACTTCCAGCATTTAGGAATATGACCTTGTTTGGAAATAAGATGATTAAAGAGTGGGCCCTAATCTAACAATATTGATGTCCTTATTAAAGAAAGAAATCTGGACACAGACACACACATACAGAAGGAAGACCCTGAAGCTACCACAGGCTAGGAGAGAGGCATGGAGGAGACTCCCGGTCATGGCCTTCAGGAGGAAACAACCCTATTTTCACCTTGATCTCAGTGATCAAGAACCATGAGACAATAAATCTGGGTTTTTAAAGCCCATTTGTGGCATTTTGTTATGGCAGCCAAAGGAAATGGATATACTTAGATGCTACCTCACCACAGCTTCAGATTAATTTTATCACTTTTGCAGATGGGAGTGTGCCCTAGAGAAGAAAAACTGGGACAACTGTGTCTCAGTACTTGCTCTTCCATAAACTTCACTGTGATCCTGAATAAGCTGCAGCATCTCTCTAGATCTCAGCCTCCTCATATGTAAAATTTGAAGCTTGCTCTAAGTCAGTAAATACAAGCCATGCAAAGCCTGTCCAGGGAGTGGGAGCCCAGGATGAGTAGAAAGGTCTCTGGAATCCCCATTCACTTTCAAAAAACAGCTCTTGGAAGCAGACTGTGGTCGTGAATCCATTCTAGTTCTAGTATTTCATGATTGTAGAACTCCGTTGATATAGACCAATACAAAACCACAACAAAAGATCAGGATATTCCATGTGTCTCCACAGCATTGACCCTAAATGGAAACCTATGCTGCTAAGTGTAGGCTAAATACTGCAAAAAGCCTCTCCCCTAAGATATGGAGCAGGTACCCCAAGTTTTACCATGCAAACCCTCCACAACAACAAAACTGCATACATTGTTAAGTGATACGGTTTGGCTGTGTCCCCACCCAAATTTCATCTTGAATTGTAGTTCCTGTAATCCCCATGTGTCATGGGAGGGACCAGTGGGAGGTAACTGAATCATGGGAGCAGTTTCCCCCAGGCTACTCGTGTGATATTAAGTTCTCGTGAGATCTGATGGTTTTATAAGGCCCTTCACCTTCACTTGGCTCTCATTCTTCTCCTTCCTGCCACCATGTGAAGAAGGACGTGTTTCCTTCCCCTTCTGCCATAACTGTAAGTTTCCTGAGGCCTTCCCACCTCTGCGGAACTGTGAGTCAATTAAACCTCTTTCCTTTATAAATTACCCAGTCTTGGGCAGTTCTTTATAGCAGCATGAGAATGGACTAATACATCAGTAAGACTGGAGGGAAGATGGCAGAAGAAAGCCCTGTTCTTTCCTCTCTATTTAGGAAGCAGAACTAATTAGCCCCACTGACCTACCTTTGAGTGTCTCAAAAGAGAAACTCGACACTTGCCCCCACTACTTCTTTGGCATCAGGTAAACCGCTCTATCCCTTTTGCCTTACTATGTGGCAAACCCAGTGGGGCAGAGCTCACCTCTGCTCCTTTAGTTCTGATTTCACAGCCTGTAATATGGTTAGGCTGGGGAGCTCAGCAGGCTTGGTGGCCACTCAGGTCCCAGTCACATTCTCCAGTATAACTTTCTGCAGGTGCCTTGCACTCTGCATTACACAGCAGAGGCTTGACTTCATTTCACTCAGCTCTCTGCTCTGTGTATACACTCCTCTAGCCAGAACATTACAGAAGGGTAGGGGTTATAAATCAGGTCCCAAAGTCCACCTTGTACTGGCAATCATTACCATGATCCCTGTAATTTAATTTCCTCACCTTACAACCAGCCTAGAAGCTAGATGTTACCAAGTCCCTGCTCTCCTCCAGGAAGCAATGCTTGGGAACTGGTATCCCTGGGCATCAGGGCCAGCTGAGTAGTGATGGGAAGGAGCTCTAAGTTGCCAGGCAGTGTGTGCTAGGCAGTCCTGATATCATGATGATTAAGACCCCTCGAGGGGTTCATCATCCAGTAGGGGAAACAGATACACAAAATATTGGCTAAAACATTTTTTATAAAATACTATATGTCTCCACAGAGCTGTGTACAAAGCAGTACAGGATCAGAGAGGAGGGAAGAGTCTGTATCAAACATGCTAAATTATAATGCAAGAAATCCTTGTTGGGTGATGGAAATGGGGTGATAAACTACGGTGGTTGTTACACAAGTGTGCAAAGTTACAAACATTGGTGTAGCATAAAATTGGTACACTTAAGTGGGTGAATTTTATGGCATAAAAATTACACCTCAATAAAGCAGTTTAAAAAATAAAGGTGGTGGTTGAATGCAGGGGCAGAACACTAAGGTGGCTCACATCTCAATACTGTGATCAGATGATTGCAGGAAAATAAAGCGAAGAATGAACTTATAAAAAATGTGCTGAGTTATCATGGGGTTTCTATTATACCACATCACATTATACCACGAGGCAGGATGAGTCTAAAATGGATCTTTGTCACTTACCAAAAATAAAAAAGAAAGCATGTAGTTAAATTTTAAAATTCTGCTGAAAATATGAATTGCATTCTATTCTCTAAAAATACCTTATTTTGACACAGGAATCCTAAAAGTAAAAAAGAGACTATGCTTTATTAAAAATGTTAGGCTTCATCACTAGCCTTTTAATACCAAGAAAAATGCTGCCAGATATGAGAAAGATGTAGGCTAGTAACTTGGCTTTCTAAATAAAGGATCTGACCATATGTACAATGACTGTAGTATGCTTTCCAAACCAAGACAAACTTAACCAATGGTTAAAAAAGTTTCTGAAAATACACTGGGGTCAAGCCACATGTTAGGTATTCCCAAAAGATCTATTGGAAAATTTTTAAGGGGCAACTAAAAATAACTTCCTTGAGTATTCTTGATCTGGCTAAATTTTCTCACCTTTAAAAAATATACATATATGTATAAATTATAATGTACGAGTACATAAATGCTCAATGAAACAACTACTGTCTAAAATGCTCCTCATATACACATTAAAAATCATTCAGAAACTATATTTATTATATATCATCTTGTATCATTCCTCATCAAACATCAAGCACTTAGCAATTGATATAGAGGATATAAGATTCTCTATCCTTAGCATACTAAGAAAAATGCTTTCTTTACATCCCAGCCTCCATAATTCTTTGCTCCTCAGTGATTCTAAAAATGCTTTAGGACAAGTAGGCTACTAACATAATCACATTCCATCTGCTCACCAACCTGTCTGCTCTGAATATTCTGAAGATAATGTGAAATGAAGATAACAATATTTGTAAAGTACATAACTTTCATCATATTTAGAAATATTTAAGCTTTTCACAATAAAACCCTTAAAATTTCTAAGTATCCATCTCAATCTCATTATCAAGAGAAATGCCACTTAGACATGAAGCAAACAATGTATTGTCATTTTTTAAAAAAATTTGGCCTTTTAAAGCTAAGAACTGGGTGGCAAATCTTTCCAGTTTCCTATACACCTGAGTTCAGCTGAGAAAACAAGTACTTAAATCTTAAGTGTGAGCTCAGATTAAGTATGAGATATGCTTTAGGTTCTTGATAAAATTACATTTCACAGAGCCATATGAGAGAGCTGTCCTAGTCCATTTTGTGTTGCTAAAACAGAATTCCACTGGCTGAGGAGTTTATCACGAATGGTGACTTATTTCTTACAGTTCTGGAGACTGGGAAGTCCAAAGTCAAGGGTCCTGAATCTGATGAGGGACTCCCTTGCTACATCATCCCATTGTGGAAGGTGCAAGGGCAAGAAAGTGTGAGAGAGGAAGAGGGCTGTGAACTTGGTTTTATAAGAAACCCACTCCTGCAGTAACAACCTTAATCCACTCATAGCCCTCATGACCTAAGCACCTCTTATGAAGCCTTGCCTAATGGTTGGGGGACATATTCAAACCATAGTATTCTGTCTGTGGCCTCTGAAATACATTCATTTCATCACAGTGACCCCAGTTTTAACTCTTTCTAGCACCAACTCAGAAGTCCGAAGTCCAAACTCTGACCTAAATCAGATACAGGTCAATTTGAGGCATGATTCATCCTTAGGCAAATTTCCCACCAGCTGTGGGCCTGTGAAATCAAACAAGTTATCTACTTCAAATACTATGGTGAGACAGACATAGATGCTCCCATTCCAAAAGGGAGAAATAGGCAAGAAAAAAGAATGAACAAAACCCAACTCCAAAACCAAATAGGGAAAACAACATTAAGACTTAAAGCTGGAGAATAGTTTCCTTTGATGTCCCAAATCCTGAAAACACTGGAATTGGGGTTGGGCCCCCAAGGCCTCAGGCAGCCCCAATCCTATGACTTCACTGGGCTTAGACGACCCAGCAGCTGTCATGGAATATCCCACATCTTTTGAAATCTAGGTAAAGAAAGCCATGCCTCTACAGCTCTTACATTCTGTGTGCCTGCAGAATTAGCACCACATGGATGCTGCTAAGGTTTATGGCTTGTATTTCCTAGAACAGTGGGCTAAGCTGTAGCTAGGCCGGCTTACACCACGGCTGGGGTAGCCAAGGAATGCTGTGCCAGAATGTGGGGAGCAGAGAACTGAGGGGGCTCTGGTGGAGAGCACCCTGGGCCCATCCCTTGAAACCATTCTGCCCTCCTACACCTCTGGGACTGTGATGGAATGGGCAGCCTCAAAGATCTCTGAAATGTTTTCAGGGGTCATTCTCCCATTGTCTTGATCTCTTGTATCCATAACAATATCTTTGCAAATGGTTGCTTGGCCACAACTGTGGTTTGCTTTCCCAAGCATGCTTTATCATTCTTTGTAAGGCCAGGCTGAACATTTTCAAAATCTTTCTTCTGCTTCTCCTTTAATTATCGTTCTATCTTTAAGTCATTCCTCTCATATCTTACTGTATGTGGTTAAAAGTAGCTACTTAGCTCCATCAACATTTTGCTTTGAAATTTATTGCACCAGATATCTTAGCTCCTTGCTCATAAATTCTGCCTTCCCTAAAGCCCTTGGACAAGAATACAATTCAGCCAAGTTCTCTGTGACTTTATTACAAGGACAGTCTTTACTCCAGTTTCAAATACCTTGTTCTTCATTTCTACCTGAGACCTCATCAAAATGGACTTTACTATGCATGTTTCTACTAACATTCTAATTATGATCACTTAAGTAATGTCTAAGAAGTCCCAGATGGTCCTTAAATTTCTTGTCTTCTCCTGAGCCCTCACCCAACTGCCCACAATGCTCCGTTTGCAGCAGTCTAGGCTTTTTCTAGCATTCACTTCATAACTGTCCCAGCTTCTGTGGATTACCCAATTCCAAGGCCCCTTCCACATTTTCAGCTTATTGTTATAGCAACAGCCCTAATTCTCGGTACCAATCTTCTGTCGTAGTCTGTTTTGGGTTGCTGTGAAAGAATTCCACAAACTGCATAATTTAAAATGAACAGAGATTTATTTCTTACAGTATTGGAGGCTGGAAGTTCAAAGTCAAGTAAGGGGCCTGCATCTGATGAGGGCCTCCTTGCTGGGGTCTTCTCTAACCCCCACCTGCTCTCTTGTGCTTTGCTGCCCTTCTCCTAGTAAGGCAGAAGGTCAAGAAAGCGCAAGAGAGCGAGTTGGGGATCACAGTTGCTTTTAAAACAAAACTACTCTCACGATAACTAACCCACTCCCTTGATAACATTAATCCATTAATTAGGGCAGAGCCCTTTTCCCTTATGACCTAACAGTCTCTAATTAGGTGTTACCTCCTAACACTGCATTGGGGATTAAGTTTCTAGCACATGAACTCTGGGGACATGCTGACACCATAGCAAGAGTCTTCCTTAATTCTAACCACTGAAAATCTTTTTCCTTTAAATACCAAAATCCAGAAGATTAATTCATGTTCAATATCATTTTTAGCTAACAATTTTTTAATTTAAAAATACTTTACTGTAGAAAACTCTAATAATCAATAGCTAACAAAATTAAGTGGTCTCAACTCTTTAGTTCAATATTTCCTTCAAGTTAATGGTCAATTTTTCATAACTATGGCATTTCTGTTTCTTTTCTTACAGTCAGGGTGTCTTTGCTGAATATAAATAGAACAATCAAACCAATAATATCCTTTACATAACCACTATACATATATAGATTTAACCTTAGTTATTCTTCGTATAGATTGTCTTGTAAGTTTGTTATGCTAGTACTAACATTAGCATTATTATTTTACCAAGAGTCCAGCGTGACACAGTATCTGCCATGTTAGGAATTTGAGTACAGTGAAACAGAGAGCAATGACAATGAGAACACTAAATCTCATTCTAGAATTTCAATGAGGTGTAATGAGTATCTAGAAAAGTCATTTAATTGTATGAGCACCTCAAGTGGAGAACTGAGTTTTATTCCTTCTGTTTCTCCCAACAATAAATGAATGCATTATTCCTTCTTTGTAGTCAAATATCTCGTGCAAATAATTTTATCAGTTTTTCCATGGTGAGTTGTCTCTACCTATGACCCTAAATGCCAAGCTCCCTACCTCTCTCTGCACACACTCAAATTAAATTTTTGGTTATATATTTAAAATATATGTTTTATCTATACCATTGTCCAGCTTAATATTTTACCAAGAGTCCAGTATGATGTAGTTTCTGCTGGTTAGGAATGTGAGTATAGTCCCATAGACAGCAATGACACTGAGAATGTTATTCTAGTATTTCAAGAGGCACAATAGCAACTTCTTCTTGCCTTAGTTTTCTTGTTAGTAATGATTGCCAACCTACAGATGGCTACATTGAAGTTTAAAATGAAAATTACTTTCATTTTAAAGTTCCCTCATAAATGTCTTCATCCCAAATAACTTTTTCGAGCAAGAAAGTTTTCCTTCATTAATCTACATCTACTATTAAGAAACACTACTCTGATTAACAATTTTATATATCTATATTCACTAGGGATTAAGGATATACAGTTATTTAATGTAGTAAGTCATTGCAAAAAAAGGAAATTACCATGAGTTGCCTTTTTGAAAGAAAACCAAATAATTTTATGTCAAGGTAAAAAATATTTTAACTAAAATTAGGAAGAACTCTTTTCATTAGGATGTAAGTTCAATTCTAAAAAGTACACACAAGGGATTCCAACTTTTCTTCATGGCTGATTCTAATGTTGGCAAATAAACAAAATGAAGCACTACAACAAAAAAAATGAAAAACTTAAATGAAAGGCGACAAATTATATTAAAAAGTGTAAGGTGGTACAACTAAATCAGTCTAAACTAATAGAAAAACTCTTGGGTGAAAAGAAAACTATTCGTCCTTATGAGATTACCAACTCTCACAGAGAAACAACTGAGATTACATTTTAATTAATATGTATTAATACCTAAAATGAAATGAGAATCAATGCTGAGTTAAGTAAAATATGATAAGGGAACCAAATAATGAAAGTAAAAGAGCCCTAGAAGGCTTCTTTACTCGGAAAAAGAGTTTTCTTAAGAGTTCACAAAACAAAGAGACTTTGGAACTAGTTACCAATTTCATATTTAGGCCATTGGGTTGAATGAACAATCAAGGTACCCACATAAAAAACAGGTAATAGTAATCCCATTGCCTCTATCATCCCCCAAGAATACACACAGAGATGTACATGCACACACTCACACCTTCATGGGCAGTGTTAAACATAATGGCAAAGAAGTGGGAGGAAATCTTTGCAAAATTTTCTCTACTTCCTAATTTCAGCAAATCAGCCAACAAAGAGGCAGCACTGATTTCCTGAAAAGACCAGTCATGACTTAAATTTGCAACAAGGAAATGAAAAGCCAAACTACAAACTGTTGGTATTTAAAACCACACTTTCTAAAGCTCAGGGCTATCATAACACATGACTGGAAGGACAGAAAGATATCAATGTGCTACCACCTCACCTAATTAGCCAGAACAATTTAATATGTGAGGGCAGATGGGAAATAGTTTAACTTATTAGCAAATACAGCAAATGTTTTAAACTGTTATTGTTATAAAATGAGTTGTAGGGCAATATGAAATTGCAGGAAAGATTATTCCACGATGCAAAGTTGTAAAATGCTTATCCAGAGTTAAAAAGAACAAATGTGCTAAATGACAAAGCAAGGCCAATGCTGCTGTAACTAAAACATGGAGGGTGCACAAGTGCAGAGGGAATCCAGAAGTTCATTATTTAAAACTGTTTTTTTTTTTTTTTTGGCTGACTTTATTAAAATGAGCCAATACATGATTTTTTTTTTTTTTTAAACTAGGATAAGGGAGTGATTTGGTTTGGATCTGTGTCCCCGCTCAAATTTCATGCTGGATTGTAATCCCAAATGTTGAATGTGGGGCCTGGTGAGAGGTGACTCGATCATAATGGCATTACCCCCTTTAGTACTGTTCTCATGATAGTGAGTGAGTGAGTTAAGTCATCATGAGATCTGGTTGTTTAAAGGTGTGGGGCACCTGCCCCCTCTCTCTCTTCCTCTTGCTCCGGCCATGTGAAGTGCCAGCTCCCCCTTCACTTTCTGCTGTGATTTAAAGTTTCCCGAGGCCTCCCCAGAAGCTGAGCAGAT